>NC_000004.12:185891077-186194108 GCF_000001405.40 Homo sapiens
TATGAGTTTCAGATTCTGCTTATTCTTTGTTTTTTAATTCTGCTTATTCTTTGTTTTTTAATTCTGCTTATTCTAATACTTTTTTATTTTGTGTCAGTAAACAAAAAAGTAAGTGGACTTTAGCATCTGTGAAATTAAACCCAAGAAGCCATCATAATGAAATCACCTTTGCAAAAATAGTAACAGTGAGAAAATTATTGCAGTGAAAGAGAACGTATCTAAACAATCCCCACTTTGCCTTTAACCTCCAAACCGCCTTTAGTCATTCCTGGGCATGACAGCCTTTCCCAAACCTACACGGCCTTTGCAAAACTAATACAAGAACACAGGTTAGGAGAATGAGGGACCTGAATTATGTTAAGGAACAGACGTACACAATTATCAGCCATTATCCTAGAGGAAACAAGATTTCAACGTGCTCAATTATTTCTGCAGATAGCAACACTATTGTGTACTAGAACCTAAGACTGGCCTTTTGAAATGTCTTTTCAGGTTTTTGCACTTCTGACCACCAATGGCTCCACTCGGACCCACCAACCAGCTATGAGGCCTCACTCACAAGGAGACCCCCTGGCCTGTCAAACTATCCTTGAAAAACCCTAGTCTCCAAATTTTGGCAGAGATTGATTTGAGCAATAACTCTATCTCCTACGTGCTGTGGCCAGTCTTGTGCCAATTAAACTATTGCAATGCCATAGTCTCAGTGAATTGGTTTTGTCTGTGTAGTGGGCAAGAAGAGCCCATCAGGTGGTTACAATAACTTTTTTGTTTTTTTGAGACAGAGTCTTGCTCTGTCTCCAGGTTGGGAGTGCAGTGGCGCGATCTTGGCTCACTGCAACATCCACCTCCCGGGTTCAAGGGATTCCCCTGCCTCAGCCTCGTGAACAGCTAGTGTTATAGGCACACACCACCACACCCAGCTAATTTTTTGTATTTTAGTAGAGAAGGGGTTTCACCATCTTGGCCAGGATGGTCTCGATCTCCTGACCTCGTGATCCGCCTGCCTCGGTCTCCCAAAGTATTTTTCCATTTTATATAAAATGTTAGATTGGGTGCTAAGTTAATTTCTTCTCCTCCTGCTTATACTAGAAATCTTTGAGCATCAAAGTAAACTCAAGAATTTCAATTGCTTTAAGAAACTAACCTGAGTGTACAGAAGAATAAAGAGGTTAAAGAAAATATCCAGCTATGAAGGAACTTGGGAGTTGTTAATGTTCTAGAATTGCATCATGTATCTTTAAGGGGCAAAGGAGAGACATAATTTAAAACATCCACTAGAGAGCTCTGCAACATTTCCTTTTTGCAAACATTAATCCATGTTAATTATTCCCCAGAGCAATGTCAGCATTCCCATAGATTCGATTCTACTGATAAGGACTTTGATTATGCACCCATGTTCACAGCAACCTTATTCACAATAGCCAAAAGGTGGAAACAACTCAAGGGTCCATGGACAAGTGAATGGGTAAACAAAACGTGGTGCATACATATCGCAGAATATTATTTAACCTTAAGAAGGAAGGAAATCCTGGCACATGTCGCAACATGGATGAATTTTGTGGACAGTGTGCATGGTGAAGTAAGCCAGACACAGAAGGAAAAATCCTGTATGATTCCAATCATAATGAAGTACCTGGAGAAGTCAAACTCGCAGAGACAGAAAGTAGAATGGTGGTTGCCAGAGGCTAGGGTGAGGTGGCCAGTTATTGTTTAATGGGTACACAGTATTAGTTTTGGAAGATGAAAAAATTTTGCAGATGGATGGCAGAGACGGTAGCCCAAGAATGTGAATACACTTAAGGCCTTATGGCTGTACACTTAAAAATGGCTAAAATGGTCAATTTTATGTTATTTAGAAAATGAGAATGGGGAGAAACCTTGAGCAAGTGAACAAGAAAATTATAGCCTTGAAAAAAACAAGAATAGGGAACTACATAATATATTCTTCTGTGATTTGAACACTCCGATTACTATTGAGAGCTAGTGAAATTACTGGTCTTGAATTTTCTAAGGATGCTAGCTGTGGAGGAGAAGGAAGAAAGAGATAATCAGGCACAGAGTAGGGGAAGGCACTGGGGTTGCTATGCTGTGGAATGAGGAGGAAGAAAGAAGAGACAGAAAGGCCTTATCATACTAGGAAATGGATTGTCTTCTGCTGCCCTGTATTCCAGAGTGATGTGTGGTGAGAGGGCTTGACATGGGATCATAACATCTGCGAGTGTGAGCCTGGGGTAGGCGGGATGCATGGGCTGCAATACACCAGACAGCACCACTGCCGCGCTGGAGCAAAGGCTCTGGGAGCTGCTTCCTGGGCTGGAGCCCACCCACTAGCAGGGCTGGAGCTTGTCAAACTTCATTATTCTCCAAGATACTGGGAGACCCGGGCCCTTCAGCACCTCACTCATGGATGTTAAATCTGGAATAGATAGCGTAGAGGTGAAGGGAATTTTCTTCCCTCCAGCTTCTGAAGGTTTGATAATTTGAGTCCATAAAACAAACTGACAATAGACAGGTTAACAGCCAGAAGGGCATGTGAATTTATTAACATGCCCATGGACATGGGAGTCCCACAAACATGAGACTCAAAAAAGGGTCAGCTGACTGAAGTTTTTAGACTATCTTCCATTCCAGGCGATGGAAGGAACAGGGGCTAGGGGTTCCCCGGGGGAGGAGGCAACAAGGTTATGGGAGAGTGAAGGCAGGTAAGCCTGGTGAGCAAACGGTGTCTTGTTATGTGGATAAAACTCTCCTATAACCCTGGAGCTGCCCTCAGGAAGAGCAGATGGGAATGGGGTAAAAGTCTCTATCAGACCTTCAGCAGCGTCAGACTTTAGCCTTTTTTTCCCATGAGTTAACCTTTCCTAGATCCGGATGAGGAAGACAAGGGTGCCTCGGAGCCTGTCTGCATGGTCTGTCTACCTCCCGAATGCAGATTTTCCCTACAGATGCAAATCTGCCTCACAAAGGACAGCTTTTCAGAGCTATTCCTGTGTTCTCCAGCCCCTCTGAATACCGATCTCGAAATATGCCAAAGAAGCATATTTTAGGGTAAAATATTCCGGTTTCTTTCAATAGAACCACAGAAATATGCATGTTTTAAAAGAGCAAAGACATTATGGGAACATATTGAAGGAAAAATATGAAAAAGACAAGAGCAAAAGGATCAAACACAGAAGAAAATGTTGGCAGGTGTTGGGGAAAAGTGGGCGTGAGACTCACCAGGTGCTTCATGGCCCCCAGGGAACTTGCAGAACATCAAAATTAGATTTTGACTGATTTTCCAACAAATTGGTTGGCTTCAGAAGTAAAAAAAAAAATAAACAGAGATAGTCATTTTTATTAGTAGTAATCATCAAAAATAAAAATCGATTTGAAAATTTCTGTGTAGGTTTTCAGTTTTACAGACATAATCTCCAGTTCCTTTTAAGAATGGTCTGAACCCAGAGCCCCTCTGTCCATACCAATTACATCACATGTTACACTGAAGACTTGACCAGCCGTGTCACAAGCACCCAGATGTCTTACCTCGCAAGGCACCAGTGCCTCCCTGTAATTGCTGCACTGTCAGAATCAATATCTCTCTGGGGTCTGCTTTTGAGGTTCAGCCAATCAGCTCCATTGCGCTGACACAGCTCAGCTTATGCCAAAGAGAGCTGCCACCTCAGTCCCCACAAAAGAACAAAACACACCATCATCCCAGATGATGCAACCCACTCCCTCAGCAAACATCACTGTGACTTGAAAATCACAGACTCTCAGAGAATGAAGGAGGCCTGGAGACCAGCTCCTCGGAGCCTAGCACTTTCCTGAAGCACAGACAGGAGGGGCATGATCACACGGGGAGCCAGTGACTGAGCCGGGGATGCCTCCTGACACCCCGGCTGGGCCCATGTCCATGCTGCCATGTATGGCCAGGCATCAGTGTTTTAATGACCCCTTCATCTGATCACATGGCTTTGCACACTTACTTTAATTTTAGACTTGAAAACATGTGATTTACTAGTTGTGTGCTTCTAAGAATCCATGACACAGACAAGAAAGAAGAATGAATTAGGACGATAGGCCCACCGGGGGCCAAAATTCTCATTCTCAGCCTACCTCTCTTATGAGTGACAGGGCAAGCCCTGATGCCACTGAAGCAACAGCAGTGAACTAAGTCAGGGCCAAGGTACAGAGGACTTGTTTTGGTGTCACAGCACCTCCTGAACTCCTTGTCTGTATGTTTGCGTAATTCCCTACCATCCAAACTTCTACTCTATTGATCCATCCCAACACAGAATCCAAGAAGACCAGGTAAGTCTTCCCTTGTCCTCATAACCGAAGCTCGACTTAGGTTCAGATCTCCAGTGGGAATGAATAAGCCAAGGAGGTGAGGGCAGTGGAGGAAAGTGGCAGCGGCGTGAGCATCCGTTCTGCTGCAGCAGATGCAGCGGTCATGGCGCCCGGGCGACACCTGGTGCTGCATGGCAGTGGCATCACCCCCGCCAGGATCCCGGGTGCACCGGGCCCAGTGCCCGGCTGCCTTCTTGCTCAGAGTCAGGTCTCAGTGTCTGTGGTCCTAGACAGTACTTTCTGCTGATTGGCCCGGACAGGTCAGCTGAGAATGAAGGACTAGGGTTCTTCTCTGAGAACTTTGCCTCAACAATAAGAAACTTGAAGAACAGTGACTTTGTCACACTGTAACATTAACAATTTCTTTTTCAGAGAAGTAAAATGTGGGCAAATTATAGTTTTCCTGAAAGAATTTAATTTTCAAATAATTCTGGCCAATCCCTTCATTGTTTTCTTTTGAAAATATTATTATCGGAAAAGTTTGGTCCCAAATTCTCAGCACAGAATTTCATTTGGATTAAAATTAGCCAGAGAGAATGATCAGTAAGGACCAGGAAAAGGGAGTGTATGAGAGTGATGGAGTTTGAAATCTCATTGAGTAGAAATCCCATTGACCACAATTATCCAGCTCTGAACAAGGATCAAATGCTCATAGGCCAAAAAAAGCTCCGGATTAGGCCAAAGAATCTCACTTAACCAACTTGTATATAACAAATACTCCAGTGGATTCCACAGCAATTTCATTTTGGAATTTGTCATGGGAAATAGGTAGGAAAGACAGACTGAAATGGATTCATGCATAAAGAAATGCACTTAAAGAAAAGGGGTAATTTTTGGCATTGACGGGTTCTGAATTAGATACAAATCCTCAGAGAAAGGATTTAGACATGTTGGCCAGGCGAGATGGCTGACGCCTGTAATGCCAGCACTTTGGGAGGCCGAGGCAGGTGGATCACCTGAGATCAGGAGTTCAAGACCAGCCTGACCAACATGGTGAAACCCCGTCTCTACTAAAAATGCAAAAATTAGCTGGGTTTGTTGGTGCACGCCTGTAATCCCAGCTACACGGGAGGCTGAGGCAGGAGAATCCCCTGAATCCGGGAGGCAGAGGTTGCAGTGAGCCAAGATCGCGCCACTGCACTCCAACCTGGGTGACAAGAGCAAAGCTCTGTCTCAAAATAAATAAATAAACAAACAGCTAGTAACTGGGTTTTGACATATGGAAATTCCTTACTTCTTATTTCAATTCACTGCTCTTTTCTAAACACAGAACTACTGTGTAGTGTAACAGGATGATTGGCAGGGGGTGCTCTGTGGCCCCTGGTGTGTGCCCCTAACAAAGAGCCATGTCCTCTGCAGAGAGTTCTTGGTGGAGGAGGCTCCACTGGGAAAAGCCAAGCCACTGGGTGGTGCGTTGCCCTCAAGTTTCCCAGTGATGCCAGTGATACCTGCCCTAAATTACAAATGCTGCTTACACATGGCCAAAAAAAAAAAAAAAAGCACATGTCAGTGATTGGTTGTATTACAAAGCACGTCAGTGATTGGTTGTATTACTGAGCTACTGGAAAAGCTGCAGCATCTGCAGCAATTGCGGAGGCTCAGGAAACAGTACCCCAGATGACAGCCTCAGAAGCAAGAGCTTCTCTCTGCTCACTTCTGCCTTCCGGTTCCTCAGCCCAATTCTCCCCTGAGGCCAGATATAGAAACCAGAATCCCTCTTCCTCCAGGACCGTCACAGTAACCACAACCCCTTTGCCCCAGAGCCAGCCTTAAAACCTAAAAGTATTACTCTAACTTTCGCTCCGCCTTTCTGGGTAAGAACTGGCGATAAAGACACTCTCTGACCCACCTTGTTTGAGTGTAGGTATGAGATCCGATTCCAGAGAGGGCCCCACCCCACACCAGAAGGAAGGAAAGCTGACCAGAGAGGCCAGCAAGAATCTGGACAGACAGGCCTTGCTGGGTGTCCCCACTCAGTCTATTCGCATTAGACCACACCCTTTCGTCCAATCCTATGCCTACACAGCTGCCCATACTTTGTTAAACCTAAGCATAAAAATGGACAGTTTCCCCTGTATCTTTGGGTCTTCAATCTGAAGGCTCCTATGTACACATTAAGAAAATTTGTACATCTTTTCTCAAATGAATCTGCCTTTTGTGAGTTGATTTTTCAGCGAACCTTCAGAGGGTGAAGGGAAAATTTCTCCTAGGCCCTGACACAACCATAACTACTGCAGTCTGAAACAGGTATGCTCCACAGCCTACAACAGGTATAGAAAGTCACGGAACACAGATGGCTAAGGTTCAAACCAGCACGAGAGGGCGTTCAAAAAGCTAAGGAGTTAGGCTGGGTGCAGTGGCTCACGCCTGTAATCCCAGCACTTTGGGAGGCCGAGGCAGGCAGATTACCTGAGGTCAGGAGTTCAAGACCAGCCTGGCCAACATGGTGAAACCCTGTCTCCACTCAAAAAAAAAAATTTAGCAGGATGTGGTGGCAGGTGCCTGTAATCCCAGCTACTAGGGAGGCTGAGACACAAGAATCATTTGAACCCAGGAAGCAAAGGTTGCAGTGAGCCAAGATCATGCCACTGCACTCTAGCCTGGGCAACAGAGCAAGACCCCGTCTCAAACAAACAAAAAAGCTCAGGAGTTGGATAGCTCCACAGCAGGGGCTAACATTCCATCTAAGCAAAGTGACTATAATCCAACCACTTTTTGACGTCTAAATAAACTTGTGCCTTTAATGACTGTTTTCTGATTGACATCCCATTACTGCCTGAAGGCAAAACAAGCTGAAAGGGCAAGATTGTGTGATAGCCAAAGAAACTCATTCACATATTAAGCCATTGACAATTTTAAGACATATTCTAAATGGATCATTCTAGCAATTAAGTGGAGGGGAAATGAACGGTAGGGGACATAAGCAGGGAAACTAGAAAGAAAGTTTGACAGTTGATGTCAAAAATAAGAAAGGCTCAAACTAGCACCATGTCTGTAAGGAAGAAAAGAAAGGGAAAATTTCCCAAACATATATTTAGAAGTTAAATCAATCACACTCTATTCACTGGACGATGAAAGACTGGGTGAGGAAAATAAAAACATCAAGAATCATTGCTCGTGTTTTTGGAGGCAGTGTTGCTTGGGGTTAGTCAGTAACGGGTGGCAAAATAAGAACAAAATAATGACTACCAAAACGCAAATGAAACTAACTAGCGGCTACGTTGATTTGCATCTCAGCCTTATTGCTTGTCTTTACCTCTGGGAAAAAAATTGAAGAAGTAATAGAAATAAAATGCAGAGTGGTATGGAGAGGGCGTCAGTTTAGCAGGAGGTAATACCCAAATCTTTAGAAAAAGCAGAGAATGTTATTTGGATACCGTGAGCTTCACTGTAGAGGCCAAGGCATGGTGAGATTTAATAAAGGTGCACAGAGCATAAATCTAAAAGGCGATTATGCTAGTATAACCCACACGATATTGTGGATGACGTGTTTAATGGCAACATCCTGATCCACTCTTGCCTAGGGGATGTTAATGGAACTACACAAAACCTATCATGCTTTGGTTCAATGAGAGATTTTTTTTTTTAAGCTCATACTTCAAGCAAGGAACCTAAAATCTCTTCCATGATCACAGTGTGCAGAGGCAATACTAATTTTCAGAGCAGCCTGATCTGGAACAAAGGAGACAGGAATCAGGGCAGCCTCTGACAGAGTGCTCACAGGAGAAAGAGATGGTGCTGCCCGGTACAGCCCCTCCCAGCATTCACAGGCAATGGCTGGAGGTAAGAAGCACCAGGTCCGGTCTAGATAACAGCATTTGGGACACACAGCGGATAATCCAAGCTGGGACAGGCAGAGGCTACTCCTTAGTCAGATGGTTAAGGTCTCGAAGAATTGGTGACTGTCATCAGGACCCGTTCTCTGTGTTTAAGTGTGCACAGGGATTTGGACATATTTTTTATTTTAGAGTGTAGATTCTGTCGTTCTCGAAAATCTTTTTCATTTTGTGAAGTAGCGAGTTTATTTTTATTTTTTTTAAGAGACAGGGTCTCACTCTTTCACCCAGGGTGGAATGCGGTGGCGTGATCATGGATCCCTGCAGCCTCCTGGGTTTAAGCGATCCTCCCCCCTCAGCCTCCCCAGAGGCTGGGACCCTGACAGGCATACTCAGCACTGAGTTTAAACCCACCTAACAACCAACTACGCAACATGCCCAGGCACTCCCAGAGCCAAGATTGTCTAGTTGAGTCAAGGGCTTGATATCCAGAGTTGGAAAAATAAAGAGCTCTCCTTAACAAATTGTATCTGAATAAGTAGACTTGTGTTTGGGGGAGCCAAGTGTTACAGTAGAGCCCAACGAGTATTATACCTTCAGGCTTCGCACGTTCTTTACAGTCATAAGCACTCAGCAAATGGTTACCATACTGGACGCCATGGAAGACTTATTAGAAGGGGGTAAAGTTGGAAATATGAAAATGAGTTAGGCTGTGGCCACAGCCTGGAGGAAAACAGGTAAGGGTTGATCTAAGATAGAGGCAACGGCACTAGAAAGGAGGAGACAGCTGCACATGGTGGCACACATCTGTAGTCTCAACTACTAAGGAGGCTGAGGAAGGAAGATCTCTGAGCCCAGGAGTTTCAGATTGTCGTGTGCTATGATCACACCTGTGAATAGCCACTGCACTCCAGCTCAGGCAATATAGTAAGAACCCATCTCTAAAAATAAAAAGAAGAAGGGGAAGAAAGGAGAAGATAGCTAAAAGAAATTTAGAGGCAGACAATCGTTCATAAGTAAAAAGGCAGTGAAGTACATAGGACAAATAAGTTACTATACTTGAGAGTAAAATATTAAATTGGCTAGATCCTAACTTGTGAGAAATAATAGAGCTACCCGTTCCATACTGACACCCAGCAGTGAACCACACAGCCTTTAGGTTAACAACGGGACTTTCTCCAGTCAAGTACAAGTCCCAGTTCTCTTATCAAAGAGAACTCAACTTGGATTTATATGAAGATCAAAGAAGCCAGCTCTGTAAGTCATACCTAAAAACATTCCATGCATAAAATAATGAAGACTACTAGGTTATAGAGATGGTTATTTGCAAAGTGATAGAATCCCATTTCTCATTAATTGTGAAATAATTTAGGACAAAACCAAGAACAGATGAAAACAGGTTATATAGAGAGAGAAAAAAAATTCAAAAAATATAGCAAAGGCAGTGATACCAAGACAAATGTGAATTACATACCCAATATTTTTCTATTTGCAAAATGTGTGATTAGATGAGTTGGAAGAAACTGCCTACAATTTACTGAAATACTTTGTGTATTTGTACGTATGAGTGGGAGAGAGAGAGGGAGGGAGAGGGAGACAGGGAAACAGAGAGAGAGAGAGACAGAGAGAATTATATTTCAGACCAAGAATCTGATTCAGTCACTAAAACTACAGACTGCTTTTAATCTACAGCCCAAGGATAGTCCAAAAGGCAGTGCAATTATCAAGTTGTCTAAAACATTGTTTATGGACAGCTATCTCTTTCTGTGTAAAGACTGACCTCATTTTGCACATATCTAACATTTGCAATCTCAATTGCATGAAACAAGGTAGATAAACTAGGTTGCATTTATTTCTTTTCCTAAAGAATTAGCACCAGTATTTTGTTAGTCAGTTTTAAATTATGATGCCATTTACAAAATTCAATTTATATCTATCTTTTCGGAATACATATACTGTGTAGACTATGTTTCCAAATTTGATTTTTCTCCTTGCCTTACCCAAAATGTTGAAGAAGAATTTTTTTTTTTTAATTGAGATGGAGTTTCACTCTTGTTGCCCAGGCTGGAGTGCAATGGCACAATCTCGGCTCACCGAAACCTCTACCTCCTGGGTTCAAGCGATCTCCTGCCTCAGCCTCATGAGTGGCTGGGATTACAGGCATGTGCCACCACGGTCGGCTAATTTTTTGTATTTTTAGTAGAAACGGGGTTTCTCCATGGTGGTCAGGCTAATCTCAAACTCCCAACCTCAGGTGATGCGCCCGCCTCGGCCTCCTAAGGTGCTGAGATTACAGGTGTGAGCTACCACGCCTGGCCGAAGAGGAAAATTTATAATAAAATAAACTTATGGCAGAAATATTTTAAAAATATCAAGGGGCTGTTTGGGGGTTATTCTATATTTATACTAATCACCCAAATACTCATGTCTATAGAGCTTTTAACAATTGGAATTTCTTACAATGAATTATAATATCTTTGATTAGCATACAAAGATAAATTTATATTTGCTAAATTATTCTCATTAAGGCAAATGTTGAAATAATTATCAGGGTTTCGAACAATGAATTACAAGCTCCTTAGCAGAGCAAAATATATGTGAATTTACTGGACAAGTCTTATGAAGACAAGTACTGAAACTAACAAGCTATTAAAGCTAAAGTTAAGTTGGTCAGAAAATTCATGTAACCAAATCATTTGAAACCTGAGTTTTGTGGTTAAAAAGCAGGCTTTCTGTTAATTTAATTTAACTTAATTTCTGTTGAGTCTTCTGTTTTATAAAATATGAAATAGCAGCCCCTTAGTAAAAATAAAGTATAGAAATCATAAGAAAGATCTACTATAAAAAAGGCTATTAAGTAGATTATTGATAAATCAGAACTATTACTTGATTAGTTTGTTCTCTTCTTTGTGAATTACAGCAGGAAATAGTATTTTAAAAGCATATTAGTATACTTCTATCCATTCTTCAAAATCTGGGTTAAAAATGTTTCTTGTGATATCACTGCTGAAGAAAATATCACTTTGAAATATTACTTTTTTAAAGTTCAGTTTCTGAGTCCTACTTTTAATACTTGAAGACACAATGACAATTTTAAATTTTTTATTTATATATTTTCTAGTATATTAGGATGAGTAAGAATTAATTAAAATATTAGAGGCTGTAGGGTCTAAAATAGTTATTAAGGACAATATGGAAAGACCATCTTTCAGAAGGCTGAAATTGAAAAGGAAGCAATTCCAGCTGTGCAGTTGGAGAGTAAATGGCCTGTGAAGTAACTGAACCAAGTTCCTCAACATCTTAAGGTGAGGGCATTTTCAAATTGTGAAAAATCCTTATTATGAAATTAGAGTTTTATTACATGAATCTTTTGATCAGTTGTCATCTTGGGAAGACTAACTTCAATAATTGGTCTGGAGAGAGGATGGGGCAAAAACTTACATGGGGAATTCTATAGCCTCTGTGTGAGGAAGAGGTTAGAGATAAAAATGGTGTTTTTACTTAAAAAAAAAAAAAAAAGAAAAAGAAAGGAGCAACATGCATGTTCAGTCCTGATTGCTTTCTGGATCTTGCTAAAGCTGCTAGAACATTTCCTGTGTTATCGATTTTGTATATTACCTCAGTTCACCTCTGCTGACAGCAGTTGGTTTAGCTGCACTGGGATTCATCCAATATTCCCAACCGTGATGTTAATTCTATGGCAAAGTAAATAAAAGCTCTGTTCTGACGTCATAATCGCTGAGTTGGAACCTGGCTTTGCCACAGGCATGCCTTCACAGAAGTCACTTAACTAAGTCTAGGTTCCTCATCTGTGAACTGAGAAAACTAAAAGCACTGATTCCATGGGGTGCTGTGAGTATTAAGTCCATGGAAGGTTCTCAGGGGGTGCCTTCCCGGAGCAAAATATGCATGTAACAAATATCAGCCATCATTATTTCTACTAAAGCACTGAAAGAAACACAACTAAAAGACCTAAAACACAGCTTTATATTTTATAGTGATTTTGGGGGGGCATGCCATAGGAAATGATTTGATATCTGTAGATTTTAAAGTCAAAATGTTTCATGGCTAATTGAGAAAAATCTTGGGCTCTTTAAGATTAGTGTGAGGTTTAGAGATAATAAATGTAAAGCATGTGACATAGTGCCTGACAGATACTCAGTAAGTTGTAGGAGGTTCTATTATTACCAATATCATCATGATTCATACATTTCTTTTCTCTCCACTTTGGCTTGACATGTGGATACATGAGGCCAGTAGGAAGAAGTCACCCATGACTATCTGGAACAACATTGTGGGGAAGGCCAAGTTTCTGGTCAGTACAGAGCCTTCAAAATTCCTTTCCCCTCAAAAAGAGGGGTCCCTCTGATACCTGCTTGTCTAGCTCTCCCCCCTGCCACCGCCAGATATGTTTTTTTGGAATGCATTCGTTAAATAATGAAATAATTGAGTTCCATGTATTCTCTTCAGGCTATGTCTTTGCATTTGGACTGATAATTCATTAAGCCAGGATAACGATGGAATGGCCTATGTGGGTAGCTGTAAGGACCCTGTGATGATCTTTCCGAGTTTCAGATTGCACGATAACCTTGAAACTTACAAACCTGGCTTTGGTTGTAAAGGATTCATGTTCAAGGGAACTACTGAATGGAAGTTATCAAAAGTATTAAAATCAACAGAGCATGCAGAGAACTACAGGATAATTACTGTGGCATTCTGTTAAGATCATACTTGACTTAGAAAACTAGTGGCCTGTAGATTCGGTCTTATTTGCCCTCCAAGAATACTTATACAGCAAAAATACCCATTCCTCTGGAAATTTACTCTCTTGGCAATTGCATAATTATTATTATTTTTTAATCTAGAAACCACCGTACATTCATTTAAAACTACTTTGAGATAGGAATTTTACTTACCTGAGAACTGTGGTCTCTTATCATGACTTCAGTTTTCTAAATTTAACTTATGGATGTATAATCTTATTAATTAACTGTGAACATGGTTTCTGAGAGAAAAAGACCTGCCTAATGTCTACCACCCTTACAGTATAAGAGCAGCAGGATCTTCGTCTGTGTGCGGGAAGGAACGTCACAGGATTGGGACTATGTATTTGTGCACTTTAGAAATGGGGACAGAGGCTGGGAGGAAGATCTAAGTTCATTGAAGGTGTGTCCCACCTTACTCCAGGGGTAGTGGATGGACTTGAAAGCTGGACAGAAGAATCATCTTACTGGGTGGCAGTGGCCTCTTCAGGCTTTGGACTGTGGAGAGACACCTGCCTCTCTGTAAGAACGGTAAAAAGCCTCCCTGCCTGTGGTACTTGGCCTGTATGTAATATCTCAAAGGCGGTTAGGAACAGGAAGAAAGTTCCTCTGACTTGGTGTTTCCCTGAAATGCTGATTAGATAAATAACAGTGCATGCCGCACAATGACAAAAGCAACTTATAAACATCAAGGGTTATGTGAGGCAACCGTACATCTGATTTTGGTATTGTGGTATTTGATATTTCAAGAGACTAAAATAAAAGAGAAAGTATAAAAATAAGCAGTTTCCCAGGGAGTTATGGCAAAGCTCAGGACATCAAACGAGACTGAACCAAGTGAGAAGTGCAACTACCTCCAAGGGTAAAAGAAATAGGCCGGGCGCAGTGGCTCATGCCTGTAATCCCAGCACTTTGGGAGGCTGAGGCAGGTGGATCACCTGAGGTCGGGGGTTCGAGACCAGCCTGACCAACATGGAGAAACCTTGTCTCTACTAAAAATACAAAATTAGCCAGGCGTGGTGGCGCATGCCTATAGTCCCAGCTACTCGGGAAGCTGAGGCAGGACAATCGCTTGAACCTGGGAGGCAGAGGTTGCAGTGAGCCAAGATTGCACCACTGCACTCCAGCCTGGGCAACAAGAGTGAAACTCTGTCAAAAAAAAAAAAGAAAGAAAGAAAGAAAGAAACAGTGCCAGCCTACCAGACCATCTGAAGTAGTCTGTCTTACTCCAGTGGAGCAGGCTTCCCCAAGCTGGGGGCCAAAAAACCCCAGGGAAACACAGGGTTCATCAAATAATGGCTAAAGTGAGCTCATTTTTATATCTATACAAATATAAACATATACAATACATGTAAATGTACAGATTTGTGTATGTAACAATCATTTAAGGGTGTATGGAAAACTACTTAAATATACTATTTATGGTAGTGTTTTATCTTCTCAAGAGATACTAAAAGCTGTATTATTTTTATACAGAGGTCTACTAAAATGTTTTGGCTCTGAAAAATGACTCTCACTTGCAAATGCTGGAATTTAGAGCAAAACAGTATTCCCTTCCTAAAACAAACATAACAGTCATAACGGTATTCCATTTCTGAAGCATAATGATACACCTATCAAAATGGTTAACATTTGAGTTTGAATTAGGTTGTCATTGTTTCTTCTCTCTCTTTAATACATTTTAAAATATGTTTTTCTACAGGTGCGGTCTTACTAAGTTGCCCAGGCTGGTCTTGTACTCTTGGCCTCAAGCAATCCTCCCACCTCAGCCTCCCAAAGCACTGGGATTACACACATGAGCTACTAGGCCCGGCCTCTTCTGTCTTTTTGTAGGTGTGTTTATGAACTAAGTAGTGACCCAATATGAATTTCCAAGTCAAAGGGAACAACTGCAAGACAAATAAGGTAGTCAGGGCCCTTCAAACAAAAATAAGTGCCCTGCTGTCATGAGAATCAACACAATCTCCTCTGGGCCCAGCAAAGAGAGGACCCTCTGCCTCCTTCTCATACTCTGTGTGAGCACCAAGTGACCATCCAAACTATTTTAGGGCAGTGCTCAACTGGGGCAGGTCACACCATGTGGTCCACTCCCATTTTTTTTTTGAGACGGAGTCTCGCTCTGTGGCCCAGGCTGGAGTGCAGTGGCACAATCTCAGCTCACTGCAACCTCCGCCTCCTGGGTTCAAGTGATTCTCCTGCCTCAGCCTCCTGAGTAGCTGGGACTACTGGCATGCACCACCATGCCTGGGTAATTTCGTATTTTTAGTAGAGACAGGGTTTCTCCTTGTTGCTCAGGCTGGTCTCAAACTCCTGACCTCAGGTGATCTGCCTGCCTCATCCTCCCAAAGTGCTGGGATTATAGGCCTGAGCCACCACGCCTGGCCTGTTTATTTTTATAAGTAATGATTTGCTTTATGCATCTCCAGATTTAATATGCCACTCTATCCAAAACTGGGAAAATTTTATTTATTTCTCAAAGTTTTTTAAATAAACCCTCTCTACAGACATTAGGAAGTTAATTAGAGATACTTAAGATATTTGGGTCAAAACCAAAACATTTAAAATCATTTTTAGCAGGACCAACTTTTGGTATGAAATAAACACATACTGAAATCATCTGTAAATTTACTATTCATAAACATAGCTTAAGAAAATACCTAACGCAGCACTCTACAATGCAGTGCCCGTGAATGAATAAATGAATGACACCTGCCCACTGTTTATATGATTCCATACGTATCTCGGACTATATGCATGACTCTAATACATGTGAATATGGTATTCTATCTATACGAAAAGACAAAGATCTTTCTTCTAATAAATGAATCTTTTGCTCATTATACCCCAAGTCCCCATTTGGGAGAAGTGATATTTAGGGAGGAATTATTGGGAAGAGGCCGGGCGCAGTGCCTCACGCCTGTAATCCCAGCACTTTGGGAGGCCAAGGCAGGCGGATCACCTGAGGTCAGGAGTTCAAGACCAGCTTGGCCAACATGGCGAAACCCCGTGTCTACTAAAAATAAAATTAAAAAAAGAAATTAGCAGGGTGTGGTGGTGCGAGCCTGTAATCCCAGCTACTCAGGAGGCTGAGGCAGGAGACCAGCTTGAACCTTGGAGGCAGAGGTTGCAGTGAGCTGAGATGGTGCCACTGCACTCCAGCCTGGGTGACAGAGCAAAACTCCATCATAACAAAAAAAAAAAAAAAAGAGGAATGATTGGGAAGATTTGTTGTCCATCTATTCCATCATATGCTCACTTGTCTTGTTGGTTGAAGTCGAACCATGGAATAGAGGATGTTCGGCCAAATTTCCTTGCTACCCTGCTAGTCTGTCTGTCCACCTTAAATGTTTTCGCTGGGTTACCTTTTGGTATTATAATGTTAGCTTTTATAGTAAGAAACTCGTTTAGAGCACTTTAATGTAAAATTCCATATAAGAAATTTATTTTAGAGCTATGAGGTAGAAAAAGCTCGGTTCTCCTGAGGAGGTGTTATTTACCGTCTTTATAACATAATTGTCATGTTTCCATTTTAACTTTGGCCATGAAGAAACACATTTTGTGGCCTGGATGTTTATGTTTAGCTGTTTTTCTGGAGAGCTTTGCTTCTTGCCTCTTTTTATTTTGTTTCTTGATGATGGATATTTTCTTTAAAATCACATATTATCCTTATGTATAATGTGATTTTAGTTTCCGAGGTTTTATTGGTAAGTTAAGCTACCTCAGTTCTTTAGTGGAAAATACAAGGATATAGATGTTATTATAGGTATAGATACGGAACTCTTAGCTAAGCACATGCACTCTCTCTCCCTCCTTCCCTCTCTCCTTCCTGTGCGTGTATTTAAATTGCACAATTCAGTTTAAGTCATTTCCAATCTTCTCCTTGTACAAATGTGCCTTTGGTTTTTAAAGATTCATTAGACCTATGCTTTGTCTTGGTAAACATAACCATATACACAATTGTCTGCCTTTAAGAGAATTGAAACAATCCCAGAATTGTGTTCCCAACATAGCTTAGTATAAGGTGTAATTAAACATTTAAGGACATTTGAGAGGCAACTGTGGAAAACCGACCTGGAGAGGTCATCGGGCAGAGCCATGCTGAGCTCCTCACCACTACCATGCACATTCTCCCAAAACAAGCGCATTCTCAGGATATTGCTTTTGCTTTCTTCTTCTTGATGAGCTGCTTCACACACATTCTATTCTCAAGAACCAACTTCCTACCTGACCTGGCTCCCATCTAACTTAATAAAAAGAAAACCTGTTTTTTATTTCATCTATAGATAAATTATGGTCTGAAATGAACTACTAGTGAACCCATGCAAAGGCTATATATATATATATATATATATATATATATATATATATATATATTTGTATACACACAAATATATATATATACACATATATATACATGTATATATATGTTAGTAAATGGCCACTCGAGGTATAGAAAGTCACCCAAAGACATCACAAAAACTATTTAAATATTTGAAATATAATTGAAACAGGCCTATTCTCAATGAAAAAAAAAAGTGCCACGTTCCCTCTGACTTCTGATTGCTAAATCAAAACGCTTAGAAAGGGTTTGTTGGAAAATGAATCTGTCTGTCGAGTAAACTCAGAGAAGCGCTCAAAGGGATCGCCGAGTAATGATTCTGAAGCTGTACTGTGTTTCCTCAGGAGACAATCTTCTAGACCTCTGAAATGAATGAGTCCTTAACCAAATGAATTTTTGTAAATATTTCTATAAACTAGTAAAAACTTTTAGAGCAAAGGAGTTCATCTCAGGAGAGTAAGATATAGGAGACCCACAATGATGGAGGCTCTGTTCTATCAAGACACAAAACAGATAGGTTGAGCCATAAAACATGAAACCATAAGGCTCTAAAATATAACCCTTGCATAACATATAAAAATATATGAATATATGCATTATACATGTACTTTATATACATGTATTTTTATATAATACATATATAAAAATAAATTTTGTATATTTATATAAATTCAACAATCCCACTACTGGGTTTCTACCCAAAGGAAAAGAAAAAATAAATTTGGTATATTTGTATGAATCCAACAATCCCACCACTGGGTTTCTACCCATAGGAAAAGAAGTCGTTATATCAAAAAGACATCTGCACTCATGTGTTTACTGTAGCAGTACTCACAATGGCAAAGATATGGAATCAACCTAAGTGTCCATCAACAGATGACTGAATAAAGAAAATGTGGTATATATACAATGGAATCCTATTCAGCCATAAAAAATGAAATTATGTTTTTTGCAGCATAATGAATGGAACTGGAGGTCATTACCTTAAGTGAAACAACTCAAAACGTCAAATACTTTATGTTCTCACTTGTAAGTGGGAGCTAAATAATGTGTAAGCATAGACGTAGAATGACAAGCATTGGAGACTCAGAAGGGCTAGGGGTATGTGGGGAGGGGGTGGATGATGAAAGATGACTTAATGGGGACAATGTACATTATCTGGGTGATGGATCTACCAAAAGCCCAGACTTCACCGCTACACAATATATCCACATGACAAAATTACACTCGTACTTCTTAAATTTATATAAATTAAGATAAATAAATAAAAGGGTAAAAAAAAGAAAAAATAAAGTCATTGCATTAAAAATCTTTCAAGCATTGCTTTATCATCGCATAAATGTAGCCAAAGATTCTGAAGAATTATGAGGGCTTCTGTGAAGACATTGTTTCACTGCCACTCAATATAACTTGTGAAAACTTTGGTCAAGAACTCTAAACTAGGAAAACATGCAAAGAAATGTTCACTCATAGCAATATTTGACACAGTTGATTTTTCTGCTGCATTTCTTTTTCTACAAAGAGAAATATTATTCAAAGAGAAAAAATTTGCCAGGCATGGTGGCAGGTGCCTGTAATCCCAGCTACTCAGGAGGATGAGGCAGGAGAATTGCTTGAACCCGGGAGGCGGAGGTTGAAGTGAGCTGAGATCGCTCCACTGCACTCCAGCTTGGGTGACAGAGCTAGACTCCATCTCAGAAAAAAAAAAAAAAAAAAAGAAAAGAAATATATTCCCTTCAATGTCATGCCTGGCTGTGTGTCTGACACTGTTCAAGATCTAATGAAAGGAAATGTTAAGACACACCTAGTATGTGATTCAGCCCAAATTCCAGCCAGGCCAAGGTGGCTCTGCAACTGTGCTCTTTGCCACAAATGACCCTGTGTCCTGCAGAATAAAGGACACTACAAGTAATAGCACTGGAGTACAATGTGTGCCCTATGCATATATTTATAAAATGCTATGGTTCCCACTGACGAGAAGGGCCTGGCCACACCCTACTCCATTTTCAATGCGTTTCCTGTGTTTCTATCTCTTACTGAAAAGAAATGCTGATTTTGTAACAAAGAAGCCTTGCTATCCTTCAAAACCCCTTTATGAAGTTGACTTCATTTTATCCTCTCCATTTCCATCAATACTCCCAACTCTGGAGACTTTCTCCCCATTCCTCTCCTGTCCTCCCTTCTCTCTTGCCTCATATTCAGAACACAGATAGAGCTTGAAGATCATGGCTTCTGGTATGAAACTTTTATTATTCATTTATGTGTTTGTTTGTTTTTTGAGTCTGGGTCTCACTCTCTTTCCCAGGCTGGCGTTCAGTGGCTCAATCATGGCTCACTGCAGGCTCAGCCTCCTTAGCTCAACCTCCTCCCACCTCAGCCTCCTTAGCTCAACCGCCTCCCACCTCAGCCTCCTGAGTCGCCGAGATGGCAGGCATGAGCCAGCACATCTGACTGCAACTTTTATTCTATAACCTAAATCCTGTGGGTATACAAAGATGCAGATATAAACAGGTATCACAGACTGTATTATATATGAGAAATAAAATATTTATAATTTCTCTACATCAGTAAATCAGAATTTAACATTATCCAAATTCCCTTCCAGACTTTTCTCAGGTGCGTGGTTTCAGAGTAGGACTCGTTTCTTATATACAATGCGGTGTTTGATTTTTTAAAAAAAAAAAACTTCCCTTGGAAAATACTAAAACTATTATGCATTGAGTCATTTAATATTCAGAATAACCTCACAAAGCAGGTGTTAACAACTTCCATTTTACCCTTTATAAAATAAAGACTCTAGAGAGATTAGATAAGTAGCTTGTCCAAGTTTACAAACAAGTTTATGCCCTTTCTACTGAGCTACATTTCCTTTATTGTCTTATAACATAAACTTATCTCATATGTCTGATAAAAACTGTCCAAGAGGCTTCAAAATTATGATGATTTTCTTTTCTTTTCGAGACAGAGTCTCGCTCTGTCACCCAGGCTGGAGTGCAGTGGCATGATCATGGCTCACTGCAGCCTTGACCTCCTGGGTTCAAGTGATCTTCTTGCCTCAGCCTCCTGAGTAGCTGGAGCTACAGGTGTGCACCACCATGCCTGGCTAATTTTTTTTATTTTTTGTATAGGTGGAGTCTCACTATATTGCTCAGGCTGGTCTTGAACTCCTGGGCTCAGTCTTCCCACCCCAGCCTCTCAAAGTCCTGGGATTATAAGCATGAGCCACCACGCCCAGCCTGATTTTCTCCTTGAGTGCGCAAGTTTCCCTCTTGGTGGATACACTTAACCGCACTTTAATGGTTCTAAGATACACATTTTAACATCTAAGTCGGGATGTATCTCAAGATCAAGGACAACTGACATTTGCTGTCACGTTGGCCAGGTGGCAGCGGTGACAGACTGGTCACTGCCTGCAGGGGCTTAATATGGTTATAGTTTCAGTGGCACAACTGGGCAACTGTAACTCATTTATGTCAGGTCCACAGATGACAAGGATCTCTTGCAGAAAAAATAGAAGACCTGGCTGGGTTCTGAAAACCTCTTATTGACACATTATTAGATCAAGAAGCAATTAGCATCAACATTCACAGAACAGTTTGTGAGCAACTTGCAGGAAGATCCCAGAGATGGCTGCAGGGCACAGATAAGAAATGCCACATCACTAGTGCTCTCCATGGCACAGAGAAATACTTATGGAAAAACATGGACTTTGATGATTCACAATTGAAAAGTGACTCAGAAGAGCTGGACTTTGTAGGAGAAAAACATTGAAAATAATCTAACCAATTATTTCACTTATTTTTCATTTTCATGTATGCACAAAATGCATGTTTAAATAACCCTAAAAAACTCTTTCAGTAAGTGTAGTTTTTAATTAGCAGTGCTTCTTTCTTTTCTCAGTGGTGTGTAGCTAGCCTCGTACAGGTGACAAAATATAGGTAATTTATTTGAAGCATCTCTTATTGTTTGGCACTCATTATTTTCAAATGTTTGCTATTAAAGATAGATAATGCTAGGCCGGGCATGGTGGCTCATGCCTGTAATCGCAGCACTTTGGAAGGCCGAGGCGGGTGGATCATCTGAGGTCAGGAGTTCGAGACCAGCCTGGCCAACATGGTGAAACCCCGTCTCTACTAAAAATACAAAAATTAGCTGGCTGTGGTGGTGGGCACCTGTAATCCCAGCTACTCAGGTGGCTGAGGCAGGAGAATCGCTTGCACCCAGGAGGTGGAGGTTGCAGTGAGCCGAGATCATGCCACTGCACTGCAGCCTGGGCAACAAGAACGAAACTCCATCTCAAAAAAAAAAAAAAAAAAAAAAAAAAGAGTTTCTATTTTGTCATAGTAGGAGAAAAGGGAAAGGGTATTCAAAACAAGAAGCTGTCACTAAACAAAAAATCATAATTACCTTGAGATCCTGGCAGCTTCTTTGTTAGCCCTCCATTTCACCATGCTAATTATAAAGAAAAGTAAACTTACATTTTTTGCTCTGGAGAACATCAAGCAAAATATTTGATCTGCTGTCTAAGCACCTGATGGTATGAACAATTGGAACTGTTAGACAACAAACAATAGCATTAAACACTCACCTTCCCGTTTCGAATGTTACATAATAAACAGCCGGATACTGCTGACATTAACACCCATTATTGTGCTGCATTAGTTTTATGGGTGCAATAAACACTCCTGGATGATGAACATTTTGTAATTCAAAGAATGACTCATGGAAAATAGTTTTCATTTGCTAAAGTGCTGCAGGGTTGCATTAAAAAATGTCTTGCTGTGCTGAAATTGATTCCATCTGAACGGCAGTTCAAAAGCTACCAGCAACTTTAAAAATGCACAAGGATGTTTTGCTTCTTTCATCTATTTGGGAAAACAGAAGCAACCAAATATAATAATGTTCCTGGGACCCACTGCATGGTTATGTCCTGTTACATAAACAAGCATTATATAAAACAGAGTCATGATTAGCCTATCTTTTTATGGAACAAATAAACATTAACCAAATAAAACCAGTTTTTACCAGATGGCATCCAATAAAATATTACCATTGAGGCTCATTCTGTCCAAACCTTTAAAAAATGTTACCATACCTTGATTTAGGTTGACCTGACAGACCAACATCTGAACTTTTAAAAAAGATTTTACCAAAGGATTCGCTGAGTGATTCTTTCGAGACGAGTCTAAACCAATACAATCAAATAGAATTCAGTTCAAACTGACTGTTTTCTCTGATCGCAATGATTGTGTTAAACGGTAAGACTGAAGAAGTCACTTCCTATTAAACATTTTCTCATTTCGTTTCTTCTTGGGGATTTAATTAAACCAGATTCTGAAGAGGATGGTGACTAGTTGGTTATTGTTAGCAAGACAGGAGTTAGAGCAAATGACATTGTAACACCAGGAATGTCTCTCTTTGAGATTTTAAAACTAGAAGAGATTCTCATTATTCTGGATTTTAGGATGTATGAATGACTCTTCAAAGACTCATTCATTGCAATGGTTTAGTCTGAATGTAATCCCAGGAAAATAAATTTGTTTTTGAGCTCTGAAGATCCAATATCTAAAATGTTGATGTAGAAAACATAATTTAATCTTTATAACATCCCCATGTGGGACATGGTTAGCTCTAGATCACTCTGAATTTTAATCCAGTAGTGCTTCATAAGACCATACACCTTTCTGAAGGGTTTCAGAGCACAAACCTTCAAATATGTTCAGTTATTGACACACAAAGCTTAAAAATAAGAAATTTTGAGTACCAAAACAAGTATGTTTTAAAGTACTCACTCTTCAGTCTGAAATTCCATGATTCTATACCTGGGTTATTTTCACTGTGGACAATAACTAGCTTGCTCTAGCTTTGCCAATGTTGCCACAACCATCTATAAACAAACTCAAAAACTGAAAAATAGAAAACAACACTATATTTTTCATTTTTTCTCTAGGAAAGTTAGAAATAAGTATATTTTCTCTCCTTTCAAGTTCTGAAACAAAAACCCCACTAATCGTGTATACTTGCACTGACTCTTGCCTCAGTAAATCTCAGTTAAGTAATTTGTTACAGTAGCATTTCCTCATTCTGGTATAATTTTTATGTACAGACTGTTTTCATTATTTCACCCTCATAAAAATATACTTTTATAATCTAGCCTACAGAGTTGCTACTCAATCATGTTTCATAACAAGTTCTATAGGTACATACCGGAATGTTATTCACCATTGGCTTAGAATTTAACAGTTTATAAAGGTGCAAATATCTGGGATTTGGGGCTGAAAGGTACTATTATGTTATTACCGTGAACGCACGTTCATTGTAAATACTGTGGTAACCCAGGCCTGAAAGAATCTATGAAGTTAACATTATGCATTTTTTGGGTTTTGAGGTTTCTGAAATGCATCCATCACTCCTGACCAATTGACGTTTACAAATACCACGAGGCCTGACCATCAGGCAGCTTTGTTTTCATTCCCTGCACGGCCCTTGCCCTCTTCCTGTCTCGGCATCTTTATCTAACCTCTGTAACCAGTCACAACTCATTTATTATCATCTGAAAAATAGTGCTGAAATGTTTATACACAATCAATTTGTAATTAATAGGAAATGACTTTATGGGGTCGTTTGATCCCTGCTGGTGGGAGAAAGCCTGGGTTATGTCTAATGGATTTTTTCCATCTCCTTCAGTGGTGACGTGTGGCAAATGGATTGTAAATGAAGATAGACTGTGTAATGAATGACGACACTAAAGACTAATGTGAAGGACTTTAGGGAAAACAAAAGGCTTTCATCTGAAAGGATGATCTGTGGACCAAGGTCACTCATACCACTCACTGCTCATTTTCTCATGTTATTTTAAAACTTTTTTCGGCCTTTATACTGCTTTCAGCAGCATTTGTGTGTAAGAAGTGGACGATGACTTTAATAAAGAGACCCGAATGGAACTGAATGGAGCATTTGTTTTTGAAGCAACTTTTACTGTCCTCAGTTTTATCTCATAGAAGCCTCCCTCCAAGGGCACTGCCATAGACTCACATGTTTCCTCTAATGCCTTGAAAAGCATTTTCCTAAAATGAAGGTCTTGGGAACATTTTACCTGTTGGCCAGAAACCTAAATAGTAATCAGCTCTGAAGGTCATTCTGATGGCATGGAAAAAGCATTGTGCTCTAGAGGAAAAAGCTAACTACGAGGGTAGCCTGGGGAGGACCAGGAGAGTACATACAAACAGGTTTTGCTGCAGTCACACTGCAGACGTTTGACATCTATTTTTCTGCTTTTCCTTTCTACATTTCTCTCATTTCCTTCCCTCTTTCCTTCTCTTTTGTCCTTTCTTCCTTTCTCCCAAAAATATTTATTGGGAATTCCCTATGTGCTACACTTGTACTGGTAAGAAGAAAATTAACAGGTCCTTCTGCCCCCCACCCCCAGCATTAAGTTTAATGAAGGAGAGATATTAATACTCACTCTACTGAATGTATGATTGCAAAGCAAGATAAGTGCTCTGGATTAAAGGAACGTAGCTCTCTAAGAAGGTTAAGTAACACAAAAAAACCTAACCCTGGTAATTTTGAAGATTTGGGATCTTGCAATAAGAAGGTTTGTAGGTGAAGTAATATTTGACCTGGAAACTGAAGACTGTGGTGTTAACCAGACATAAGGAGGCTGGAGGAAGAAGCAGCATAAGCAAAGGGCCCGTGGTCATCAACGATCTGTATGAACTTGTATAGGAAGAAAGCAGAGAGGGAAATGGCAGGTGGATAAGTAAGGAGAAGCGAGATCACAATAGGGTCAAGTGGGTCAGGAAGATACTGAAGGGTTTCCAACTGGAGGAAATTAGAGGGCCACTCAGGGTGCAGTATGAGTCATGGACCGGAGGGAAACAAGAATGGATGCAAGAAGACTGAATTAGGAGGAATTTCAGAGTCCAGGTAGAAGATGGTGGACTTTGATCCAAAATCATTGAAACTAAGAAAACCAGGGGCCTCAGATGTTCTTTGGTCTGTTTTCATCTAAAAACTATTGTATGGATATGGCTGTCCCACCAGGCAGCAACCAGAAGTTAGAGGTGGGAGCATGGCTTGCAGAGTTATTCTGGACATGTCAGTCTCAGTGCCTGTCACGCCCACAGTTGCTTTTGAGTGCAAACCACCCAGTCACCTGCCTGTGAAGCATAGTGAGCCAATTCATTACTAATGATTATCACAGAATCGATCACATTAGCCAACTGACTCAATAGCTGGATTCTTGAAGTGGCCTGGTATAAAAAGAGGACTGGTTTGTGAATAGAGAATTTGACGCCCAAGATACGACACTCCCAGCACATTCATTTTCAACAGTGCTTCTCAATGGTGGCAATTTTACTTCCCAGGGGACATTTTCTGTGTCTGGAGACATTTTTGATTGTCACAACTAGGGAGGTGAGAACTGGCACCTGGTCTGTAGAGGAGAGCGATGCTATTAAACATGCTACAGTGCACAGGCAGCCCCCACCTCCCCCAACAAAGAATTATGTGGCCCCAAATAGTAACAGTGCACAGGTTGACTATACAACTCGTCAAATCCTTAGAATCTGCAAAGGGCTGTCTTTTCGTATGCTAATGAGCTGACTCATGGCTGGCAGCTCCCAGGTAGCTACAGGATGGGGCTGGGTACCAGAAAGACCAAGCCAGGATTAGAGGGTTGGGACTTTTGGCCCCACCCCAACCTCATGGGAGGGTAGAGGGGCTGAAGGTTAAGTGGATCACCAATGGCCAATGGTTTAATTAATCACGCCTATCTAACAAATACTCTATAAAGTCCCTGAGGACAGGGTTTGGGAAGCTTCTGGAGAGCTGAATACATGGAGTTTCCTGGAGGGCGGTGTGGCAGGGAAGGCACAGAAGCTCCGCACCCCTTCCCTCATACCCTGCCCTGTGCGTCTCTTCATCTGTATCCTTTGTATCCTTTTCATTTCTTTGAAACAGGGTCTAACTCTGTTGCCCAGGCTGGAGTGCAGTGGCACGATCTCAGCTCACTGTAACCTCCGCCTCCCGGGCTCAAGGGATCCTCTCACCTCAGCCTCCTGAGTAGCTGGGACTATAGGTGCAAGCCACCATGCCTAGCTCATCTTTTGTGTTTTTTATAGAGACAAGGTTTCGCCATGTTGTCCAGGCTGGTATTGAACTCCTGTCCTCGAGGGATCCACCTGCCTCGGCCTCCCAACCTGCTGGGATTATAGGCATGAGCCACCACTGCTGGCCCATAATATCCTTTATAATAAAACAGCAAATGTTTCCCTGAGTCATGTGAGCCACTCTAGTAAATTAATCAAACCTAAGAAGGGGGACATGGGAACCCCAGCTATAGCCAGCCGGTCAGAAGCACAGGTTATTCAACCTGGGGTTTGCGACTGGTATCAAAAATTGGGGAGAGGCAGACTTGGGACTGAACCTTCAACCTGCGGGATCTGACACTATTTTCAGGTAGACAGCATCAGAATGGTACTGAACTGGGGGACACCCTACTGGTGTCTGCTGCTTGATGAGTGGGGAAAACCTCCCTGACATTTGGTCACTGAAGTCTTCTGTGTTGATTGTCGTGGTGTGAGAGCAGAGGAAAAACAGTTTGTGTTTTTTCCACTCAGATTGAGAAACCCTGACTGTCAACGATAGAACGGGTCAAGACTTCCATGTATTATGAATATGGCAGACAAAATAAAATTCTTAGTTTCATAACGGAAATAAAGGAGAAATGTGATGTTCCGGGAAAGCAGCTGAGACACATTCTAACAGTATAGCTTATTTGCAATACATTGGGTATTTACTCAACCAGTGTTTACTAGGCATCAAACAAACTCAAAATACTTGTTAGAAAAAAAGACAATACCTAAGATGTTTTCACAGATTCACTAATCACCAACATTTCTTTGAATGTAAAAAATCTTATAAAGGTTGTTTGCAGAAATTAAATTAGTAATTTCCCAAATTTGACATGCTATTTGATTCTGTTAGCAGATAATACAACTAACTTTTTTTTGTTCGTACGTTTTCATGGTTACAGAGCTGGAGAAAGAAACGTTATGTATGAGAAAATACTTTGGTTTAAATTGTTTACGAGTAATTTCTCTCATACTGATGTGCTAAATGGCTTCTCTTTGTCCCTCCAGGTCACTCTCCATCTTTTCCGCCAGTGCCCAACTGACTGATCTTTACAGATGGTGTCAACAGATGCATCTACCCTCTGGCTTCAAGTTGAGTTGGCCAATGAAGGGTGAGAGAAAACTGAAGTAGGGTTCTTTATTCACCCAGCCCTTCCCCAAGAGGTCACCACGGCCTCACGGTGGCCCCCATGGCTCATATTAGAGAGACATTTGCGTAGCTCTGTTTCCACTCACCTCTTCCAGCCTAGGGTGGGAGCAGAGCCCCTACAATAGCTCTTGCATTTGCCTTATATCACGGTCACAGCACCGAAAATAGTCTCATTATTAAACTCTCACTGAAGAAGTGTTCTAATTGAATTGGACTATTCTGTGCTGAGAGCCTAATGAGTAGAACTTCTCTAATGATGATGTAGATGTTCATGAAGATTTACAGTTTCCACGTATGTTCACCCAGTACATCACAATGGATGCACAAATGATCTGTATAATATATACATGTAACTGGAATGAGTCCACAGATGCAGCATTTGATGTACAAAAATCTTCACAAAACCAAAGCATAGGGCAGAAGAAAAGCTTTGTAACTCTTTAAATTATAGATGATTCCAGGCATCAGTGTAGTATTTGCATAGCTCTCTTAGAACAAGGGACACTGGGAACTCAGGAAGAATCAGAACTCTTTTCATGAATTTCTTTAGTGCAGTCAAGTTTCCTCTTTTATGAACCAGCATAGTTAACCCATCTTCTAAAGAATTCGTTCATTACCACTTACATAGTTCAATCCCCAGCTTGCTTGGAGATTGAAAAATATCTCTAAGATACTTGATTACATAAGTGTTCTGCCTAGAAATCCCAAAACTCTTACTCTTTTTGCTGTCATAGGAGGCGCTGCGGAAAGTACATGACATTTGCAGTTGTGGGCGACTGTGCTGTGGGATGAAACCAGGCTCCTCATCAAGATGAACATAGATTCAAGTCTCCATCTTAGCCATTTCCTAGTTCTGTGATTATAAATAAACTCCTTGACTTTTCTGAGCCTTAGTTTCATGATCTCTGTAATGAGAATAATATTATCTCTTCCCAAGCATTTGATAATAATTAAGTGAGGTGATATAAACTGCCTAGACCAGTTTTTGACTGTAGAGGTTTTTCTTTCTTTCTTTCTTTACTCTAATTTCACCTCTGGAAAAGCAGTCAAAATGAGAAAAGTCAAACCCGCATCAGAAAAGAAGCAACTTGACACACACATGCAATTAACCCACTTCACCAGGATATGTCACCAAATTGACATCACCAGAAATAGCTGATACAATGGTTTGCTTCACCGTTTATCAGTAATCTCTTATCTTCTCTTTCCTTTTTACTTCGCTCATATCTTATTGTCCTGCTGTCATCTTTTCATGCCATGCATCTCTGGGACACCCAGCCTGAAGTGGCATATATTTGATGCTCAATAATACATGGCAGATGACATAAGATATTGGCTTTGCAAAATCTACCGCTGTTCTGAACTATCATACAAAACAATTAGTTGTTAGTATGCCATCTTTCTTATTAATCTTCCTCAATAATATGAATAATCTTAATATTTCCATTTAAGAAAAATGCAAGCTATATGTTATTCTCATTTGACAAAAAAATTATTCTAAGAGGAAACATTGGAAAATGAGTTTCAAAATAGTGGTACACAAATTTGATTCTATGTCAAATGGTTTTAAATATAAAAGTAGCATAATCATCAGGAGAGGACTTTAAAATTCACTCTTTCTACAGATCTTGAATGGCCAGATAAAAATCAGAACTCCAACCAGTTCCCACCATCTCTGATGTGAGCTCCTATTTTGTGTGCCGGATGACTCAGTGGACGCCAGCAGCAGATCAATTTACCGTAGCACAAGGTGTCTCTGTCCCAAGGTTTGTGTACTTGCATTTGCGGCAAGTCCAGTCATATATTACACATCTCCTCTGGCTGTAACTGGAGACCGTCAAGGTACAATAGTGCTGAAAGAAGTGTACTTTTCCAGCCAGGGAATTTGTAACAGATCCTGCTTCATCTTGCATCGCCATACAAAGTACCTCCATTCCATCCTTCCTAAAAGTGCTTCAGTGACTGAAAGTGGAAAAAGTGGAGCAGAATAGAGCTTGTATGCCTCAGAGATTCCAGCCATCCAACAGTCCTAACTCAATGTAATTTAAATCTTGCATGTTTTTACTTTTAAAAAAATTTGGCAACTCTAAAAAAGTTTACCAGAAAATAGTGTATCTGCGAATTTTCACTAGTTTCCTTCAAGAAGCTAGGATTTTCGTAGACTGAATACATTAAATATTGAGATTTAATAAAATTAATTTTGCTGATACAAAGGAAAAGTGAAAGAAAAAGTGAGACAGAATACTACAATTCTCTCTTTCAGTGATAAGTAAATGGTAACAAAAGTCATCTGTACAAATTCACAGAATATGATGTCATAAAGATGGGTCATCAAAATGCTTTTCAGTGATCCATTCAATAAGATGTCCCATCATGAGGGTTTGAGTAGCGAATAGGAAAGGAAGTTGTGAGGCTTCCTCCTTCGATGGGAGCCCCTCAGCACCTGAGAGGCAGAGGGCTGGGCGGGGAATGCTGATACTTTCCTTGTCAATTACGAGGCTGGCTTCCCCTTCATGATTAAAGAGCAGAAAGGGGCAAATCAGATAGCTCATGGCTTAAGTCGTTTGCATTATGTGTAGGTTTCAATTTTCCATGGTTCCCATTCTCGTAGACGTTAGACAGCTACGCTTTAATCTTTTCCTTGGCAGCTTTAATCTCTCTCCACTCAGCCATTTCTAAATTGGGGATAACATCAATACCGTAAGGATTAGCTAAGCATATCTGTAAGTACGTGACAATCACTGTAGGCTGTTTTTTATAACGTGACTTCAAAACCGAATCTGTTACGGAGTTGCTCAAGTTAACCATCTCCCGATAATGAGTTGTTTATGGAGGTGAAGATGAACAACCCAGATGCTTTGCAATGGTGGCGTTAGAAAAATATTTTATTAAATTTTTCCCTATTATCCTGGAGGAATATGTCACACAACAAAATATGGAGAGAGAGGAAGAGAAAAAAAAAGAAATGGAAAGTATTTTAATTGATCAGGAGTTCAAGACTAGCCTGGCTGATACAACAAGACCCTGTCTCTGAAAAAACAAAGAAGGACGAAGTAGAAAGTATATTTCTGAGAAGATACAGGTTATAGAGATCCTCAGTTCACAAAGCAATGGATATTTACTTTTCCACTATACAGCCCTATCAGCCGACCACAACGCTGGTTTGCTATTTTTAGCCAGTTCTTTTCTGCAGGATGTCTGCAAGCCTTCCGGGATTTCAAAGCGATCCTTCCAGTCTTCTTCAAAAGGAGTAGTCTTGCATTCCCCAACATTTCCAGTATCAACACTCTTCAGCACCTTCACCTCCAGAGATTCCTTTATTCAGACTGCCCTGCTATTGGAGCTGCCTGTTACAGGAACACTGCCAATCACGTAAGCCACACAATTGTTAAAACACTGGCTCACATTGGGAAAACAGGAGTTGTTCATTTCATGGAAAGCATTCTTCATCTGATGAATGGATTTGGTTATCAACATAGTCCTTTCATTGGTGAGCCCCTGATTTATTTACACTTGCCACAGCTCTAATCAGGCACATGGTAGCTGTGTATGGTGAAGCACTGGCTTTCAGGAGAATTCTTTTAGCTTTAACAGTCGTGGTTAGCATAACTATGTGGTTATCTTCTACTGTAAAAAATAATTCTAGGACATAAATTTGATTAACTTCTGGAAGGTTGTTGATAACAGTGGTCCTCTCCCCTTCCTCTCTCTGTCCCAGCCCCTCATTGGAGTGCATCACTCAGAATGATTTCTAGTGCACTAAGGGAGAACACACTGGGCAGAGCAGCCCTGGGTCTTGGCTCTGGCTTTGGCACTGAGCAAGTCTCTGAACCCTCCCCATCCCTGATCCTTCATGGAAGGTTCCTTCCAGCTCTTATAACTCACATTCATAGGAACGAATCATGGAATTGAGCCTCAGAAATGAATCCTATTTCAGGAACTTTTCTCATTTCTTCTGGAACGCATCAGGTTTGCATAACCTATGTTTTTTATTGAGAGTGATATGACATTCTGCTTTCCTTCTTGTTTTATCATTTGTAATTAATGACAGCTATTGGCCCAATTTCTCCTTCATGAAATTACAGCGATTATCATTTCCTTTCCATTTTCTTAGAAAATCTTTTGTAGACTTTCTGTATTTCTTAACATTCAGCAATTGTTATAGTTCGCAGAGTGCTTTATGGATTACAGAATGGTTTCATTTAGCTTTTCCTTTAAAAATTGACATGCTCATATGGCAGATATTATTATTCTCATTTCTAGGGGAGGAGAGGAAGACCTAGGAAATATAGTAACCCAGTTTAGTTTCCTTGCTAGTAAACTGAGGGAACTGAAACTGAAAATTCATATCGTTTGACTCCTAACTCAAGTAGTTAGGACTGTCAAGTTAGATACAAACCCTGAACGAAGCTTTCTAAGAGGCCTTTGGGAAAGCTATTTAATCTCTCTGAGCTTCAGTTCTCTCCTCTGTAGAATGGGAAGAATACTGGCTAAGTGTCAGTGAGGTTAAGAGCATTAAAGGGGATAATCTGTATGGGGGGAGCCCCACACAGAGTCCAGCAGATAATGAGCAGACACTCCACAAAGGTGAGTGTCTTGTCCCATCTTCTTCTATAGTCTTCCTTGTCTCTGTTGTGGTCAACCTTGGATCTATGCTGCTTATGCTGGAAAAGTACGCCCTGCCTCCTTTCCTGAGTAACTTATTCTTTGGGATCAGTCATATAATACTTAAAAAGAATTATTTTAGAGATGGGGTCTTGCTTTGTCACCCAGGCTGGAGTGCAGTGGTGCCATCATTACTCACTGCTCCTGGGCTCAAGTGATCCTCCTGCCTCAGCCTCCTGAGCAGCTGGGACTGCAGACATGCCACCATGCTTGGCTAAGTTTCTTTTTTTTAATTTTTTTTTTTTGTAGAGACAGGACTTTGGTATGTTGCCCAGGCTGGTCTCCAGCTCCTGGCCTCAAGCAATCTTCCTGCCTCTGCCTCCCAAAGCTCTGGGATTTGTGAACCACCGTGCCTGGCCAATTTTTCTATAGACCTTTGTATACCAAATTTGTGAAACTCCACTTGCAATCTGATTGGCAATGAGCATTCGTTTGCACGTGATGATTACTCTGGAAGTGTAAGCTCTACCCCCTACATTTGTAAATGAAAAAGACACAAAAGGAGAGAAACACTTCTACACGACCTCCTTCCTTAGATACAGTATCAGGGTTCTAACATTAACTTCTTACATTTAAAAAAAAATTCTGAAATTTATTTAAAAGAACTAAAGAAGAAAAATATGTCTCTTATTTCCTTGGATACTTTCCTGAATACTAAAATCAGTTAATTTTCAAGACAAGAATTGTTAAAAGACGCTCAATCAATAAATGACCATTCCTTTGCGATGTGTATTACTCCACTAGAATGGAAGCAGCATGAAAGCAGATATCTGTCTCATCTGTTTTGCTCTTTATCTCCAGGTGGTACAGCAGAGCCAGGAACCCAGGAGGTCACAGTCAATATTTGTGACATGAATGAATGAGTGAAATGAGTACATGAACAGGTTGAGTGGTCTGTGAGTGTGAGGATAGATATACAGAGGTACAGAAGATGCTCTCCTGCCTTCAGGGAGCTTGCAGTCAGCCTCAAGAGACACAATTTACAAGAAAAGACGAGTAGTCCACACTGCCAGGGAGTGAGTGGGTGGTGTCCATTAGAGCACAAGGAGGGAGCCTGCCTTAGAAGTTTGGGGAAGCAAAAGTTCACCGTGGGGCCAGAAACCTCACTTCGTTATAGGAGTTAATAAGAAATTATTTTAGGCAGATACGAAAAAGGGTCCTTGCCAAGTTTTTGTTTCTTTTAAAGTAGCTCAAGAAACATTTCTTGCCTAGCAGAAAAGCCCCCACCGGCAAGCTTTGATATGCAAATGTACGCCATTAGAAACTGGGTCCACCCAAACAAGGCAATACCCGCTGTCTTTTCCTGGTGCCCACAAGTGCCTGGCAACATGGCTGCCCCACATAACCCCACGTGTGTAGAACATCATGGCGCCCTGCATTTGCATATTAAAAGACTAGGGTGGGAGGGCCAGTTATTTCACGGGCTATGTGAATGACATGCCTGGTCAAACCAATCCCCTGTGCCCTATGCAAATCAGACACCGCCTCCTCCAGACTCCTCATATAAGCAGCCACTTTGCTGCCGCACAGCGAGTTTTCTCTTTGTTCCAATCCCCACTCCCTCCGTCTCTATACTGGGGAGCTGTTTTCTTCTTCCTTCCTTCTTTCTTGCCTATTAAACTTTTCGCTCCATGAAACCACTCCATGTGTGTCCGTGTCATTAATCCTATCGGCGTGAGACCAAGAACCCTGGTGTTCCTCCAGTCATCCGAGTCGTATCAACTTGTTCCCACCCCAAAAATCACTCTGACAAGGCTTTTCAGTGAATACACGCAGCATTAAAACAATGGCCATATTCAAGCCAAAAAGTTGCCACTGATTGAGTTTATATGAATGTTGAGACCAAAAACACAAAAACAGCTTGCCATGATATAAGACAATGGTTTTGTTTGCATCTATGACATTCTCATTGTTATATTATTACTTAATATTCTGATAAACTGTGTGATTTGCTGAGGCCACTTTGGACTTTTTCCCTAAAACAGTCATTCTTCTTTTTGAGAATATATCCTCTAATGCCACTGGTCCTTAAATATGTACATGTACAGCTGGGTTTAAAATTGATAAACGCATTGTCTTAGAGTCCTAGCCCTAGAGGCAGAATAGGATGTGGTGGGTGGTCAGAATTATAATTAGTGCAAGAAAGGGACACATTTTACAAAATAGCACATTTTTTTTCTAATTTTAAGGATGAAAGTACTCAATGGATAACTGAAAAACACAGAAATATATTTTTAAAACGCATCTCCCCCCAGAGAGAACCATTATAACTTTTGCTTGCATTCTTAGTGTCATAGTCGCATATTCAAAATATGTATGAGACGCGTATATTTGTTCATGTCTATTTAAAAAGATACATTTTGGAAATATATGATGATGACTGTTAAATGTCAGACATTATTTACTCACTCTACACATTTCGCTGAGTGACAACTGTCAGCATCTGCACTGTATCGGTAGGCATGGGGGAGGTGGCTGGAGAAGAAAGCACACAAGATTACCTCCTCTCAGAGTTACGATCCCATGGGTCAAGCAGGTATTAGGCCCAAATGAAATTTTAATTACAAAACATATATGCAATATAGAGTCCGGGTGCAGGGTGACAGGGCGCTATAAGAAAGAACTAACTAGGGACTCAATCCATATCACAGAGCATAGAAGTCTCCTCTGGCAAGACAGGACTTAAGCTGAGAGGTCAAAGATAAGAAGGCAATTTCTTTGATGGAAGGGAGGAGCGCTGTGTGGGAGCGAAGGATTCCAGACACAGGGAACAGCACACACAGACTCGGAGGAGCCACACTACCCTTCCTGGAGTGCAGACAGCGAGGTGGAGAGTAAGCTGAAACAGAGCTGGAGAGCAAGGACTGCGCTATAACCGCGCTATGTGCCAGGCTTGGGATCTCACGTGAAACAAATGGAGGACCTGATGGCTTTTAAGCACAGGAGTGGGCGTGGTCTAATTTGCATTTTGAAAATGACTGCCCTGGCTGCAATGCCAAGAGGGCCGTGGTAAGAGGCTACAGCATAGTTTCCAGGCAAGAAGGCATGGTCTCTCGAACTAGCGTGGTGGCGGCACGGGTAGAGGAAAGTGGATGAGTTTAGGCTGAGTCCTGGAGGCGGTGCCTTGTCGCCTACAGACTATGGGGCTGTATTAGGGAGACAAAAAAGGAGATAGGGGAATTGGACAATTTTTGGTATCTGGCATGATCATCTCGGAGGTGATGGAAACACTCATATATAAATGATGGGAGGACATCTAGTTGGAAAGCGTTTCGTTTTGGACGTGTTGATTTGAAATGTTCAAGTTGTGGTTTTGTTTTTTTTTTAATGGCAATGTAGAATTCTATTATAAAAGCCAATTTTTAAAACACAAGTATACTACTTCTGGAGCACAGTTTGTTTATATTTTATATTAGTATAATTTAAATATTGTTCTGATAAACATCCTTATAGATTTACCTTTGCCCATATCTCTGTTTACTTAGGAAACATGCGAGGTTAATTGACATATTTAAAAGCTTTTTGATGTGGCACAAGGATCTTTATTTCTAAGAAAGTGACTTTCATCATCACTTTAGAGCACACGGGCTCCCCTTACAGACTCATCCATTGCTGACCCTGACATTAATTCTATCAACTAATCCTAATCACAAATAAGCAATCCTTAACCAGCAGAAGAAACCTAGGATAGCTCTATATAAGCCACAAGCCAAGGAAAAGTTGAACAAAGAGGATTTTACGGTTCTTTACTTTCCTCCTTCTTATTGAACTGCCATGCTATTATAAAATCAAGTCAATTTTATATGTGATATATATGAAATATGATACCACATATTATATAATATATATTACACATTGTCATATATATGTGAATATTATATGTATATAAAATATATTCTTACATACAACAATACATTTACATACATAAGGTATACATATTATATATAATATTATACATATTATATATGTGTATATATAATTTTTGTTTGGTTTTCCTAACTTATAAAAAAATTTTGAGCACTCAGTCCTTTTTTTTATTTTTTATTTTACTTTAAGTTCTGGGATACATGTGCAGAACATGTAGGTTTGGTACATAAGTATACACATGCCATGGCGGTTTGCTGCACCTATCAATCTGTCACCTAGGTTTTAAGCCCCACATGCATTAGGTATTTGTCCTAATGCTCTCCCTCCCCTTGCCCCCCACCCCCTGACAGGCCCCTGTGTGATATTCCACTCCCCGTGTCCATGTATGCTCATTGTTCAACTCCCAGTTATGAGTGAGGACATGTGGTATTTGGTTTTCTGTTCCTGTGTTAGTTTGCTGAGAGAGCACTCAGTTCTTAACCAAAGGCTCCTAATTAAGTATTAGTCAAAATTCCATTACATCTTAATTTGAAAACTACATATATTTAGTTACAAAATAAAAGCCCAATTACTTCAATTACCTATATTGATGAAATAAAGTTAAGTTTATATGTCATTTCTACTATTCTTTCCTTAAGTGGTTTAATTTGTCAAATATGTCATCTTTTCCCAAAAATGAATCTTGATTAATTTTGACAGTTTTTCTTTTCAAAGCCCTTATAGGTACTGTTGTTATATGGTGAACACTCAAGGGATACACAAGTCCTATCATTTTCATCACCAACACGGACTTCTGATTTGTTTTATTTGATATGTCACCTTGTTGATTTAACATAAATTGTTTTATTTTCTTAATTTCTGAAAAATACTCATATTGCTGGTTTGTTTTCACTGAAGGCCTCCTGTCCATTTTTTCCCTTCTGCTTTATCAAAAAGGACTGAGGTCTCAAATGACCCATGAGAATATTTAAGTCACTTATAGAGGGCAAGAAGAAGCATAGAAAAAAAAATATTTCTGGCTGGGGGCAGTGGCTCACACCTGTAATTTCATCACTTTGGGGGACCAAAGTGGAAGGATTCCTTGAGCCAAGGAGTTCAATACCAGCCTGGGCAACATAGAGAGATCCTGTCTCTATAAAAAATAAAAATTATTTGGGAGTGGTGGTATGTGCCTGTGGTCCCAGCTCATTGGGAGGCTGAGGCGGGAGGATCACTTGAGCCCAGGAGTCTGAGGCTGCAGTGAGCTATGACCCTGTTGTTGCACTCCAGCCTGAGTGGCAGAGCAAGACCCCATCTCAAAAAGAAAAAAAGAAAACATATTTCTTCTTTGTCTAACTCCCTGAACAAAGAGAAAAACTACTTTATAGACAGGTCTTGAGCACTGCGGGAGAGTCAGGCACGTGGGGCCCCAGTATCTCATGGATTTCATGTATAAGAAGCTTCTTCTTCTTTTTTTTGAGACGGAGTTTTGCTCTGTTGCCCAGGCTGGAGTGCAGTGGCGCGATCTTGGCTCACTGCAAGCTCTGCCTCCTGGGTTCATGCCATTCTCCTGCCTCATCCTCCCGAGTAGCTGGGACTACAGGCGCCTGCCACCACGCCTGGCTAATTATTTTGTATTTTTAGTAGAGACGGGGTTTCACCGTGTTAGCCAGGATGGTCTTGATCTCCTGACCTCGTGATCCGCCCACCTCGGCCTCCTAAAGTGCTGGGATTCCAGGCGTGAGCCACCGCGCCTGGCCAAGAAGGTTCTTCTTTCCAGCTTTCTTCAGGGATCATGCAGGTATCTTCAAAGTCTAAGATGCTAGGAAGTCATGGGCACTGTGTTGAAATAGAGGGCGTATGCCTTACATAAACACATCCAAACTCTTATGGTAACAAACTGTGCTGGCCAAAGGAAAAACTACTGTCATTCAGGCCACGAGTTTGCAACTCCTGGTTTATCACAATTATAGTGATATTCCTTTAAACTAAACATTTGGATGTAATCTTTTTCCACCTATAGAAAGAGAAATCACCCTTATAACAGTGGTTTTAAAACTTTAGTTTACACAAGAATCCTATGACGAGCTTGTTACCACTGTGGGTTCCTGGGCAGCACCTCACAAGATTTCTGGGTCTGCAAGTCTGGGATAAACATCTCTGAGACAGGTGACCCAGGCTTCCACAAGCGCTGAAGGAATTTGGATTCATTCCAACCAGTTAACACTCAGAGGGTGTCAATCCAGTTCTGAGAAACTTCAAGAAATCAACCTCACATGATGTAGAAAGATTCAATCTGTAAATCATCATAGCTCTTCTTTCCAAAGTCTTTTATAATTGAGTTTAAAGCAGAGTACAAGCAAATATCTCATTTGTATGATCCATCAAAGGTCAATTGTTTTCATTATGATAGCAAAGAGGTTTTATTTGTTGTTTTTTGTTGGGTTTTTTTTTTTTTTTTGAGACAGAGTCTCACTCTGTTGCTAGACTGGAGTGCAGTGGTGCAATCTCGACTCACTGACTCACTGGAACCTCCGCCTCCCGGGTTCAAGAGATTCTCCTGCCTCAGCCTCCCGAATAGCTGGGACTACAGGCATGCACCACCACGCCCAGCTGATTTTTGTATTTTTAGTAGAGTTGGGGTTTCACCATGTTGGCCAGGATGGTCTCGATCTCTTGACCTCGTGATCCACCTGCCTTGGCCCCTCAAAGTGCTGGGATTACAGGCATGAGCCACTGTGCCTGGCCGCAAAGAGATTTTTAAAAGCCTGATTTTGGGCGTGTGTGACACTATGGGTTGAATCTCATATTCTGCTATTGACGGGGATGAACTTGGGCAGTTTATTTCACTCTCAAGCCTCAGCTCAGCCATGGATAAAATGGAGATAAGAAAAGAAATGACTGCACGATGTGGTTGTGAGGAGTCAATGAGGCAATGTACAGAAAGCACTTACCATGCATGGCACACACGAGGGCAGAACAAATGTGTGTTATCTTTGTCACTACTTTTCTACAAGAATCAGAACAGGATGCTAACAACATATGAAACTGATAATTCTGCACTTGTTTTCAGGGATATTTTAAATGGTCACCTCCTCATCCCCCAAACATAACAAGAAAACCCCATAGAATTACAGTTTTTATTACTTTATGTTAGTGAATAAAACTTGTATCTCTATTATAACACTAGGATAGAGGTTTTTTTGTTTTGTTTTGTTTTGTTTTGTTTGAGATGGAGTCTCACTGTCTCCCAGGCTGGAGTGCAGTGGTGCGATCTCGGCTCACTGCAAGCTCCACCACCCGGGTTCACGCTATTCTCCTGCCTCAGCCTCCCGAGTAGCTGGGACTACAGGCGACCGCCACCACCACGCCCGGCTAATTTTTTGTATTTTTTAGTACAGACAGGGTTTCACCGTGTTAGCCAGGATGGTCTCGATCTCCTGACCTCGTGATCCGCCTGCCTCGGCCTCCCAAAGTGCTGGGATTACAGGTGTGAGCCACTGCTCCCGGCCCTGGATAGAGTTTTAAACTGGGGGATTTTGAATCCTTTCAGCTCTCTCTGTTTTGATAAGATATTTCTCCTTATCACTATCTTATGTTATTCTGAAGGTGTAACTCATGAAATATGATCTGTCCCCTCCTCCAATGCTATCCACTTGTTTCCAAGCAATGAAAAATCATAGTTTCTATATTCTTCTTATAAAATAAAAAGAAGCAGAATTCTGTGATGGAAAAAGTAATAATGACTTGTATACGAATTCTGTGGATTTTTACTTCTCCCTTAATTAATGCATCAATGCTACATATTTTTATAAAACACTAAGTCCCTGTGAAATGTATGTGCCTCTAAAAACTCAATGCATTGATATACCTACCCTATTGAAATGGATAATTTCATTAATAGTAAGTTAGAGAATGCTGATTAAATGAAGAAAACACATGAATATATTTAAAGTGATGATATCTTCACTTTTTATGGTATAATTATAAGTATATGAACAATTCTACACAGAATTACATACATTATGATCACATTAGATAATTTATCATTATGATTCATCATTTTTATGCTAAACAGAGAAGGAAAAAGGAAGCAAGACAATAAGGAGGGTATGGGGGAAAATGAGAAGGAAGAGGAGAATCCATCTACTAGCAAATGTTTATTGACCAACTACTATATACTCATGATTTCAGGAGCCAAGGAGAAAAGTTTTACCTTGGAAAAGCTTATGGTCTAATTATAATAACTCTTTTACTGCTAGAGAAAAAAATATTCATGACACTTGTTAAGGACACACAGATTTTATGAGGGGGGACACCACAAGGAGGTTTGTAGTTGGGAAGAGTGACTGAGCTCAACTCCAACTACAAGGACGAGCGGAGACTGATGGCCAAGAAGCAGGCTGCGGGTGAGCAGATGGAAAATTACTAAGTGGGAACATCAAGGCCGGGGGTTATTACTAGGCTGACTCAAAAATAATCTTGTTGAAGGCAGGCCAGGGTGATAAGATACCAAGGCTAGGGGATGAGGCATTTGATCAGGTACCAAGGGGGATCAGACCCCAAGTGCAGGGGACTTTCATTAAACTGACGCAGCAGGATTCTTGCTGAAATTAGACTAAATGGGCCAAGGACAGACCAGAGTGAGGTTAGGGAGAGAGTCACTGTCAATACAAAAAATAAAGAAAAGAAAGAAAGAAAAAGACAGGAGAGGCAGAGACAGACAGACACACACACATGCACACATGCAGAAAGAGAAGAAAGATAACAAGGACATGTAAGTAAATGGTCTAGCCTCTAAGTTTACAGGAGTTAAGAGAAAGTGAGTAAAAGTGTGTGGAAAAGAATTCTTATATGAGATTGCCCTAGAGTACATCTTAAGGGAAGAACCTGTCTCTCTCTCTCTCTCTCTCTCTCTATATATATATATATAGATAGATATAGATATAGATACAGATATATATTTAGTGTGTGTGTTTATTATATATTTATTTATATATGTGTGTGTTTATTATATACACATAATAAACACACACCTTGGTAAACCACTTGGAGGAAGGGGCCCCAAGATCATGAGGAAATGAGCTGACTCAGAAGCAGCTGAACAGCAATGCTTGCGGGATTAGGAGGCATTTGTCAGAGGGGCAGCTACGAAGGGGGCAGTGGAGGGAAAAAAGGATGGATCCCCTGATATACTGAAGAAATCTTGCAAAGGACAGTGGAGGGTAGAGAGTAGGGTGTTAAGTCAACTTTTAATAACCACACACGGTTTTGACATGTCCACTGCTGCTTGTCTGCAAGCAGAAGTGGCGTGATTCGATGATAGTCTTACTTCTGGATGGCAAGGATGATTTTTTGGCCAGACAATACTGTTATCATTAACAACAACAAAATCCCCACACATTAAGTACTGGGTTGGCTGAAAACAGACCTATACCAAATCAACACCTCACCATTAAGGAGCTAAGCCTACCGCACGGCATTTTCTCTTTAGCCAGAGCCAAGATTTTATGAGAAAATATGAAGAGAACAGAGAGTTGCCGGAATGCAATGTCACTGCATTGCAGGGCTGTATTTGTTGGCAAGCATCTGAGACCAGCCTCTGCAAACTGCTGTAGGCAGGGCCTGGCCTAAAGCGGATGAGCCCCCCTGGGGCTCGGTTGCCCTGGCCACACCATGATCCTTCTCTATGACTTACCCTCTGAAGAAAACACAGCTTTTCCTAGCAGCTAAAAAACAGTTTCTCTAGACTTTTATCTTCCATGATAAATGCAGATGTTTAAGGGTCATTTTGTAAATTATCCTTCTACAATGTTTTCAGTTCTCAATAATCAACTACTTGATACTCACGAGAAAAGCAGAATTCTTCTTAAGCCTTCTGATTCAAAATGCTTCTCCTAAAAATGTCTTCCTCTGCTAATAAAGTGTTTCACATCATTACAACACGGAGAAAACATGTAGATCCCAGGCAGTCCAGGCTATGATGAATATCTCCAGCTTTTCAGAAAGACAAAGTTGATTCCACATCACTGTGACTCCTAATGACCAGTTGTCTCAAGGGAGGTCTGAGTCACAGTCCCAGCAGTGTCTCCAAAGGCAGTACGGTGCTCATGGATAATTACAGTTTCATATGTTGGTAAAAACACAATCCACCCAGTGATCTCATGTCTACTCGAACGTTACAGCAGTTCTAGAGTATCGCTGTAGAATCATCGTGAACTGTGGTATTTTGCAGTAACCATTAAAGTACAACAGTGTTTGAATCATCTGTGGGTCTATTCGTCTGCTTGGGCTGTGATAACAAAGTACCACAGACAGGATGGCTTAAACATCCTGTGAGAAATGCATCCTGTGAGAAATGCATTATCTCACAGTTCTGAAGGCTGGAAGCCTGAGATCAAGGTTATAGCAGACTGGTTCCTTCTGAGGCTGTGCGGGAGAGTCTGTTGCTTGCCTTTCCCCTTGCTGGCCGTCTTTGGCTTCCTTGGCTTGTAGACGCATCACCTGGATCTCTGCCTTCATCTTTGCACGGTATTCCCCTTGCGCGTGTGTCCATGTCCAAACTTCCCCTTTTTATAAACAAGGACACCACTTATATTGGATCAAATGCCCACCCCACTCCAAAATGACCTAATCTTACCTAATCTGTTAATTTACCAGCCACTCATTTCCCAAAAAAAGTCACATACGTAGGTACTGGAGGTTAAGACTTCAGAATATGAATTGGAAAGGAAACAGAATTTAGCCAATATCAGTGGCATTTCAGTGAAAGTAGGCCACCTGATATGAAGACCCTTCTTGAAAAGATTACAGAGCTTAGGAACATAAGTTGACCTCCAACTGGCTTTAAAGTCTCTCTATAGATGGCCTGCTAAGCTGCACACTTTCCAGAGACTGTGGTTTTGTTCTCAATCAAAAGTCTTTCCTTCAAAGCATTTTTCCCCATAGGAAAAAATAAAATCTTTAGGGAAGACACATCCGTCAACTTTTCCCAGTAGGTTTCATTTAAAGTCCCTCTCTGGTTGGCACTTTTGCTGACTGATTTCTCTTTTAACCCTCATGTCTTTTCCCGCATGCCATTGTTGGATAATATAGCAATTCGAACACTGTTTGAATAACAATCTAGAGGACAAGAGCCTTTCCTGCTTTCATTCATTTATTCATTCCACAGATGATTTTCAGAACCGCTCTTCATGGCGTGACCTCTGTAAGCCCTTCAGGATAAAACATGAATAAGGCACTGTCCCTGCCACGCAAAGGCTTGCACTCACCAGTGAAACAGAATGAAGACACCCTTCTAGAATAAAGGCATCCAATTTGCTTTTGTTTAGAAAACTCTCACCCTTCCACAAAGCAATATGAGATTTTACATATTAAAGAACAAAAAAATTTTGGTCAATCACGGTGGCTCACACCTGTAATCCCAGCACTTTGGGAGGCCGAGACAGGTGGATCACCTGAGGTCAGGAGTTCGACACCAGCCTGGCCAACATGAGGAAACCCCAGCTCTACTAAAAATACAAAAAACAACAACAACAACAACAACAAATTAGCCAGACATGGTGGCGGGCCCCTGTAATTCCAGCTACGTGGGAGGTTGAGGCAAGAGAATCGCTTGAACCCGGGAGGCGGAGGCTGCAGTGAGCTGAGGTTGCACCACTGGACTCCAGCCTGGGCAACAGTGAGACTCCATCTCAAAAAAAAAAAAAAAATGAGAGAGAAATCAAGGCAGTTGCTGACATTCAACTCTAATCAGATACTCAAGACGGGGTCTGTCTTTCTAAACACTGTTCTGTGGCCCCCTCTGTGCATCCCTAGACTGCTCAAGGAGAAGATGCTTGATCATGGCTCTTCGGGATAGTTTGTTACTGAGTCAGGTCGCTTCTCCATAATTTGCACTTTAGGTGTTTTGGATAGTACCTTCTATGTATGAAATATGTTCTGCCTTTCTGTTCCAAGTCAAATCATTACAGATATCAAAATCAGCCAACAATCAAGGCTAATGTAGCTCTTTCCCCAGTTCTTAAGAAAAATCCAAAGAAACACAGTTTGTACCCACAAACCAATAGGCAATGTATCAGTTAGTAAAACCCGATCCAAATTCAATAACTGAGAAGTTTTTCTGGTCCTTAAGGCACAAGGGGTTCAATCCCAAGTATCTACTATTTCCACAAGCTTCTGTCCCACCATAAAGGGGCTGAGTCTCAGCTATCAATACCACATTTTAAATTTATTATTTTATGCTTAAATATCACTTATCTGTAACAAGAAACTCAAAACTAAGCCATGGGAGATAACACGTTTAAGAGACTCCTTGACTTTTGCATCAGTTTTCTCTGCCCCCATAAGCTTGTTGAGATATAAAGCAAGATAATGGCAAACACAAAAATGTCTCTCACTATGTCCCAGCACTATTCCAAGTGCTATAGCAATATTAAGACATTAGATCATTAGAACAAACTCCACCAAAAGGCCAACATTTTACCATGAGTAGCCATTGTTAGTACCCAAGAACTAGTTCTTTAGACATACCAACTTTAACTAGGGTATTGATAGGGCTAATTATCACCAATTTGAAGCTGTCCAGTTAAAACCTAGAACGGTGGGCTGTTTTTGAGATATGTATATGGGTGGAAAACATGATTTACTCTCCACAGAGACACCAATAATCAATCAGAGCCGTAGTTGGTAACACAGAGCATCATGGGAGAATGTGGAAAAGAGACACAGGCTGCCTTTGAAAATTAAGTGGGAGAGTAGTGAACAGGTATGTTTTCTTTTTCTTTGTGACATGGTCTCACTGTCACCCAGGCTGGAGTGCATTGGTATGATCTCGGCTCACTGCAGCCTCTTTCTCCCAGGCTCAAGTGATTCTCCTGCCTCAGCCTCCTGAGTAGTTGGGATTACAGGTGTGCACCACCATGCCTGGCTAAGTTTTGTGTTTTTTGTAAAGATGAGGTTTCACCATGTTGCATGTTGGACAGGCTGGTCCTGAACTCCTGAGCTCAAGTGATTAGCCCGACTCGGCCTCCCAAACTACTGAGATGACAGGCGTGAGCCATTGCACCTGGCCAACGGTAAGTTTTCAATGAGGAGACACGTGCTATTCAAACTTAGTCCCATATTTAGTTGTGCGAAGAGAAGTAAATATAAAGCCTTCACAAGAAAAGCACCAAGGCACATGGTTTATCCTGGCTCTGGTTGGCTCCAGTTTCACCCACCCTCCATCCCTGCAACAAATATTTATTGATGGCCAACTGAGAGTGGGCAGTATCCTCAGTTCCAAAACTACAAAGGCTGAATGCAGTTGCACATAGGCAATGGGTACTGAAACCATCAATTACACAAAGTTATAAAGTACGTATGGGAACTCACAAACAGGATATTTAGGAGAAGGAGGTGGTGGGAAGCTTTCAAGACAGAGAATTGAATGTTCATAAGTGTGACATATTCAGAAATTAATTTTTAAAGTAAATTTCCTCAAATCTAATCTAAATTTTAATTCTGAATTCTTCAAGCTGACCCTTGCCACCATTGATAATAGTGTGATAACCATAAATCCCATATTTCTGATCATTCCCAGTTTTGAGTATTCTGTCTCTTTGTCAAGTCACATGTCCCAATTTTAGGGCTAGAAAACATGGTCATCACGTTGATTAGAAATGCAATTTACAGAAGATTTCCCTTTCCGTCTGCTTCTAAGACTATGCAAGAGTCTCCTTTCACCTCCCACACTCAGCTTCTGCTCTCACTACCAACAGCACAGCATGCACGGCACGGCACAGCATGGCACGGGCTGTCAGTTTCACTGAAGGTGGAAATTCCTCAAGAATGCCTAATTAGAATGTTTTAAAAAATAAATTCAGCTTCTTAGACAGTAAGAGGACTACCTTCTAAAAGATTACATAGCACAGTTATTTTAATTCCAAATGTAATTGAAATTCCACTCAGAATTGTCTTCTTGAATGACAAGTCATTCTATTTCAACAATGACATTGACTGATTTTAATTATGACATGGTTTCCTGTCAGCCTGGTGCTTGAACCCGATTTTAAGGAAAACTCATTCATCTCGTGCTTCTGCCAGTGAGTGAGTGAGTGAGTGAGTGAGTGAGTGCTTCACGAGAACTGGAGGAGCATGTTTCCTACGCTTTGAGAAATACATGTGACCTTTTGAAAAGTATATCAAGTTCTGCATTGTACTAGCAGTCTCACCGTGGGTGAGGCAATTTCTTGAAACTTCTGTTTATTTACTCTTACAGTGAGATAGGTTCAATTTTTCTTAACAGAGCTATTGTTAGGGTGAAATGAAGTAGCTGCTTAGCCATGTATCTGAATCCAAGATTTTTGCTCTTTATTGACACCATAATGCCTCAATCTTAAGGTTGATGGGCACTAAAGTGCTTAACTTCAGAAGTGGAGAACTCCATATTTCCTGAGCCCAGGAACAAATGCACTAAATCCTTCGTCAAAAAGTACCTCTAGGTCTGTCCTCCTGCCCCAAAGTGATGAAAGATGCATTTAGCAGGGCTCTACATCCTTGGTTCAGTCCTCCTACAGGCTCCTGATTCGAAAGCTCACCAAGTGATGCCTCATTAAAACCACTTTATTTTAGCTGGAAGTGGAGGGGAGGGGGAAATGAGGAATGAGGAAGCAATGAACACAGAATGATGTGAAGAGGGATGCTGCCTCAGCAGGGACCGGCATCCAGCCCCACAGGTGCTGTGCTGTGGAGTCGGCTCCAGCATCTACTCCTTTCTGTGCTATGTAAGTGGAGAATTACACATCTCTTCAGAGTTGGAATATCTTCTCCTCTCTGCCCCTTCAAACTCAGTGTCATCTTTGGAAATAGCAGCTCACACCACTACTGCTGTTCAGAGACTGTCAGTGGCTGCCTGCCTCCTAGGTTTTAGAGAAATCATTCTTTTTTTTTTTTTTTTTTTGAGATGGGGTCTTGCTCTGTCACCCAGGCTGGAGTGCAGTGGCATGATCTCGGCCCACTGCAACCCCCACCTCCCGGTTCAAGTGATTCTCCTGTGAGTAGCTGGGATTACAGGCACCTGCCACCATGTCCAGCTAATTTTTGTATTTTTTGTAGCGATGAGGCTTCACCAGGTTGGCCAGGCTAGTCTCGAACTTCGGACCTCAGGTCATCCACCCGCCTCGGCCTCCCAAAGTGCTGAGATTACAGGCGTGAGCCACCACGCCTGACCAAGAAATTATTCTTAACATTTTGTAGTTCAGATATTCTTTTGATAATCTAGGGGAACCTAGGATCCTCTCACCCAGAAAAATGTAGACACATACACACACACACACACACACACACACACACACACACACACACCCTTTTATTCTAGTTCCATGCTCTAAAACTTGTCCACAAACTCCAGACTGAACAACTTGCTCAGGAAGATCAGAACTCAAACTTCTTATCCTGCGTGTCAAAGCTCTCTGTAATCTCACCATTCATCACCCAAGACTTGACCATTTCTGAGATCCCAGTGGAAAGCATCCACTCTGATAATTATCTCTGATCATTCCAGGCAACTTATCCTAGTATCTACACTCTGGTTACGTTCCACCTCCCCGAGAACCCCAGTGCACCAACCCTATGAGTTTCCCGCCTGTCAGCACCACTCCCCACAACTGCTTTCCCCCCCAGCAGCCTGGAGGCCAGAACCCACCAGTGCAAATGTCCCTTCATATTCTGCCTTCATCCCCTGCTCCTCTATTCTCCCCCTGTACACATGCCTGGCAATACACCAGTCTGTTTACATTCAACCCTCTAACTACATTATGTCCGCTTCAAAGCACGAAAGCAACAAAGAAAAAGGATGCAAATGTGCTGATGGGTCTCACTTTTAAAGACATCACTACGCGGCTCAATCAGTATTTAAAACTGCCTGGTGATTCTAACAGATTTCCCGATAAATACTCCTGTTCTCTCTCCTAAAGGAATACTCAGTGCCTTTTTATCTTTTGTTCAGCCCTTTAACCTCTGCGCCCTGGCCATATGTTGATGGTCTTGCTATATACTTTAAGAAAATAGAAGTATTCTGACAAAAATTACTTTATTTTTCACCCTGAATGCACCATTTTACCTAAATTTCTCTCCTCTCTCATTTTATTGAACTGTCCATCCTTCTCTCATCAGACAAACTGACCCATTGTCAACAGTGTATTTTACCTCTTCCATTCCTCAACAAATTCTTCCGTGCAATTGTTCCTAATATCCCACTGGATCATCAGTTTCCTTCTCTTCACTGGAATAGTTCCATCAGCATTCAAATATGCTGTAATACTTCCACCTTAACCAAAAAACAGTGTGTTCTTTGGCCCACGTCCCTCTCTGACTGCTGCTCTATTTCTCCCTTCTCCTTCCCAGGAACAGTTCTCCAAAGAGGTATCTGCACTTCCTGTCTCAACTTTCTTTTTTTTTTGAGATGGAGTTGCACTCTTGTTGCCCAGGCTGGAGTGCGATGGCGCGACCTCGGCTCACCGCAACCTCTGCCTCCCAGGTTCAAGCGATTCTCCTGCCTCAGCCTCCCTAGTAGCTGGGATTACAGGCACGTGCCACCACGCCTGGCTAATTTTGTATTTTTAGTAGACAGGGTTTCTCCTAAAGTTGGTCAGGCTGGTCTCGAACTCCCAACCTCACGTGATCTGCCCGCCTCGGCCTCCCAAAGTGCTGGGATTACAGGCATGAGCTACCACGCCTGGCCTGTCTCAACTTTCTTAACGCCCATCCACTGTCTCCAGAATCAACTCCAGAAAGCCCTTCATCCCCATGCCCCCAGTGAAACCATTCTCATCATAGTCACCAACACTCTCCACCTTGTCAAATCCAGATGTCTGTCCAGAGTTCTCTTCTTACTTGACCTCTTGGTAGCATTTGACCCAGATGAGCCGCACCCTCTTGAAGCGTTTCTTTGCTTTTCTTCTAAGACGCCACACAGCCTCTGGGCTGACCTCCTACATCAGTGGCCATTTCTGTTTTCTCTGTCTCTTCAGAGAATGTAGGCATGCTTCAGAACTGGTCCATGGCCTTCCCACCTCACCCTCCTCTCTCCTTTGGTGATCTCAGAAGGTTCCATGGCTTAAGTACTGTCTAAACACTGATAGCTCCCAAACATATATCTCCAGGACCAATCTTTCACTTGATCTCCAAACTAGTATGGTCAACAGCCCAGTTACCACTTGCAGGATCCCAAATGGCACACGGCCTAGACAGAATTACTGATTTATTAAACTCCTTCCTCATAAATGTGCTTTTCCCTTTTTACCCTTATTCCCCATACATGAAGAACCATTCTACATATTCTTCAACCATCATACATTGCAATCCTGTTGCAGCTCACCACCTCCCCAGCCATGACCTCTGACTGCTCCTGTCCAAGCCCCCCTCATCTCTCACTGGACTTGCATTCCGCTCCACACCAGCTTTCCTGCTTTGTCATTCTCTGGCTTAATATCCTCTAATAGCTTCTCAGCATATAAAGAATAAAATCCAAACTGATTGCCAGGGTCTTCACTGCCCTTCAGACTCTGACCCCACCTACTTCTTTGACATAATCTTACTCTTCTCCACCCAAGCTGGCTACACCAACTTGTTCCAGCCTAGGTACTTTTATCTTTGCTGTTGCCTCTACAGAGCAGTCTCCCCCAGGTTTTCTCATCGCTGCAAAATGTGTGCAAAACATCATTCAGGAGTCTGTTCCTGTTTTTCTTTGAGGAGTCCTATATTGCCCTATCTAAAAATATTGCACCCTTTATTCTCTAACCCAGTGGTTTTCAGTCAGGAGAGACTTTTGCCTCCCTAGGGGCATTTAGCAATGGATAGAGACATTTTTGGTGGTCGTTACTGGGAGTTGCTACTGGCATCTAGTGAGTAGAGGCTAGGGATGCTACAATGCACTGGACAGCTGCCCACATAAAAGAATTATCAGGGTCCCACAAATGTCAGTAGGATTAAGGTTGAAAAACCATGCCATTCGTCTACTTCGTTATTATCACAGCACTTATCTGCATCATCATAATAATAATTAACATGTATTTCAGACTTACCACGTGCCGGACACCATTCTAAAGTTTTTACATTTATTTCCTCTTTAATCCTCATGTTCCAACCATATAAAATGGGTCCTATTATTACACAGATGGGACATTAAGGCAGGAAAAGGTTAACTGTCTTGCTCCAGATCAAGTTGGAGAGCTAGAATTTGAATGTAGATGGTCTGGCTCTAAAGCCTTTACCTTTAACCATTGCATTAGAGGGCCATGAGGTTACATTTTTTTCCTATATTATCTGTCTTTTCCCACTAATATACTATCTCCATGAGAACATGGAAATAATATACTTGTTTATCTCTGGATCCTCTCTGTCTAGACATATAGGAGGCCCTCAAAAATCTTGAACGAATGAAGAGTTCTGCATACCTTTCCAGCATTGCTTCTTATAATCTCACACAAAGCTGACTTCCCGGGAAATGACCTGCTTTCTATCCTGGAGACATTCCAGTTTCTTGCTTTCCCTCTGATTCAGCCCACACTCTCTCAGGTCCAGTTTTTCCTCCTCACTCCTGTACTCAACACGAGTATGATTGCACCCATTTCTCCAGCCCCGCCTCCAATCTTGCATAACACATTTCAGACCCATAGATCCACAGAGTCATTTTGGTGGAAAGAACGTTAGAGATTACAGCTTTCAAATTATTTATTTTACATGTAAGAAAAGTAAGACTTGGATGGCTGGGCACGGTGGCTCACACCTGTAATCTCAGTACTTTGGGAGGCCAAGGTGGGCAGTTTGTCTGAGGTGAGGAGATCGAGACCAGCCTGGCCAATGTGGTGAAACCCCATCTCTACTAAAAATACAAAAATTTGCCAGGTGTGGTTGTGCACGCCTGTAATTCCAGCTACTCGGGAGTCTGAGGCAGGAGAATCACTTGAACCCAGGAGGCAGAGGTTGCAGTGAGCCAAGATCATGCCACTGCACTCCAGCTGGGGTGACAGAGCCAGATTCCATTTAAAACAAAAAACAAAAAACTAAGACTTGGAGAAACTAAGCAAGATACTGATGAAAATTCCAGTTTTTCTTCCTTCTGTTTGGAATTTTCATGTAACTCTGAAATGCTTCTGGGAAGAAAGAATTTGTAGAAGCTCTTAGGGCAACAGGCCCCCCATAGCCCACTTAGGAAAGCACTTTTTGCAGTCCTCAAATCGAACAGGACCTTCATTTAGATGACTACATTTCCCTAGGTTTATATTTTCTTTTTTTTTTTGAGTTGGAACCTCACTTTGTCACTCAGTCTGGAGTGCAGTGGTGTGATCTTGGCTCACTGCAACCTCTGCCTCCCGGGTTCGAGTGATTCTCCTGCCTCAGCCTCCTGAGTAGCTGGGATTACAGGTGCCCACCACCATGCCCAGCTGACTTTTGTATTTTTAGTAGAGCTGGGGTTTCACCATGTTGGTCAGGCTGGTCTTGAACTCCTGACCTCGTGATCCACCCGCCTCGGCCTCCCAAAGTGCTGGGATTATAGGCATGAGCCACCGCGCATGGCCCCATATTTTCTTTACTCTTGCCCCTCAGTACAATGTGTCTCCATGCTCTTATTAGAACAATTTCCACCTTTGCCCCTTATTTTATCTCCACCCCAAAATCAGAACTATGGTTCTTGCCTTTAAGGAGTTTACAATGTAGATAGGGAAAGAGATCATGTATGTCTTATATTAGATCTTCCATTACTTTGCAGACTGGTTCATAATCTGATAGAATTACTGGAAAAACAAGTGACAGCTTTCTCTCCAACTTGTTCTACTTGTTTCTGAGAGTGTGACTGAAAAAAATGTGGTTTACACCCAGATGATGAACTGACAGTTGTATATTTAATAATTAGGATATGAGAAAATAAATTCCACAGATAATCTGTTTGATATCATCTATATTTTCTTTAATGAAGGTGGTTTAATGCAACAATAATTTTTAGAAGGCTTATGACATTTTTCCTGATGAAACAGATTTGGATTAATGGTGCTTCTAGGAGAAATAATTTCCTCATAGATCACGTTCAAACACATTCAGAAAAGAGATATTCAGGAAAGATCCCTTGGGTGGCTTAAGGCCATTTCAACCTACGAACCTAGTAGTTATGGACAAATAGGATATTCCACATAGTAACAAATTACCACCCCTCAGATTACCTAATGATTGTAAAAGGGAAAACTTTTCTTTTTGGAAAGATCTGGCAGTCACCACCTTAACCAAAAAATCAACTGCAGCATCACTGAATTCTGATGTCATGAAATTGTGTGCCTCCAGATGTGATGGCATAGAAACATCATCTACGACATATTCTTGCCAAAAACATACAAATGGTACCTACTCAAGCTGTAAGAAGTAATTTCTAGTTAATAGGAACCAAAGGGAACATCATTACAATAAAGCAATCACACAAATCCTCACTGTGGGACGTTTTACAAGACAATTGGCCTGTTCTCTTCACAAAGTCAATGTCACAGGGAAAAATAGCAGGGGGAATATATTAGATTAATAGAGATGAAATTCCTGAGCCTCCAGTATAACCTGGTTGAAGAACAAAAGAATAAAATAATTTAAAAAGAACAATTGAAAAAGACTAAAAGTGAAATGGACGTTAGGTTATATTAGAAAACTATTAATTTTCTTAGTTGTATTATAAAATTGAGGCCATGTAATACAATGCCCTTACTCTTGGGGTCTCCTGTTTCTAGGAGTGAAGTACGTCATGATGCCTACAATTTATTTTCAAATGCTTCTTCAAAACACATGCCCGTGAGGACCTAGCAGTACAGCAACATGTTAATAATTAAATCCAGCTAGTGGGTATTTGATGTACTATTCTTTCAATCATTCTGTTTGTTTAAATGTTGAAGGTAAAAATGTTGAAACGAAGCTAATGGTAGTGCTTCAGAAAGTTACTTAGCAAAGCTATGTCCTACTTACATTTGTCATTCTGCACTCCTTATTAGGAAACTATTTTATTAAATCTCCTGTAATATAACTGATCATATATGCTTCACACAGGAAAGCCCTCATACGGAAAGCCAAACGCTTATATAGCCAACTACTTTTTCTTAAATCTTCTGCAAATTCTAAGTAAGTGACTGGCAAGAAATGCTTTCGGGGCCCCAAATAGAGATGAGAAGCACCCACTTAAAGCCACTGTGTGGCCACTAGCCTGGGCCTAGTTTCCAAATTGACACTTTCATTGACATCAATGTGATGTCAGCCACATCACTTAAATACTTACATAGATTGAGTCTCAATGTCAGTTCATTTCCAGAGATCAGAACTGTGTAACATGTCAGTTCTAACAAATGAGACCAGATATGAATTTACACAATATAGTCAATCTAGAGACTATAAAGACACAACACATCTAAAATTTGGATCTGAAATGCATAGTGCAGAAATCACACAGCCCTTTTGATGCATTGACACTTTTCAAACTACAGAGAAGCTGAAATGTGGCACTAAGTCATTATAAATATTTAACAGGAAAATGCTGGCATAACTAAAAGAGTTCAGGAACATACATATATCCATGAAGCTTCATTGCAGATACTCATGAGACAAGCGCCTCAAGTGACTTTACATCCTGGAAAATGAAGACAAGTATAAAGAAATATGATTCTGTGAAAGTCATTTGTAGGACACTCCATATTACGGTGTGTCCCACAATCATAAAACAATGAGCTTTTCTCTGCAATCCCATGGCACAGGTAAGTGCAAGATTAGCATCGCTACCAACAGCCGAAATATTTGGGGTCAAACCCTGTTACAAAACCACTCTGTCACTGAATTTCTCCAATGCAGCAGCCAACAATTTATAGGAAAAAGAACACTAATATCAAGCCTTTAAAGGGTGCTCCAAACATAAAATCATGAGTGCTCTAGGAACTTTTGGAGCTTATGAATCACACTATGCAACGTGCTCATATATGCCAATGCCCGCCACGTTTTACTCAAGTTGGTGTTGATTTGGAGATGGGCCCTGAACATTAAGTAGAATATAGACCATCAGCAGTTACTAAGCTAAATGCATTGTGATAGCTTGGAAGTTTAGTCCACCTATTTGATTCTGTCAACTTGTTGATACAGTAACCATTGCAATGACAAGTTGACCATTTTGAGAAGTTTATGAACCCCATCAGCTCTCTCCTGAGAGAATAATGTTGAATAAATGAAGAAACCAAACCAAATATTTGGACAGCATTATCAACAAATAAAAGGTATAACATATGACTTAGCAAATTTTTTAGCTATGTCTTTAAATTTTTGACTGAGGTTAGGTCAAGGGTAGGCACATTTAATAGGCAACATTTCATAACAAGAATGAAAAATGATGATGATTCAAATCCCAAGTTATTTCCCGATCATTGCACAATTTTGGTAAACCTTTAGGAAGAAAATTTGATTTCATCTACAGATCCTCTTCTAGTGTTCCACTGATTATATTACTATAGGAAATATATGTTCTTTGCCCTTTTCATTTTAGAAATTCTTGTTTTTGTCATTATTCACTCAACAAACATTTCTCGAGAATCAGGCAAACATAAATTAAAAATGGTTGACATGTTAGAAACACAAACAGGTGCTGAATGAGCAGAGAGGACAGATATCTGATCCATGCTGGCTAAGTGTGTGAGCAGGGGCTTGCTGTGAGATGTGCCATGTGCCCGGAAATGGAGGGCTTCGGGCCGGAGTAAGAAGTGACTGATGGGATGGAGGGGTAGGGAATGATGTTCCAGGAAGAAGCAGCAGCAGTCAGAAAGGCAAGGGTGGTGGAAAAGAACCATGTGTTTGGCAGCTTCATGGCAATGGGGCAGAGGCTGTTGGGAGCTCGCATGTTGACAGATGGTCAAGACTTTGTAATCCATGAGCAAAGCTGGACCTTCTTCTGAGAATAAAGGGCTATCTTTAAAAAGTTTAAGAAAGTTACTAACATGAGGAAGTGATCCTTTTGGGGTTGATAGGTGTGATGATTGGGTTTCTATGCATGTGTGTGACATGTGTCTCCCTCAAAGCTTGTTACCACATCCGTACAGCACCCATAGGATGTTGGGGGGGTGGGTGGGGAAGGAAAAACAAGAAGAAAAGGAAAAAGAGAACATGAGTAGATGTGTGTTTTCGAAAGTCAACTCTGGCAAGTATGTAGAAGTTGGAGGAGGCAGGCCTAGAAACCTATCACAAGGTTATTGCCATAATTGGAACAAAAAAATGTGAGTGTGAGCGAAGGCAATGGTGAGAATAGAAGAAACAGGGATGGGTTGGAAAGAGCAACAAGCCTACAAATATGTTTTGTAAGTTTAGCATCTGTAAGAACCTGAAAATGGATGAAGCTTAAAACTTGAGATGAGAGTTAGACATAGATATGAATTCCAGAAAAATCAATATATGACATTTCTTGCCCATTTACATCTCCAAATATCTTTTCTTTGTAGTGTTCTAATCAAAACATCAGCAAAGGAAATACAAAGCAAAGTAAACAAACAAACATCCTTCCATCTCCTCATCCACCCTGCTTCTCCTCTAAATGATGAACTCATTCTTTTCAAAATATATTAATGGAATAAATTCAACACTTAATGTACATCTGAACCTAATTTTGTAAATAAGACATATTTTACAGCACATATCTTTCAATTAAAGTGCCAAATAAGACAATAAAACCTTCGGTTGGCTTTTTATTTCATTGAACAGATAAAAATACTTAATTAAATAAAATGCAAAATGATGACCTGTCAGATTGCTCCCTGACTCCAGAAATCATCTTTCATCCCTGACTATGTGTGCCAGGGTCATACAACCAAACCTCTCCCTGGGGTGTACCCCAACAGATGGGTACCTGGCCCATGACTTAGTGTTCTCACCTCCTCCCATCAATTTCTACTCCATTCCCCAACAATTACATATCCAGGGTAAAATCGGATCAAGGAAAAAGGAGGATTTGTGTCTCCGCAGTTCATGGCCCTGGCATTTATAGCTTTCCCCCTTTCAGTTTTCTTGAATTCCTTCTCCATCCTCTCCCTACCCCTTATCCAGGAAAAGTGCAACCTGTGCATGTGGTTGGTCTTCAGTGTCCACAGCAATCTCGCTGCCACAGTAATGGCACTCTTATGGGATCTGTACTATAGTCAGGGAAATCTCACAATCCTCAATGAGTTTAGCAGGGAACGGAAGCCTGTTTCTTCTCATATTTTAATTTCCTGGGCTTTGCATTTCTTGATTTTCCTCTAGTTTCAAACTTTGGAGGTGATGTGAGGTCTTTTCTTCCTAGGTTAATTCACTTTTTTTTCTAGCCCAAACCATCTCCTACAGTATCTTTAGAGGGACAGAACTGCAGAGTCTTAAAGGGCAAAAGTGAGGCAAACCTGGGTTCCAACCCAACCTTCCAATTGCCAGCTCTGTGGTCTTACACTAGTCTGGCTACAGTTCGGTCATCTCACCTACACAATAGGGATTACAAAATCTCTTTTTTCTTGGGTTTTTTTTTTCTTTTTGAGATGGAGTTTCGCTCTTGTTGCCCAGGCTGGAGTGCAATGGTGTGGTCTAGCTTACTGCAACCTCCGCCTCCTGGGCTCAAGTGATTCTCCTGTCTCAGCCTTCCAAGTAGCTGGAATTACAGGTGCATGTCACCACACCCAGGTAATTTTTGTATTTTTAGCAGAGACGAGGTTTCACCAGGTTGGCCAGGCTGGTCTCGAACTCCTGACCTCAGGTGATCTGCCTGCCTCAGCCTCTCAAAGTGCTGGGATTACAGGCGTGAGCCACTACGCCCCGCCCTCTTGAGATTTTTTAAAGGAAGTTCAAATGAGTCAATTCATGTAATGTGCTTAGCATGGAACCCGGCACTAAGGAAGTGCTAATCAAATATATTATGAATTCTTAAAGAGGCCGGTTCTTTTTTTAATGTATTTTTGTTGTTGTTGTTGTTTTCCATCTAGGCTACTCTGGCTCGTTTCTGTAGGAAGTGAAGCCCATTCTTAGTGCATCCTAGACTCTTCCTTCAGGAATCCTCTGATGCAGCTTCTCTCTGTTCTTAGTTTCCTATCAGGCCATCTAGCTTACCTGAATCTCTCCAATCTGCAGCAGACCATCCTGGTTTAAGCTTGGTTTACCTTGTTTTTATTTATTTGTTTACATAGCATCTTTTCAGGCATTTCTGGGCTTTGTTATAATTCCCTTCCTAAAATATTGGCCATCTCAGGAAACAGTTTCACCTCCCCTAATATACATTAGCCCTCCCAATTTTCTTCTATCCATCTATCTTTCTGTTCATTCATCCATTCAAGCTATGATAATCACTGGTTTCCACACTCCAGTAGTTCATAAATGTAATGGGGAAGACAGTACATTGTGATTAGGAGAGTAATGAATTTCAATTTTTTTTTTTTTTTTTTTTTTTTTGAGATAGAGTCTTGCTCCATTGCCCAGGCTGGAGTGCAGTGGCACAGTCTTGGCTTACTGCAACCTCTGCCTCCTGGGTTCAAGCAATTCTCCTGCCTCAGCCTCCCAAGTAGCTGGGATTACAGGTGTCCGCCACCACTCCTGGCTAATTTTTGTATTTTTAGTAGAGACAGGGTTTCATCATGTTGGCCAGACTGGTCTTGAACTCCTGAACTCAGGTGATCCACCCGCCTCGGCCTCCCAAAGTGCTGGGATTACAAGTGTGAGCCACCACGCCAGGCTATGAATTTCAAAATATTAAATTGTTATTTTTTTCTTTTGTACTTCATTTTAATTAAAAACATTACATTTCTTTTTCTCGTAAGGTGAAAGGTGATCAATATTAAATTAGATAAAATGTTTAAAACACCTAAAAGAGCTCCTGGCACATAGAAAGGATTATCAAATGTTTGAAGAGTTATTAAAAGGTATAAAGAATTATCACCGAGAAGAAACAGGTGCTCTTTATCTATGTGTTCAATGATGCACAAGAAATTTCCAGGAAACAGGAGGGGGGTTGGGGAGAGATGCTGTATTCCATACTGAGGAAACAGCACATATAATGGCAAACATTGAGGAATGCAGACTAAACCACATGTGATGTTTGAGAACTCCAAGTACGGCTAGAGAATAAAATTGCAGGAGGAAGCAGTGGGCTGGGAGGAGCAGGAGGCTGCTATGGTAGGCAGGTGTCAGAGAATGAAAGTCTCTTTGGTGGTACACCCAGTATTGAATCTGGACTGGACCCGAGCAGAAATAATTGTTTCCAACTTTGTCAGTGTCTACTCCGAAACAGATGGCATCTTAGATACCTGACATTCATTATCCTATTTAAACCTCAAGTAAAATGCAACATAGATAGATATCATCCCACTTCATTCACATAAAAATCAAGTCATCAACTACCAAAATGGTGCAGTCGGGGTTTTAACTAAAGTCCACGTGATTGCAACCACACTTTGGAAGAGATTAGACTAAGGGGGCGGGGGGCAGAGTGAGGAGTGGCCCTCTGACATGTTTTAAGGGAAGGAATAATGTTAAAAAATTGAATTTTAACAATCATAACTGTGCAGCAGTGTGGATAATAGATGAAAGAAGGAAGAGTCTTACAAGCAGAAAAGCCCATTAAAACGTAAAGCAGTTGTCTGGTGAGAGATGCAGGAGTCTAAACAAACACAGTGTGAAATTCAAAGAAAATGCTGAATCTGAGACCTATTTGGGAACTATAACTGACAACAATAGCATCCTCACAATGCTCACTGACTTTTCATCATGCGAAACTCAAGTAATCAAGGGTCCAGCAGCTCACCATAATAACTGGATGCCAAGAAGAGGGGAAGAGAAGAACAAAGAGTTTTTGCTACAACTGGTAACTGATCCTATCAAGAATATTTTGAGGCCAGACACAGTGGCTCACGGCCATAATCCCAGCACTTTGGGAGGCCAAGGCGGGCGGATCATGAGGTCAGGAGTTCGAAACCAGCCTGGCCACCATGGTGAAACCCCATCTCTACTAAAAATACAAAAATTAGCTGGGCATGGTGACAGGCACCTGTAATCCCAGTTACTAGAAAGGCTGAGGCAGGAGAATCGTTTGAACCCAGGAGGCGGAGGTTGCAGCGAGCCGAGATTGTGCCATTGCACTCCACCCTGGGCAACGAGCAAGACTGTCTCAAAAAAAAAAAAAGAATACTTTGAGAATGAATTTGTAAAGTAACATTGGGCTACAGCTCAACACTGAATCAATTTTTGATAGTGAATTAGGAAGTAATCCCAGACCTGAAGAACATAATGGAATTAGAGGCAGATGAAGTATAAAATCTCAGAGAGGCTGTAGTCTAGGGAGAAGATCATGGTTTGGCCACAGTTAATGGAAAAAGAGACCAGAGTGGGTTAGAGAACCTCTATATTCTGTGCAGGTTGAGGGTTTGGAGGCAATTTCCAGAAGTTACCTCATAGAGATTCTTTATTCAAATATTTCCCTAGAATTCAGGTGTGCCTGACGGTGTGGCTCAGGAGTGATGAATGCCCCTTCCAGGACTTCAGCAATGATTTTTTAAAATGCATATTTGGAGCCTTAACACAAGACCAGGCTGTGAACAATATTTTAATTTTTAATACACATTTGGACTTGTTGAGAGTCTCTGTTTTAATAATGTTGCCCTTTTTTCCTCTAAGAACAGGCTGAATATTCCTTAGAGAGACACTTTGGAAATCGCACTATGGCCTGCACGGCGGATATCTGCTCTTTTGGGGTTGAGGGAAGGAGCTTGAATGTCTCTAAGAGCAGAATAGGAAGGGAATAGGGTTCCCAGATGGTTCCAGAGGATGCTGAACGTTCACTGAATGAACCCCTATAAGTATTTCCCCTGTGCTGCTGGTAGGAAAAATACCGATAGAGTTTAAAGCAAGGAAGGATGGATGGAATGTAAGATGGATTGATTCACAGGTCAGAAACCAGATGCTACTGCAAGTGATCCCTCAATGACATCATACTCAACAAAACAAGACAAATGTTCTTGGTACCCTTCCAGCGCTTCATTGTTTTTCATTGCCTGCCTTAACAGGATTTAGAATCACACGGTCCCAGCTGTTAACAGGTATGTACCATCACGCTACCACTTCAGGCACATCAGGGAAAACATACACTTGGCTTCCTTTCTCAGTCCATACAAGCATTTTGAACAGACATGAGAAGAGTTTAAGAAATTGTGGAGGGCGACACAGGACCATGCCTCCCATGTCTGACAAATGGCTGTGTTCTCTGATGACTAGCGTGGGATCCATCACCCTGCCTCCTAATCCAGGGCCTTCCTCCAGCCCAGCTCACTGCCCGGGTACTGCTGCCCTGTCATCTCTGCCCTTCATCCCTCTTAGAAGCCAATCCCCACTTCCCAGTAGGTGGCAGATACTTCTGGTGTCCTTTGTACCTTTCTCAACAGCCCTCCCTGACATTGCACATTCAGGATTAGGCTCCTGCACTAATAGATGACAGTAACCTGTTATTTTCTCAGTGTGGATCTGTCAGACTTGCTTGGGCATAAACACAGTTCCCTGGTATCAGCAGTACCATAAGGTGCCAGGATCCACTGACCTAAGTTTGCTGAGAGATGCTGAACAAAGGTAAATTTTCCTAATTTGCAGATTGTATTGTGAAGTCAAATTGAGACTATTAATTTGGCCACCTTTCCCATCGGGTAACTTAGGCAGCTTGGTAGCTCAGTGTGCATGCATCAGTGAGCTTCTTGGGAAATAAATCGGGTTAGTGAGTTGAACAAATACTTATGCAATATTTTCTATGTGACAGGCATTTTGCTAGCCAGGCAATCATAAATTAGAAGCCCAACTCTATTCTTTTTTTGGAAGAATTCCAATCTGGTAAAGGAAACAAACAACCCCAAAATTGTAAAAAGATGGCAGAATATCAAAAGTGGTAGAAGAAAGTTAAAATAGCTTCTTTTTTTTTTTTTTGATAGAGTCTCACTCTGTCGCCAGGCTGGAGTGCAGTGGCAAGATCTCGGCTCACTGCAACCTTCACCTCCCAGGTTGAAGCCATCCTCCTGCCTCAGCCTCCCAAGTAGCTGGGATCACAGGCGTGTGCCACCACTTCTGGCTAATTTTTGTTGTATTTTTAGTAGAGACAGGGTTTCACCATGTTGGCCAGGCTGGTCTCGAACTCCTGACCTCAAGAAATCCACCAGCCTCGGCCTCCCAAAGTGCTAGGATTACAGGTGTGAGCCACCAAGCCTGGCAAAATAGCTTTTTATAGTGGCCCTTCACCTCCAGGTGTTTGCATTTCAGTGGGATTAAAGGTGGTACTGAGGCCTGGGCCAGTAGGTAGAGGTCACCTGAGAACACCGGGCCCTCCCATTGCCCATGCCTGGGCAATACCCTGAGTATTTGGTCCTTGAGTAGCATGGAATCCTCTCTAGATTTAATCACTACTAAGCCCTAAAGGTGGGAGTATATGGGATTCATTTCGTCTTTGAGAAAATCAAGGCATGCAGTGCAGTTCCCTTGAATAGGGAGAGTCTGGAGGGTTGCACAAATCTGAAAATTATTCCTGCTCAGAGGCTGTATCGTTCTTTGTTGAGATCAAAGTCCATCATGTATGCCGACAGCGTTAATTTTGAAGAAAGCCATTCCTCACATTATCTCCTCACATTTTGCCTCTTCCTGGCAAAAAATAAAAAATGTTGTTCTGTCCCTTAGATTTGATTTATTTTTCCTCTAGTTTATTCCCCTTCAAACCAATAAACAAATTCTTCCTACAAACAGCATGAGTCACCACTCGTAGCAAACATCCTCACAGGTGGCCGAGAAAAAGAAAATGTGTGTGTGTCACATTCCCATTAAGGTTACAGCCTGAGCTTCGAACTTCATTTTGGCCCACAGCCCACTTGTAGGTCTCTCTGTGGGCATTTATTAAGTTATGTTGGTCTCTTCAAATGTTTCCCAGGCCGGGCGCGGTGGCTCACGCCTGTAATCCCAGCACTGCAGGAGGCTGAGGCGGGTGGATCACCTGAGGTCAGGAGTTCAAGACCAGCCTGGCCAACATAGTGAAACCCCGTCTCTACTAAAAATACAAAAATCAGCCAGGTGCAGGGGCGCACGCCTGAATCCCAGCTACTAGGGAGGCTGATGCAGGAGAATTGCTTGAACCCGGGAGGTGGAGTTTGCAGTGAGCCGAGATTGCGCCACCGCACTCCAGCCTGGGTGACAGAATGAGACTCTGTCTCAAAAAACACAAACAATAATAATCATAATAATATGTTTCCCAGACTCCATGCTCTCCAGTCAGCCCTTCCTCTCTCACTGGCATCATTTTGGTCTGGTATTTCCACCCTTCCTTTGGAAAAATCTCTCTTCTACTCAGCATTCCCCAACAGCCTCCGTGCTCAGTCCCACCAGGACACCAAGGTGGGACCCTGTGTTAAAGTGTACTTCCCAAGGCTATTTGCATTTGCATAGGCTTCAGAGCATTAAATCCAAGGCAATACTCTCAAAAGGTAGAAGTCTAGATGTCAGCTGAAAGATGAAAGAGACTGGCGAGGGTGAGGACAGAGATGAAGACGCTAATAAGGGCCTTTCTGTTGCTGGCTCCGTAGCCAGGCCCCTCTTCTCAGGAGTAATCATGTCAACTCCATCATCCCCAGTGAGGTGGGAATCGATTTTATCACACCTTTATAATTACACCCTTCTTATATTTACATGAACTGCTTATAATTATGTGGATTTCTTGCAACTCTCATAAGCTGCCCAAGTAGGGCCAATCTCCCCGGTGTGGGCAGGGAGTAGGCGCAGAGCTGGGCTTTCCATCACACCTGTGTGTGTCCAAGGCCAACCTTGGTCCATTATCTCATGCCTGGAGGACATCCCGGAGGGAGACGTCCTTTCTTTTGCTTTAATCCATTCCTTAAGTTAACTCATCTCTTGCTGTCCTGAATGTTTTATTGATGCTAACTTTATTTTTAAAGATTATAATCTGCCTGTTCTTTTTATTCTTTCTTTACTAGAAATAGATTTTATATATCTCAGGTATAAGGACACTTCTTATCATCCAAGATACCCTCCTTCTGTATTCTCTTCTGCAAAATAATACCCCCTCTATAGTCCCGTTGCCATTCATCAAGGTTGCTAATGGACTCCCTGTGACCATCTGATTAATGGGCTAATACACCTTCTCAAAAGCAATGCCTTTTAAACATAGAAATAAGTAAGACAATAATCTCACATACATTTAAAAAATCTTATTTTTATCTTACAGTTGATTTTTAAATCTTAAAACTTTGAATTTTAATTTTGTATTATTTTGATAGTGAATTATATTACACATAAATGCTTTTTAAATATTAGATGTACATTTCCATTTTACTTGCTTATATTTTATAAATAAAATTATGTACATTGTAAATATTTTGAGAAACAAAATCACAAAGTGTATCAAGCTAGCATAATTGATGTTGTCACAGAGGCGAAGTGTATTTTCACTCACCAGACCATAATTAGTAAATAAATGAATACTGAATGAATAAACGAAGCGTCTCTTATTGTTTGGCACTCATTATTTTCAAATGTTGGCTATTAAAGATAGATAATGCTAGGCTGGGTGCAGTGGCTCACACCTGTAATCCCAGCACTTTGGGAGGCTGAGGCAGGCGGATCACGAGGTCAGGAGTTCGAGACAAGACTGGTCAACATGGCAAAACCCCAACTCTACTAAAAGTACAAAAATTAGCAGGATGTGGAGGCAGGTGCCTGTAATCCCAGCTACTCAGGAGGCTGAGGCAGGAGAATTGCTTGAACCAGATAAGTGGCAGTGAGCAGAGACCTTGCCATTGCATTCCAGCCTGGCCAACATGAGTAAAACTCCATCTCAAAAACAAACAAAGAAACAAAAAAACAGTACCACCGGGCTAGCAATTTAGAAACTATAATCAATGCCTTAATATGTCCCTTCTTTTAGAAAAATAACTACACAAAGCATCTGCATGACTTATAAGAGCTTCCACAAATATACCATAAAATGTTAGCCCTGATAATTTGCTGTGACATTTAACATTTCAATGGGCCATGTTTCTTAGAGATCACTAGGAAATGAAGCAGAGCACTCTTTGCATTCATTTCTGCTCCCCGAGAAAACACTTTCTCTCCTTCACTCAAGCCACCATTCATAACCCAGTGATGTGTGATGTCACTTGTCCCACAGAGGATAATGAACAACTTCCCGGGAAATATTTCCATATGACTAACAATTTAATGTCTTAGACAGAAACTGAATCTTGCCTACTGTATAGAAGAAACAACTGTGTTAGTTCAACTGCATGGTACATGATGAAAGTCCCTGTTATAGCTATTCCTTCTAACAGATAATTGATGGGGCCAAGAGACAAAAGAAGGAACTCACTCTCAGAAATAAACGCTCCACAAAGCAATCTCATGCCTCACCTAATGCAATATGTTTCTCATGGGTCTTTTGTTACTCTAACATATTAAATTATCCTTCCAATTACCTTGGCAACTGAAACAAGAGCGCCTAACACGCTGATGACTTTCGGACGAGCACACCAGCTGTCAGTTATAAATGATAATTAAGGCATCTTAATTATTAAGCACAGTGAAAATATGCAGTGTTCATTTTTTATAAAACTTGTGTCCTAAGGTAGAAGAATCCTCATACCAACCAAATGCTCTTTCTCTACCTTTGATCAGCAATTTGGCCTTTTTTCTCTCTGAGGCTGATAAATTGCAGCAACCTTTGAGATACTAGACCCTCCACCCCCACCCCAGGTCTTCCCCCAGGTCTCCTTAGTTATAAAGGTAGCAGAATGTGATGGTTGAAAGCTGCATTTGTAACCAGCTTACCTTCGCAACAATAGCAAGAGTAACAAAGAATCCATCCTAATAAAAGCTCTGTGCACAGTCAGCTTAAGCAACGTAAAGTGTTCCTTTATTCTGCTTAGTAGCTTCTCCCCCAGAGGTTAACCATTTTAAAGCTGGCACTCAGCCTGAGAACAGGAACAAAGCATTACTAGAAAGCAGGGATCTTCCTCCAGGATCAGCATCTCTGCTTTCCGTAATTCTTAAGAAATATAGAAACTCAATGAAAAGGAAGTGATACCTTTGGATGGGCACATTCCAGCACAGGAAAATCGCTGTCTTGTCGGCTGCTGTGCAGAATGAGTTGCTTGGGCAGGTATTCCTCTATTCTCAGCTCCCGGGTCTGCCTTGTAGCCGCAGCCAGCCTAGGGAGCATTTACGGCATGTACGTGGTGTTCATCCACAATAAAAGGAGACTAACCAGCTCAGCTTGGCGCTGCTCGCCTGGAGGCATCAGATCCTTGGACCCTCCCCATCTGATTGGCTGCTACCCGGTCTAGCCGAACTCCTCTGCCTTAACCTTCTGCTGCGTTCAATACATTTTCCCTCGGGATACAGTCAGAGAAGAGCTGGTTAGGGAATCAGTGGCAGGTTAAATTGAGCTGGCTTTAAAAATCAGTGACATGATTTTCTATGAAGATGTCTAATGTTTAATTTTCCAAAGTTCTACGTAATCCACAAGGAGAGACGTAATAAAATGGATATGATTTAACAGGAGCGGCTTCATGATTCCTCCCTGAAAATACCTGGAGTTTAATGCATGCCTAACACCCTACTGAAGTGATCAGGTGGCTTTTTGCAGCACTGCGTGTCTGTATAATCAACCTTAAATCAAAACAGATGGGGATGACAGAATATATTAAGAGGCTTATTAAAAGTGCCAGGAGATGCAGTTGAATAAGGCTGCTGAAGCCATCTCAAGAAAGTGTTATAAATCATTTACACAAAATGCTCTTAAGACAGTTATGGTTGATTTTAGATAGCTCTGATAATAAAAACATAAAGACCAATGACAGACAAAAAGGTAAAGCCTGACTTAGCATCTCTAGAAGACAAGTAACAGAAAGAAAAATCAAATCTTTTACTCTACAAAAGTAGTGAAATGAGAAAAGAACAAAAGTACACCTTCATCATCTCCTGTCCATGTACTGGATTCAATTTGGTCAAGGACCTAGAACAGGGTATTGAAAAGTCCCCAATGGGGTTTTGGTTTGTTTTGTTCTTTCTGTTTTTTTTTGTTTTTTGTTTTTTGTTGTTGTTTCTTTGTTTTGAGACCGAGTTTTGCTCTGTTGCCCAGGCTGGAGTGCAGTGGCGTGATCTCCACGCACTACCCCCTCCACCTCCCAGGTTCAAGCAGTTCTCCTGCCTCAGCCTCCCGAGCAGCTGGGATCACAGGCACCTGCCACCACACCCAGCTAATTTTTGTATTTTTAGTAGAGATGGGGTTTCACTATGTTGGCCAGGCTGGTCTCGAACTCCTGACCTCAGGTGATCCGCCTGCCTCAACCTCCCAAAATGCTGGGATTACAGGCGTGAGCCACCACACCCAGACAGTTTTGTTTTGTTTTGTTTTGTTTTTAAAAATGAGAGGCATCAAATGGAAGATAGTGAATTGACCACATACATTTAACCCTTTCTCCCTCACAAAGCCCCACTAAAATGACAATAAAGCTTTTATTTTAAGAACCATAAACCCACAAGGACAAAGAAATAGGAGAAAACAGCAACCCAATTTAGAAAAAGAAAGCAGATGGGTGAGTGGTAGCTGGACAGAGAGAGCTGGATCCCAAATGAGCAATGAGGAGAGTCAAGAAGCAGCAGCATTTCCAAGCCAGCAGCCCCAATATGCTCTGGAATTGGCAGAGATGAAATTGGGGCTAAAAACAGCAGGTGGCCTGACTGCCCATCATTCACCCTGCAGAACACAGAAGGCTTATTCTCTGGAGAGACTAACAGAGGGCTTCTGGACTGGCATGGCTGGGAATAAAGGTACCAAACTAAAAATATTGCTGTTAATCAGAAACAGATATAAAAACCCTGGGCCTTCTTTCCCCACTCAACTCCTGGGAGCCAGGTAGCAAGGTGAATAGGCTCCAGAAAAAAAGATGTGAAGAGCGCTCTTCAGGGATCCCACCATCCCAAAATATAAGACGTAAAGGCATCACTACAGGGTACTCTCTAAGATATGGCTGGGCTAGATCTCCCAGAAGTTCAGGCCACATTAATAAGCTCTACACATGAATTTTGGTGCCCCTCTCTTACATGTAAGCAGATCAGACAAATCTCTAACATCAAAGCATAGAACAAAACAAACAAAAAAGAAACAGGCAAATAACAGACAGACAAGCAAACATGGCAAAAAGTAAACTGATGGAAACAATGGGTGTGCAGGGAGAAGAACAGTTTAAACACTATCATTAATGGCCTTGTCAAAATAAGAGATGTATGGCAGTTCTCACTCTGCATGGTTCCAGTATTCACAAATATCACCTACACAGTGTAGTTGATAGCACCAGTCTTCCAGCAATACAGTTCAAATTTCAGTTACCATGGCGTGTTAACCATGAGTGATTATGCAGTATGCAAACTCTTTTAGCTCTTCCACCCACAGTCACTAAGTAATAATAGATGCACAACATGATCACTGGCCAATCACAGCACTTCTTCAAAACCTGTCAGTGATTGGTTGCGGCATGCCTGTTAGTCAGCTCATGTATATTGTTGTTGTTGAGTTGTTGCACCAAGTGTGTTATGGAGTTGCCTCCTTGTCTCCCAGTGGTGCACCCATGCAACATTTCACAAGAATGGATAACGAAAAGAGGGAATTCACCAACAAAGATGAAAGTGCTGCAAAGAAATAAACAATTTCATGGGAAGTGAAATTGGATATGATTAGAAGATTTTAAAATGGGAATAGCAAAGTTTAAGATTTGAAGAGACCTAGCTTTGAATAAATCATACTGCAGAAGCCTAATCAATACTTTTTTAAAAGGTAAGTTTCTTTAACATCTTTTTAAATTGCACAAAGGAAAGAAAGCACTCTGGTTGGATTGAAGATTGTAATTTTTGAAAAGTTATTTAGCTAATATTCAGGTCAAAGTGTTGATGTTCCTTCCCACCTGAAAAGAAAATGGTAATTACAAAAGAAAGGAAGAAGACACTTTTTACTGCCAGAAAAATCTGTTTTCAAAAGTTGGCAGAAACTGATTAATGTTAAGCCATCTTGTGAAGCTTCCAGAGCAAACGGTGTCCTGCTATGAAATGTTCACCTAGATTCCAAGGACTGGTTAAACAAGGGGACATGATCGTTGTCAAATATTCTATGTGAATAAAAGTGTTTGTGATGAAAAAGATGAAAATGTCCCAGAGGAAGTGATCCTGGCAAAATAATTTACGCTAAAGAATTCTTGGGGCCAGGCACGGTGGCTCACACCTGTAATCCCATCACTTTGGGATGCCAAGGCAGGTGGATTTCTTGAGGTCAGGAGTTTGAGACCAGCCTGGCCAACATAGTGAAACCCTGTCTCTACTAAAAATACAAAAGAGCTGGACATGGTGGCACACACCTGTAATCCCAGCTACTAAGGAGGCTGACACAGGAGAATCGCTTGAACCGAGGAGGTGGAGGTTGCAGTGAGCTGAGATGGCACCATTGCACTCCAGCCTGGGTGACAGAGTGAGACTGTATCTCAAAATAAAACAAAACAGAACAAAACATCTCTTGGAGACATTTCATGACATTGAAAGCACAAAGGAGAAATGATGGTGGGAAGCTGCTCCAAACTTAGAAGGGAGGATGACAATTCCCCAAGACGTGGGAAAGGTGCTACTTTAGTGTTTTAATTCACATCATGAGAAGGGGACAAGCTCTGTTCCAAGAAAGAAATAACTAATTTTCCCTGTTTTCAATGCTTTAAATTACGGCATACTCAGTAAATATTAGTTTTGTTATTTTTATTGCCCTATGCATTTATAACTGATAGCAAGAGCATTTTTAAAGTCATAGGAAAATTATTAAAGGCCACAGAACAATTGTCATTTTCATCATTGATTATTAAGATTGCTTTTCATGGTTTCAGCTACAATCCTGTACTACCACACAAACTGAAGACTGACTATATTTTTCTATGAAATAAGCAAAAGCAACTGTATGAAAGAAAACTATGGAACACAAAAAGCTCTTGGAAAATTCAGAAGAAGAATTGGAAGACAAAGTTGAGGAAATATCCTTGAAAGTTGAGTAAAAGGGCAAAAAATGGAAAACTGTAAGAAAAACGGTAAGAAAATTGGAGATATAGTCTAGGAATTCAACATCTGGATAACAGGAATTCTAGCAAGAAACAGTTAAGAAAACAAAAGGAAGAAAACCATAAAAAATAATTTTTAAAAAGTTCTCATGAGTTTCCAGAATAGAAGTATGACGTTAAGACACACAATTGGCTCATGGTCGTGGAATTTCAGCAAATTAAAAATAAAGCACTTTCTTGGTTTGGTGAGATAGCTCATTCTTATAATTTCAGCATTTTGGGAGGTTAAGGTGGGAGAATTACTTGAGGCCAGGAGTTTGAGACCAGCCTGGGCAGCATAGCAAGATCCTCATCACTACAAAAAAATGAAAATTAAAAAATTAGCCAGGCATGGTGGGGCATGCTTGTAGTCCCTGCTACTTGGGAGGCTGAGCCTAGAAGTTTGAGGCTGCAGTTGGCCTTAAATGAATCAAGACCCTGCCTCTTGAAAAAAAAAAAAAGTTCTTTAAACTTCTGGAAAGAAAACTATGAATTTCATATAAAGGATCAAGAATTTGGATGGTATGTTTCTCAATAACAATACTAGAAGCTGGAAGGTAGTGGAAAAATGTCTTTGAAGTTCTGAGAGAAAAGGATTTCCAATTTGGAATTCCATACCTAGCCAAAATATCTCTAAGAGTCGAGATAGATAAGACATGTTTTTCTTGGATTTGAAAGGTCCTTAAAATTTCCGTCTCAAGAACCTTTTCTCAGGAGTCTATTGCAAAATGTGTCCACCAAAACAAGGGAATAAAACAAAAAAGACAAGGCTTGGCATCCAGAAAACTGGGATCCTACAAAATGAAAAGTTCAAGGCTCTGCCACCCTGCAGAATGGTCTTGGAGACATTTCAGAATAAAGACAACGAGCAGATCTAGGGAGCTGTCAGTCCAGATTGCATCAGGTCAAAAGGAGGAACAATTTCAGGAAGACAAAATTGATAGCATGTATAATATATTTGAGATTTTTGAGAAAAGGCTTATACAATTGGGAGAGGGCTCTAGGCTGTACTAATTGTAAGTATATAAACAACTGAGTAACAAAAAAGACAATTTTGTTGAATAGGAAAACAAAGTAATTGTAGTAAACATGATTCAGGCTTGAGTAGTTTTTACTTAGCCACAGTTATAAAAGTACTGAGTATTGATACAAGCAAAAGTATAGTATTTCAAGGCTAGCTGACTGCAAGTGTAGGTGCATGGTGGGTATAGGCCGTATGATTGAAAGAGAAATAAATCCTCACCTTCCAAAGGGAGAAGTCAATATTTACTGCCTAAAACTGAAATATCAAGAAGTGGAAATACGAACACTTAGAGGTGAGGAAGTAAATACTAGAAGAGCTAATTTTAATATGATTGCCTCCAGCAAACAGGAAATGGCAGAAATTCCTGTTTTTGTAATTGCTGAATACAACTTTACATGTACATCCGTTAACTGTAATGAGAATAAAAATTATAACAAAATATTAAAACTTGAGGTAGAGTTGTAAGTCTTTATGCGCTAACGATTAAGTAGAGAAAATGCAAGATGTATAACAGTGTGAAAAAAGGGAGCCATTTATGTTAAAAAAAGAAATATTTATACCTTTTAGAAAGATGTACAAGAAAATAATCTACTGATGATGGTTGCCTCTGGGCAGCAAAATTGGAGGGTTTAAGATATGGAGATGAAACTTATTTTTTCCTATATAATTTTCTATACTGTTACAATCTTTACTTATAAACATTTTTCAATAAAATTAACAAATTTTAAATGACAAAATTTCTAATCCAAGAGAAAAAAGTCTACTTTTGTCATTTAAGTGGTGATCTTCTACAGTAAATAATCTTATGAATTTGGTCTTCATATTGAATTTGTTTTCTGGTTAAAAATATTAAGACTTTGGAAGCAATGAAAATTAGAGTAGTATGTCATTGTAAAGAAGCACATATAATGTTACATGCATAATGTCACAAACATAATGTATTTCAATAACATATTTAAATTGTCTATTAGAATTTCTTGCATGGTCATGGCTGAGAATTTCCTTTGTAAAACATTCCTTGAAAAGTCTCCTTAGCACTTAATATGGGAGGAACTTTTTGGGTAAGGGAGGTAATTTTGGGTCTGTGGAGGCAGAGGAAAAGATACGGAATTCAGAGAAAGCTGGTAGTAAGATGGCAAAGGGCCTCTCACCAAATCATCAATAAAGACACAAAATTTATGGAATATTTGCTGGGAACACAATTTTTAGAGAGGGATGAAGAGGTTAGCCTTCTTGTCAATGTTATGGAAAGAATAGCATCAGATCATGTTGGAATAGAATCTTGGAGGCAGAGAAAGGAAGCTCCAGGAACATAGAAAAAATATGTGGAATGCTTTGGTTGGTTGCAAGTAGAACTATAGTTACAACCAAGGGCTGCCCAGGTTACTTCTAAATTGTACATAGAAACTATAGACATCCCGAAGCTTTAATTCTAATGTTGTTCTACCATTTGCCAAATGAATAACCCTGGAGTAAGTAATATAAACATTTAGAATCTCAACCTTCTCAACTCAGCTACCACACTACCAACACTATTTTAATCAAATATTTGTAAACCTTTAACATTTTTAGTGTGAAGCAAATCTATGATATAGCAGTGCTCTTTACAAAATGCTTTATAATTTTCTCATTTCTCAAACTGTAGTTCTTCCACCTATTTCTTTTTTATATCTTAGGTAAGTGTAATAGTTTATTCTGTGTTTGTGGTAGGATACTTTGCAAATTATAGAAGGCAATAAAAATTCCTAGTGTCTGAGCATTTTATTATTTAGTTCCAGCTTAGTTTACAAGATCATCTCTGGCTTCAATGGTAAAAATTTGAATTTCCTCTGGAATCCTCTACTGAGTATAGTTAAGTTCACTGGCATTCTCCTTCTGGCTCACCAATTTCAGTCACTTTCTTGTTAGAGGCACTTCAGAGAAAATAAAGGATCTTAAAATCAATACTAGAACATTCAAGAGGCACTATTTGAAATTCTGAAGTGATAAAAAAAATAAAATAAAATGACATTCAAGAGCAATATACAAATATGGTCAGCATATTTTTCTCCAAAATAATTATAATTATTTAAAAATAAATTTAAAACTCAATCATAAATATAAAAGAACCAGTAAAGTAAAACATCCTTAACACTTTACCACCAAAATCATTTTATAGAATTTAAAAACAATGATAAATTTTACTTCTTAGTGACTTTTCAATAACCAAAGTCAAAGTTAATCAAAAATGTTCAAACACACATTTGGTGCCTGTTGAGGAATTTTGAGAAAATAACAATAGTTGATTCAACTGTACAGATCCACAGGATTTGGCAGTCACAGAAAATACCTTGTAAATTGAACTTTTTGTTTAAGAAATAAAATAAGCATTCTTTAGCATGTAGAGTATCTTGAACTTCAGAACACAATCTACAAGGCTAACTTATTATAAAACAATCATTTTCACAGCTAATATTTGTATTTCTATTTGATCATTTAATTGTTCATTTGTTTATTCATCAAACATTGAATACTTCACATTGGTACCCAAATTTGTGGATTTTGAGGTATAGAAAGGGAAATCAGAAGGAACAACTAGTAGGAAGAAGATACTGACCCATCCTGTGATCCTGTAGTACCATCCATTCTGTCCCTCCCAGATGCTCCACTGTATAGAACACACCCATATTGGAGGGCTGTCTCTTTAAAATTACCTCTTCTTATGTCTATGTGATACATATGAGCAGATACTTCTTATAAATCTAATCCGCTTTAATTGGGTTTGCCAGGAGTGATTACAGACTTTTTCTTACATCTTTGCTTTCAGAAAGTAATTGGATAACTTCTTATGCTATATGGAAATGCAGTAGCTAACAAAATGGCAGACTTCCTATTTAATTAAATTTGTACATCTCCAACACAAACTTGACTATACAGATTTACAGTAATGAAATCTCTAAAGTTTTTAAATATAAGTTTTAACTGCCAATTCCAATTCCAAAAACAGGGATATAAAAGACAGTTTTGAGAATTAACCAATGCGATAAAAAGGGAGCCCCTTTCCTTAGCACAATTTCTCACTGTCTACTGTAGTTTCATTCTTTTGAGTCTGTCATTGCCTTTGTCTTTTCACTTCAAAGCCATATTCAGCTTCAGATCTCAAACACAATGCAGTGGGCTGGTGTCTGCTTACTAGAGCTGAAATGCCTTGTTTTGGAAGTGCCTTAACAGCTAAACTTATTGGTCTAGATTTACCACCTTGACCTACTTCATTCATTTATTTTCATGAAAATGGAGACTTCTGATGCTTATTCACATGAAAGCATCCATTAGACCAGAGTTCAGATAAAAATAAGGACGTTTCTGATAAATTGCTTCATTCACATTAGCTCTTCTGGGCAATAGGTAGGAGGAAATAAAACACTTATATCTCTACAAGTAATTCATGAGGAGCACAGATGTTTTTACACTAAACCATGTTATAAAATGTGATAAAAGTCTCTGATAAAAATAAATTATCCTCAACCCAACTTCTGGAGGGGCCACAGGACAACTTTCTCTTTGCCCTCTGAAGGGTCACTGAAAATGAACAGACAAAAAGAAGATTAAGCCGGACGCAGTGGCTCACCTCTGTAATCCCAGCACTTTGGGAGGCCGAGGCGGGTGGATCACATCAGATCAAGAGTTCAAGACCAGCCTGGACAACATGGTGAAACCCCATCTCTACTAAAAATATAAAAATTAGCTGGGCGTGGTGGCACACGCCTGTAATCCCAGCTACTCAGGAGGCTGAGGCAGGAGAATCGCTTGAACCTGGGAGGCTGAGGTTTCAGTGAGCCGAGATTGTGCCATTGCACTCCAGCCTGGGCGACAGAGCAAGACTCAGTCTCAAAACAAAATAAAAGGCAAATTAATAGGAGAAAAGGCACACACACATTTCTATTTTAACTTGTATAGCACTGGGGAATTGCAGAATGATTACCCAGTGGGGTACAGACGCTTAGACACCCCTCTTCATACAACAAATGTGGCGATTTGTGGAACAGTGAATGATTTTTAGGGGAAAATGAATGGACTTGGAGAACATACGATGGCCTGGGACAAAACGTGTTGTGACTGGAGATCAGGCAATTGTTTGTGACAAAAGTGTACCCAGGGGTGTTGATGGACTTCGGTCTTTCTTCCTGTGATATGAGTGCAGTTAATGAAACTCAGGGAAGGCAGTTGTGTTCTTTTGGCCAGTCTGGTTTCTAGGAAGATAAAGGATCCTCAGAGAACAACTTCATTCTGTTCCTTGGGAGAGACAAAACATTGAGAAATGGGGGTGAGGGGTAGGTCAGAGAGACCTTGGGATCGCTTCTTCAATCCAGCATGTCAAAGGGCCATATGTTGGAGTTCAGGTTTCTGAGACACAACACTTCCTGTTGTAGCAGCAGAAAAGGAGTGATCCGTTTCCTCCCTGTCATAGGGGTCAAAACGGACACCTCTGAAACAAAGACAGATTAACAAGAGAAAAGCCCAACAAATATATTCGACCACAGCTTTACAATACACAGGAGCCTTCGGAATGAAGACCCAAAGGTACCGGGGAAACTCTCTGATTGTGTGCCCAGGTTTCAGGGAGCAGGGACAGTCATGCAGAAATGTGACCGGACAGAAGGAAATGATGTAATGGTAACAGGCTAACTAGGGACACTCGGTGAGGCCTGTCTGTTCAGATCTTGCTCAGCCTCTCTGTGTAGCTTTCCTTCCTCGCAGGTATCCGGCAGGACCCTTTCTGTAATGGGGGGCCTATTACCTACCATTAAATAAGATAGGTCAGAAAATTTTTTCTGGCCAATTCTTACACAGAAAAACAGCCAAAAGTGAAAGTGCCTTTAGGCTACACGTTGGCTTTGGGGAAAAGGAACTCTGGTTTCTGTGACACTCGTTGGGGCAGAGAGATTCTAGTTCCTGCGACTGGCCTCAGGGGAGAATGGGGCTGAGAGACAGGAGGGTGAGAGAAGGTCACAGGGAAACTTCGCTTCTGAGGCTGCTTCTGCCGTCTTCACTTTGAAGCATCATTTTTCTGAGCCTCAACATTCTTCAGTCTGAAACTTCCCCCCAGTAGTTTTTTTGTTTGTTTGTTCATTTGTTTTGAGACAGAGTCTCACTCTGTCGCCAGGCTGGAGTGCAGTGGGGCGATCTCGGCTCACTGCAACCTCTGCCTCCCTGGTTCAAGCGATTCTCCTGCCTCAGCCTCCCGAGTAGCTGGGATGACAGGCACCCACCACCACACTGGGCTTATTTTTGTATTTTTAGTAGAGACGGGGTTTCACCATGTTGGCCAGGCTGGTCTTGAACTCCTAACCTCAGGTGATTCACCCACCTCGGCCTCCCAAAGTGCTGGGATTACAGGTTTGAGCCACCACGCCCGGCCCCCATAGGTAGTTTGACAGTCCACGGATCGGGTTGGTGGATTGTCTCCCAGGCTGTTCCCAGGCTCTCAGTCCTGAGAAGAGGCCTTTCAGCTAATCAGTTGACAGTTGTGTCTCATTTCAGCAGCAGTGTTGCAGACTGGCTTCCACCGAAGTCAGGCCCCAAATAGTGTGAACAGTCATGTACGTAGCAAAGGGCATTTCTAGGGAAAGAAAAGAAAACAAACCTTTGGGTCTAGAGGGCAGCCAGTCAAGATTTTCAGATGTTAGACTTGAAGCATCTTCATATGGAGTGAGAGCAGACAGTGGCAATCTGGGATTTTTCCGGTTCGCAGTTTGCATCCGGTGAGCTTTCTAAGTGGCCCATATAGTAATAGGCAGAAAGTTTATTTCTACATAAAACTGCTGTGGTGATTTCTCCAAAGGCTATATCAGACCATCCAGTTTTAGTCTGCAGGGTTTCAGGAAAGTGCAGTTTTCATTTCAGTGATTCCAAGCTGGAAGGGTGGAGAAAAATTACAAATACTACTTTGGTGAGTCATAGTCAAATATTGCAGGAAACTAAAATAATTCAAGATCTGGTCCAGATTGTAGGTAGATAGTAAACCCTCAAAAACAATGAGGTAGAGTCTAATAACAGGTGCACTAGAGTTGTCTTCTGAAATATAATTTTTATTTCTCTAGTCCACCTATCAAAAAACATAAAAAATATGTTTCAAACAAAAAGTCATTAAAACAAGACTAATTTGTTCATAAGAAAAGTTTAGTCTTTAGTCTTTATGATTTTTTACATAAGTATAGCAAGAATAGTGATCAACCATATAGGCACTTTTTAAATTGGCTTTGTGGGGAACTTTTTCATAAGGAACCTCAGACTGGACTTTCTAAAAGCCTCTCAGGTCTCAGGAGCCAAGCCAAGGACGCACCTCAGGACTGTACTTACACAAACAACTGTTTTGCCTTAAAACTAGAATACTCGCAGTTGCCAAATTTTGGAGGGATCAGGTAGGGACAAAGGTAAATGTTTCAATTTTGCTCATAAAAATATACGTTAGCAAATTGCTGCAAGCTATAGATAGCATAGAAGAGTTTCCTTAACAATGCAGATAAAAACATAAAAAATATGTTTCAAACAAAAAGTCACTAAAAAGTCATAATCCTTTGTGAGTTCAGTCCCATGTAATTAATTCTTGTTCTGCCAATGTAAGTTAGGATTTTCTTGAGTCCAGTTTTTCCATTCGAGTTATGGAAACTCAGTCCAATGGTATGAACTCAGAGTTAGAATTATTTTTGTTCTTTCCATATATTTCCTTGAAGACACAACATTTTAGGACTCTAATCACTTGCAAAGAGCTTTCAGAAAAAAACATCAAAATAAAGCAATTAACTGTGGACAGTAAGATGTAAAATGGCTATGGTTAAAGATATGATAGGAATTCACAATAATAATGATGCAACTGTCAAGAAAATTTGGTCCTCTCTGTGGCACACAACATTTTAACATTAGCGTTATGACTGATAACATATACTAAAACATAATTTCTAGGATTTCTAGGAATCTCTTACAATTTTGGAACACATATGTCAATAACATATTCACACAAATATAACCTCAAAGAAGGTTAAACATCATTTCTTATTTGACAATGTTTGTCATATAATTTAACATATCAAGTAAGTCTAATTTAATGTCTTTCTTGGATTTCCAGGGGCCCTCCTATAATGTCTAAAAGTTACTTTGAGGTCAAAAAGACTTAATTTTGATTTGGGGAAAGTTGCCAAAATAAAGGTTGCCATCACAGATCATTATGAGAAAAATAACCACTTATTTAAACAAAAGATCTAATAAACACAGTGTGATGCACATGGAATATTTTTTCTTTCTCTTCTTTTTTCTTTTGTAGTTTATTCAAAAGGGAAACAAAAATCCTTTATTATCTCTTCTCTTATAATACATTTATTTATTCTTAGTTTAACCACATAAGCTCCTCTGTTATATTTTCAACTATTTTATCTAATTAATATAATATACAACATTAAAAAACTATTCTGAAATGATCTTTAAACGTACTCTAAACTAGATAAAATTACTTTTCTAAACAAAACACATATTTTTCATTTTTTGTAACTTTTTTCATCAGAAATACCTCTTGTTTTGCTTGTATATTTTGCGTATAAAATTGGTCTTCTTATTTTTGGTAGTTTTCATTAAATGTATTAATTGTAATTTTAACTCTTAGTAGCCTTAATTTTTACTGAAAACCTAGAAGTAAGCAATTTTGACTGTTTGCACTAGTAATTTATAAATACACATTTTAAAATTATTAGAAACATTAGTTTTTTAGAATCTTCGTATGTTTATTAACAAATCCAAATACATTTTGCTTTTTAAAATAACCTATAAAAACAAAATGCCAAAGTATATAAACTGGAACTTATGCTTATTAATTAATCTTTCAGTACCTTAACTTATTTAGAAATGACTCAGACGTTTCATGATGATCTATTATTTAACTTAATATAACACAACTTTCAGATTTTAAATTATTTTTAAAAATCTTTGAACCTAGGACAAGTTTATTTAGAAATGTTTATTCCATTTACCTAATTTACTCATTCTTAACAATTATATTTGAATTGCTCACGGAAAACAAAGCTAACCATAGAAGTTATTTTTGAAAAAGCAAGACCAAGCTAGCCCTGCAACAGCCAGCTTTGTTTCCATCGAGGCCTCTGTGACACTGGCCACAGGATGGGCCTATACTCGGCTAGACCCTGCCCTGCAGCTGCCAGCCCAGGTGCTGGGATACACATGCACGCTCAGGCTTTACCATGGCCACCAGTCCAGATCCCAGAATTCAGAAGCTCAAAACTGAAGACATAAGCTTGCAGCAGCATGTGTATAAGGTTTCAGGGGAGCCAGCACCCAGCCCACACAGTTCAGTCCACAGACAAACCAAGCAAATATCAAAAATAGTACGGAAGCGGAGAATAAAAGTTAAAAGTTAAACATGGTTCCCCCCACCCTCCTTTAAATACCTAGGTGATAACAGTCTTGTTTGACTAGTAGCTCTAGGTATTAAAAATATATATATATGTTTGTACTGAAGCAGGATATTTCCCTGACCCCTTCACAGGCCCCACAAAGGGGATGCCCTGTTTACTCAGCCCACAGCTCTCAGCTGCTCACAGGAGGGATTGCACAAGTGAATGTGGTGGGAACTGGAGTACAGAAGCACTGGAGTCACCCAGCTGCTCCAGCACCTGCAGGAGTGAACTCCATTCACTTGGACCCACTGCATTTCCACCCTTGCAGGAGGGGGTGCACAGGTGAATGGGTGCAGGAGCTGGCGTGAGTGCTTTTGGGTGCCAGCAGGAGCCAACTCTGTGCTGGCCCCACGGCAGTGTCTAGGGAGGTGCCCGCAACCCCTGAAGCCCCAGAGGGAGTGTTACAGTGCTCCTTTAGTTCTGCTGTCCGTGGATGGCTTAAGTGTTAACAGCTCAGTGGACCCCATGCCTTTTCGCATGAGGTGGCTGCCTTCCACCAGTGAGGGTGAAGGGCCAGTGTGACAGCCTTTCGCATCTGCACTTGTAGTTCCCGAGTTCTTGTCTGGTGTCCAGGACATGAGGTTGCAGGAACAAATTGAAGGATGGTAAATGTGGGGGATTTTACTGCTGATAGAGGTGGCTCTCAGTGGGAAGGGGAGCTGAAAAGGGGACGGGGTGGGAAGGTAATCTTCCCTCAAAGTTCAACTGTCTCTGGCCAGATTCTTCTCTGAACTTACACCATCAAGCTGTTCCTCTGAAGTCAAGCCACTTCTCTCCAATGTCCAACTGTAGTCTCCAACGTCTAGCTGCTTCTTCTCTCTGCCGGCTGAGTTCTGGGGTTTTTATGGGCACACGACACGGGGTGGGGCGAGCCATGGGTGGTTTTGGAAAAGGAACATTTGAGCAGGAAAACAGGGATGGAAGTTCTCACTTTGGGCTGTGGTTCTAGGCTTTTTGGTTTGAGGGTGGGGCCCTCACCAGGACCTGCCCTCTTCTGCCTAGAATTTCCCTGCCTTCTGTCCCTATCAGTACTATAACCAATGCTGATAATTCTGAAGATATTCCTGTTTTTATTTTACCAACAAGTTTAAAACTAACTTTATTTACCAATAACGATTTTTATTAACTGTATAGAAACTCAGATCACATGAACTATCTAGCACTTGATACTATTATATGAAGTATTTGAGTTAGTTTTAATTTTATCTTTGAAAAAGAGCTTTAGGGGCCAGGTGCAGTGGCTCACACCTGTAATCCTAGCACTTTGGGAGACTGAGATGGGTGAATCATTTGAGGTCAGGAGTTTGAGACCAGCCTGGCCAACATGATGAAAACCCATCTCTCCTAAAAATACAAAAATTAGCTGGGTATGGTGGTGTGGGCCTGTAATCCCAGCTACTCAGGAGGCTGAGGCAGGAGAATCTCTTGAACCCAGGAGATGGAGGTTGCAGTGAGCTGAGATCTCACCACTGCACTCCAGCCCAGGCAACAGAGTGAGACTCTGTTTCAAAAACAAAGCAAAACAAAAAAGCTTTAGGGGCATCATGCCTATTATCATAGATCAATTTTATGGAGGCTACAGACTGGGTTTTAGGTGTGAATGTTTTTAAAGCTCATCTGAGTGGACTAAATATCCATTTTTGCTACAACTGGGTTTGTTGCATTTTTCTCTAATTTGGTCTTGAAGTTTCTCTCTGAAAAGTAGCTGTAATCCCTACCCCTGGCCAGACAGGTTTATCAAGGTAGCCACTCTCTAGGAGATCCCTGATGAGGAGAAGAATTAGGTTCAGGTGCTTCAGTTAGAAGAGCCATGGAGAAGGATTCAAAAACAGATATCCAGGCTGCATAAAATTACAGGAATTCACTACAGTATTTTACAAGGAAATACCCAGATGAGCTTAGGAAGAAGTTCAGAAATCTGTTCAAAATAATCAGTTGAATGCCTGAAACTCGTACTTTGGAAAACAATCTAGTTAAATAGGTAGCTTTTCAACATATCTTCTTTTTTTTAACTGGATGACCCAGCTCTGGGTGGAGAGCCCATTGAGGAATAGGGCCAACAAAGTACTTGCAGCTTCTGGGGTTTAAAATTTATGCATGTAAAAGCAGGTGTAGCTGGAAGGCGGAGTACTCAGATCTTTAGAAATTAAGGATTCCTTTTTTACACTGAATCATGTGTCTTCCAGACCCAAGAAAAAGTCCGAGAGGGCAACGCCATGGGGCTGAGCTGCTCAATGCCCTCCCAGTGCATCCTGCTGCAAGGATGCCCCCCAGGATGCTGCCTCACCTAACCAGCCGCTCCAGGAGTGGCCCCCAGCCCCCACCCCATGGAGCTTCGACTTCCTGGTGACCAGTGCTCCAGTAACCTCTAAGTGCTTGAACCACGCCTGTCAGCCAGTTATGGCTTTGGCTCTGAGAGCCCCCCTGACCAACTTAACCAATGCTTTTTTTCTGTAAGAAATTGCCACTTACTGTTGGTTTCTGTCCGACCCGGTGAGATACTTGAGGCTTCCCCTACCTGTGCACACAACGAAATGAAGACAATAAAAAGCCAGAGTTTGCTCTTTCTAGTAATAACCACTTATTGCAACTGCTATTTCCTTAAAAATGTCATCTCTTGCCAGTGTTCGTTACTTTGCACTCAAAGGCCAAGTATCCTCTCACGGTGACCCTTGGTGTGCCTAAAAGCCAAAGAGAGCTAGGCGCGGTGGCTCACACCTGTAATCCTAGCACTTTGGGAGGCCGAGGCAGACGGATCACTTGAGGTCAGGGGTTCGAGACCAGTCTGGCCAACATGGTGAAACCCCATCTCTACTAAAAATACAAAAATCAGTTGGGTGTGGTGGCACGCACCTGTAATCCCAGCTACTCGGGAGGCTGAGGCAGGAGAATTGCATGAACCCAGGAGGCGGAGGTTGTAATGGGCTGAGATCATGTCACTGCACTCCAGCCTGGGTGACAGAGCAAGACTCCGTCTCAAAAAATAAAAATAAAATAAAAAATGAAAGCCAAAGAGATCAGGGAGCTTAATTGGAAAGAGAGTAGAGCTTCAGCCCTGAGAGAAACCCACCCATGACTCCTGGGGCTCCATCAGGAAGAGGGGGATCCCCATTGTTCCTTCAAGGGTCTCAGGGTTGTTGCACGTCTCCTTTATATCCCTGTATGCAGTACCCAAAACTGTTTCCCTTAGTAATTTTTTATCCATTGACCACCAAATGGAGGAGGTAAGATTACTGGGAACTAGCTGGAAGAGCAAATGTGGCGAAAGGAGCAGACGCAAATGGAAAGATCAGGTCTTAGAGGAGCCGACTTAGGGAGATTTTAAGTCTTCTAAAGAGGAGCTTATCATTAGCAGAGGCTTGAGAAAAATAGGGGCTTTCAGCTACTGAAAAAATTCTCATAAGAGAAACAGAATTCAAAAGAGAAAAAGCAGAAAAGCTTTAAAAAAAATTATAGCCTGAATATAGGCTTTTAATTCAGCCAACTCTTGGCCGGGTGCAGTTGCTCATGCCTGTAATCCCAGCACTTTGGGATGCCAAGGCAGGAGGATTGCTTGAACCCAGGAGTTTGAGACCAATCTGGGCAACAAAGCAAAACCCTGTCTCAAAAAATAATAATAATAAATACATTTAGCCATTTTGATCATAGAGCTGTTTAATTTTTTTTTTTTTTTTTTTTTTTTTTTGAGACGGAGTCTCGCTGTCGCCCAGGCTGGAGTGCAGTGGCGCCATCTCGGCTCACTGCAAGCTCGGCCTCCCGGGTTCGCGCCATTCTCTTGCCTCAGCCTCCCGAGTAGCTGGGACTACAGGCGCCCGCCACCACGCCCGTCTAATTTTTTGTATTTTTAGTAGAGACGGGGTTTCACCGTGTTAGCCAGGATGGTCTCGATCTCCTGACCTTGTGATCCACCTGCCTCGGCCTCCCAAAGTGCTGGGATTACAGGTATGAGCCACTGTGCCCGGCCTTTGATTGCTATTTTTCTGTCAGTTGTCCCAGGACCTCATCTGGAGGCTCCAGAGCAAGTCAGGTGTCTTGGTCACCCTATTTGGGTCACCAGAACTACAGGGGTGGAAAGAGGGTGATCCCTTTTCTCCCCATCATAAGCATCATGACCAACCCTCCTATAACAAACAACAGGCTAACAAGAGACAAGCATAACAAATTTGTCTGATCATTGTTTTACGTGGCATGGGGGCCTTGGGAATGGAGACCCTAAGGTACAGGAGAGACTATCTGATCTCATGCTAAGGTTTGATAAAGCAGGGACGGCCGTGTAGAAATGGGAACGGACAAAAAGGGAATGTTCTAGTAGTACCGGGGCTGAGTGTGGAAACCCAGCAAGGCCTGTTCGGACTCTTCTTGGCCTCTCTGTGCAGCTTCCTTCCTCCTGGGTGTGGGGTAGGGTCCCCCTGGAATGGGGATCTTACGACCCACAATTAAACAACGTGGGTCAGAGAAGTTCTTTACGGCAGCTCTCACACAGAAAGGCAGGGGAGGCTGAAAGTAGTGATTTTAGGCTTTATTGTTGGCTTTGGGGAAGTGGGAGTCTGGTTTCTTTTATTTATTTATTTTATTATTATTATTATTATCATCATTTGAGACAGAGTCTCGCCCTGTCACCCTGGCTGGAGTGCAATGGCGTGATCTCCTCACTGCAACCTCCGCCTCCCAGGTTCAAATGATTCTCCTGCCCCAGCCTCCCAAGCAGCTGAGATTACAGGCGGGCACCACCATATCCAGCTAATTTTTTGTATCTTTTAGTAGAGATGGGGTTTCACCATGCTTGCCAGGCTGGTCACGAACTCCTGACCTCATAATCCTCCCGCTTCGGCCTTCCAGAGTACTGGGATTACAGACATGAGCCACTGTGCCCGGCCAGGAGTCTGGTTTCTATGACCCACCTGGAAGTAGAGAGCTTCTCATTTCTATGGCTTGCCTTGTGGGAGAATGAGGGCCAAGGGACAAGAGGCCAGAAGAAAGAGAGAGACTTGGCTTGAGGCTGCTTCTGCAGCCTTCACTTTGTTTTCTGAGCCCCAGCACTGCTGTCTCCATCACCTTCAGACACACTTAAATCGTAGCTACCTCTTGTGAATACTTGGCCTCAAGTGAAAGAAAGGAAGATGGAGAAACAAAGGAAGAAACTGAACAGAATGCATTTTATTCGAAGCACCTTCCTTCTACCTCCTTTTATTTTGGCTAAGGATAAAAGGGTAGATTAAAGTGAGATTTGCAAGTAGCTTAAGGAAGGCAAAGTCAAGGATTGAGAGCCGAGAAAGAATTAAGGACAATTCAGTAGGATGTACATTCCAGAAGAAAGCTGGTTAAGACCAAAACCCAACCAATCTCTGATGTAAACAATGGAGCTGATGATTAAGTTTAAAACTAAAGGCCAGCAAATTTTGAAATTTGAAAAGCAATACAGTTATTTAATTCAATGATACTCTATTGATTGTAAATTCATTTTAATCTTTAAACCATCCTTCTGATTATATGAACAAATGCAGCAAAATTTAACAACTATTTCTTTCTCTTTTTTTTTTGTTTTTTGTTTTTTGTTTGTTTTTGAGACAGGGTCTCGTTCTGTGGTCTAGGCTGGAATGCAGTGGCATAATCACAGCTCACCACAGCCTCAAACTCCTCGGCTCAAGGGATCCTCCTGCCTTAGCCTCCCAAGTAGCTGGGACTACAGGTGCACACCACATGCCCAGCTAATCTTAAAAGTTTTTTTGTATAGATGGGGTTTCACCATGTTGTCCAGCCTAATTTTGAACTCCTGGGCTCAAGCAATTCTCCTGCCTTGACCTCCCAAAGTGCTGGGATTATAGGGGTGAGCCATCACACCAGGCAAAACTCTTTCTTTCTTTATTGTTGAGTTTTTGGAAAAGAAGAGAGACATGAATGATACAAAAGGGACATAATAGAAAAGGAAAATGATCAATAATTAGAGAAAACTCTTATCCTTTCTTTGGCTGGTTTTCAAACCCTTCATTGGAGCCCTGCAAGTTCTAAGGAATCTAGGCACCGGGGTGGCATGGAGGAGATGAGGACTGAGCCTTGACAAACTCCAGCCTCTGTTCCCAGCTACTCAGGAAGCAGAGGTGGGAGGATGGCTTAAGCCTGGGAGGCAGAGGTTGCAGTGAGCTGAGATCATGCCACTGCACTCCAGCCTGGGTGGCAGAGCCAGACCATGTCTCAAAAAAAAAAAAAAAAGCCATTTCCAGAAAACAAAGATAAAGAGAATTTATCACTAGCAGTTTTACACTACACAAAATATTAAAGAATGCACTTCAGGCTGAGGAAGATGGTCAGAGGTGGATGAGAAAACATGAATCTGCAAAAAAAAAAAAAAAAAAAAAAAAAAAAAAGGAAGAGCACCAGAGTTGGTAAATATGTGGGCAAATACAAAATACTTTTTCTTAATCTTTTTAAGAAACTCAAGTGATTGTTTAAAGTAAAATAATAAAATTGTACTGCAGAGTTTATAAGACAGAAGTGAGCAGTGAGCTGAGATCGTGTCACTGGCACTCCAGCCTGGGTGACCGTGTGAGACTCCATCTCAAAAAAAAAAAAAAAAAAAAAAAAAAAAGAAATGAAATATATGACAATAATAGTAAAAAGTCTTGGCAGTAAAAATTGTTATAGAAAATTGAATTATACTGTTATAAGGTTCTTAACATGAAATAGTAAAATATGCATTTCAGTAAGCTATGATAAGGTTAGGGTCCATATTATGATCCTTAGAGCACCTACTATAAATGGAAAATTAGAATGTCAATTTCAAAGACCGATAGAAATAATAATATGTAATTCTTATAATTCAATTAATCTAAAAGAAGGCAGGAAAAATGAGACCAAGGAGAGATGGGAGTTATGGAATAAGTAGAAAACAATTGTTAGCAAACCCAACTATATCAACAATTACATTGGGTAAAAAGGTACTAAATACTCTTAATTAAATGTTAGAAATTGTCAGATAGAAAAGTAAGATGAATTCAATAGGATAATACTTTAACTATAAAGACACAAATAGGTTGAAAGTAAAAGAATGGAAAAGAGGCCAGGTGCGGTGGCTCACGCCTGTAATCCCAGCACTTTGGGAGGCTGAGGCGGGCGGATCACGAGGTCAGGAGTTTGAGAACAGCCTGGAAAACATGGTGAAACCCTGCCTTTACTAAAAATACAAAAATTAGCTGGGCATAGTGGCGGGCGCCTGTAATCCCAGCTACTTGGACGGTTGAGGCAAGAGAATCGCTTGAACCCGGGAGGCAGAGGTTGCAGTGATCTGAGATCGTGCCACTGCACTCCAACCTGGGCGAAAGAGCGAGGAGACTCCGTCTCAAAAAAAAAAAAATAAATAAAAGAATGGAAAAGAATATACCATACAAACACTAATCACAAGTAACACAATGTGACTATATTATCAAAGTAGGCTTTCTGACAAGAGGTATTTGAAAAAAGATACACTTATAACCACATGTTGACAAGGGTCAATTCATTACATAAACATCCTAGATTTATTTGCAATGAGGAGTAGAACTTCAAAATACAGTAACAAAAATTGGCAGAGCTAAATGGAAAATTAGAAAACTTTACAATCATAGTGGGAAATTTTTACAGCCATATATTAAAAATTCACAGAAGTAAACCAAAAAAGTTAGCAACATAGAGAAGAATTCAGCAACTTTATCAACCCCTCGACCTAATTGATATTTATAGACTATTACAACAAATTGCTGCAAATATATATTAATTTCAAATGTACAAGTAACATTGACTAAGATTGACAAATGCTGAGTCATAAAATAAGTTTCAATACATTTTGAAAGACTAAAATTATATAGAGTATTTTTAAACCACAAGAGAATTAAGTTAAAATCAATAGTAAAATTATAACTAGAAAAATTCTTAAATACTTGAAAATTAAACTACATGCTTCTACATAACCCACGGGTGAAAAGAAAAAAAATCCCAAGGGAAATTAGAAAATATTTTGAACTAAATTGTAATTAAAACAAAGCATATCAAAATGTGTGAGATGCAGCAAAAACAGTGCTAAGAGGGAAATGTGTAGCATTAAAGTTTACATTAAGAAAAAGATCAGGGCCAGGCGTGATGGCGCACACCTGTAATCCCAGCACTTTGGGAGGCTGAGGCAGGTGGATCATGAAGTCAGGAGATTGAGACTATCCTGGCCAACATGGTGAAATCCCATCTCTATGAAAAATACAAAAAAAAAAAATTAGCTGAGTGTGGTGGCGGGCACCTGTAGTCCCAGCAACCCAGGAGGCTCAGGCAGGAGAATCGCTTGAACCAGGGGAGTGGAGGTTGCAGTGAGTCAAGATCGCACCACTGCACACCAGCCTGGGTGACAGAGCAAAATTCTGTCTCAAAAACAGAAAGAAAAAGATCAGTGAACTAAGCTATCAAGATAAAACAAGCTAGACAAGAAAAAAATATTAAGCCCAATAAAAGTAAAAGGAAGGAAATAATATAAAATCATAAGTCAATACTATAAAACAGATTAAAAAAGCAAAAATCAACCAAGTTGAACTTTGTTATTTAAAAAGATTAATAAAAGTGATGCACTTCTAGCAAGACTAGCTGAGAAACAAATTGCCACTATAGGAATGGAAGAGGAGATATAACTATAGATTCTTCAGACATTAAATGATATTAAAGCATATTAGAACAAGTTTACATCAATAAATTCAATGAATTCAATTATTTTTTCCTGAAATTTATACAAGAAAACAGAAATTCTGAATAGCACTGTATTCGTTAAAGAAACCAAAATATCCCAAAAGAAATGTCAAGCCTAAATATCTTCACTAGTCCATTCTATAAAACATTTAAGGAAGAAAAATATCAAAATTCAACAAACTATTTTATAAATAAAATAAGAGGAAGCACAAACTACCTTAATGAGACCAACATAATCCTGAGACCAAAACATCAAGGATGGTATAACAAAAAAATTACAGATAACTATTTCTGAGAACACAGATATAAAAATCCTCAATATCATGTTAGCAAATAAAATCCAGTAATATTTAACAATAATAGTACATCAGGCCAAGTAGGGTTTATACCAGGATTTAATATTTCAAAATTAATTTATATAATTTACCACATTAATAGAATAAATAAATCATATGATCATCTCAATATACAGATAAGGCATTTGACAAAATTTACCCCTTAATCCGGATTAAAAACAACAATAAACTAGGAATAGAAGAGAATTTCTTAAATTTAGAAAAGGACACCTATGAAAAACTTACCTTTTTTTTTTTGTTCTTTTGTGTTTTTTGGAACAGAGTCTCACTCTGTCATCCAGGCTCCAGGCTGGAGTGCAATGGCATGATCTTGGCTCACTGGAACCTCCACCTCCTGGGTTCAAGCGATTCTCCCACCTCAGCCTCCTGAGTAGCTGGGATTACAGGCGTGCACCACCATTTTTGGCTAATTTTTTGTATTTTTAGTAGAGATGGGGTTTCACCATGTTGGCCTGACTGGCCTTGAACTCCTGACCTCAGGTGATCCACCCGCCTCGGCCTCCCAAAGTGCTGGGATTACAGGCATGAGCCACCATGCCTGACCTGAAAAACTTACCTCTAACATAATATTTTATAAGATATTGAATGCTCTATCTTTACCACCCCCTCAACATCAGAAACAAGGCAAGGATACTTTAACAACTTCGATTTAACATGTTCTAGGATCCTAAACAGTGCAGCAAGGAAAAAAAGAAACAAAAAATAAAGAGAAAGAAGAAAGCAAGGAAAAGTCATAAAGACTGAAAAACAAGAAAGGTGCAACATTGTCTATGTGAAGACTCTCCATGGTTTGGATACGTAGAAAGTCTAGTGTGTTCTACAAGCTACTAGAAGCAGTAAGTGAACTTAGCAAGGTCATAGCAGTCTGCAAGTGTCAATCTTGCATTAGCAATAAATAACTAGAAAATAAAATAATAATCCCAGCACTTTGGGAGGCTGAGGTGGGTGGATCACCTGAGGTTGGGAGTTCGAGACCAGCCTGACCAACATGGTGAAACCCCGTCTCTACTAAAAAATACAAAATTAGCCAGGCATGGTGGCGCATGCCTGTAATCCCAGCTATTCGGGAGGCTGAGGCAGGAGAATCCAGGAGGCAGATGTTGTGGTGAGCCGAGATCACACCATTGCACTCCAGCCTGGGCAACAAGAGCGAAACTCCATCAAAAAAAAAAAAGAAAAGAAAGAAAGAAAGGAAGGAAGGAAGGAAGGAAGGAAGGAAGACAGAAAGACCATCTACAACAACACCTTAAAACATCTATTACATAGAAATAAATTCAATGAAAGATGTGCAAAACCTCTATACTAAACACTACGAAACATTGCTAAGAGAAATTAGACATCTAAATAAATGGAGAGATGTACGATGTTTATGATTTGGAGCTCTAAATATTGTGAAAATATTCATTATTCCCAACATTATCTACATCTTTGAGGCAATTACAACAAAAACCCCAACAGATTTTTGTAAAATTTGACAAACTAATTCTAAAATTTATATGGAAATTAGAAGAACTGGTATAGACAAGATGATTTTTAAAAAGAGAAAATTGAAAAAAATAATAGTGTTTTATTTCAAGACTTACTACAATGCTACAAAATTAAGATAGTGCAGTGTTGTGATAAAGATAAACAAATTTTTCAATGGACAAGAATAAAAGGTCCAGAAATGTACACATACATGTACAGTCAATTCCAACACCAGCCCCACTGCAACTCAATGGGGAAGTAAAATTCTTTGAATAACTATTGCTGGAACAACTGGAAAAATGTTGGGAGCAGGCCCCCCAAAACTGGCCATAAACAAAATGTCTGCAGCACTGTAACATGTTCATAATGGCCCCTAATGCCTAAGCTGGAAGGTTGTGGGTTTATGGGAATGAGGGCAAGAAACACCTGGCCCGCCCAGGGCGGAAAACCGCTTAAAAGCATTCGTAAGCCACAAATAATAGCATGAGTGATCTGTCCCTTATGGACATGCTCCTGCTGCAGGTAACTAGCCCAACCTATTCCTTTAATTCGGCCCATCCCTTTGTTTCCCATAAAGGATACTTTTAGTTAATCGAATATCTATAGAAACAATGCTAATGACTGGCTTGCTGTTAATAAATACGTGGGTAAATCTCTGTTCGGGGCTCTCAGCTCTGAAGGCTGTGAGACCCCTGATTTCCCGCTTCACACCTCTATATTTCTGTGTGTGTGTCTTTAATTCCTCTAGCACCGCTGGGTTAGGGTCTCCCCTACCAAGCTGGTCTCGGCAGAAAAATGTGAGAAAATATTAACCACTACTTCCCAGCATTCACAATAAGTCAGTTGAAATTTATCATATTCCTAATTATAGAAACTAAAACTATAAATTTTCTAGAAGAAAATTTTATCCCTTGGGGTAAGTAGAGAAATAAAATCACTAATTACAAAAGGACAAAGTTAATACATTAAATTTAATAAAAATGTAAGACTCCTTTTTTTTTTTTCTTTAGAGACAGGATCTCACTCTGTCACTCAGGCTGGAGTGCAGTGGTGCAATCACAGCTCACTGCAGCCTCAAACTTCTGGAATTAACCCAAAGGTATATCAACAGGAAAATGGATAATCAGTTTGTGGTATTTCTTACAATGGAATGCTACTTAGCAATAAAGAAGATACGTATTATTGATATATGTAACAGTATGGATGAGTCTCAAAACTATTACGTTGAATTAGAGAAGCCATACACAAGAGGGCAACCTATGTAATTCTATTTATATGAAGTTTAAGAACTTAAACTTAATTTTAAGTTCATAAACTTAAAATTAATTCTTAGTGATACAAATTAGAACAATGTTTGCCTTGTGGAGAGGAGAATTTACTAGAAAGAGGCATGAAAGTCCTTTCATGGATAATGGAAATGTTCAATGTCTTGGTTTTGGTGGTTGGTTACACGGGTTTATAAAATTGTCAAAACTCATCAGACTGTACACTTGAAATTTGAGCATTTTATTGCATATAAAAATAACTCAAAAAGTGCTTCAAAGTAAAATAATATGTGTTAAATCAAGTTTAGCCTAAAGCTGCCTCCTTATGTATTTTAAATTCAGCCTAAAGGTTTTTCTGTACATCATGAACTAAAACAGGTGGAGGTGTAAACAGACCACAGCCTACACTTGTGCCAATCACCGAGTTTTGGCCAATCAAATACAGCCAAATGTTCCAACTATGTTCCAATAAGGCAAATGCCAACCGGTAATTCATCTAGCTGTTTCTTCACCTCACTTGCGTTTTCTGTACATCACTTGCCATTTTTTGTCCATAAATCTTCTTCTACCACATATGTGGCTGCGCTGGGGTCACAGAGCCTACTCTGGCTCTGAAGGCTGCCCGATTCACAAATCATTCATTGCTCAATTAAACTCCTTTACATTTAATTCGGCTGATGTTTTTATTTCATTATAAAGTATATATTGGGAAATACAAAGGGACAAGGAGCACAAAAGCCTCTTAAAGATTCTCCCTGTCTACTGTTCCCTGGAGAACCGAGGAGTGAATATCTACCTAATTCAAATTCTTAAGGTTTTCAAAAATAATATTTTCAAACTCATACAGTGATGCACCACGGATAATAAAGCAAAAATCTCCATAATCCTACCCGCAAGACATAAGCAATGTTAACTGTTTTTTATATCTGGTATTTCCTATGTACGTATTAACATATTATTATTATTATCATAATCATCAACATCATTATCTGAGACGGAGTGTCACTCTGTTGCCATGCTGGAGTGCAGTGGCGCGATTTCTGCTGACTGCAATTTCCGCCTCCCAGGTTCAAGTGATTCCCCTGCCTCAGCCTCCCGAGTAGCTGGGATTACAGGCGCCTGCCACCATGCCCAGCTAATTTTTTGTATTTTAATACAGACGAGGTTTCACCATGTTGGCCAGTATGGTCTCGATCTCCTGACTTCGTGATCTGCCCGCCTAGGCCTCCCAAAGCGCTAGGATTACATGCATGAGTCACCGCGCCCGGCCCAATATTGTTTTTAATAAAAATAATGTTATATGATCAAAATGTGTATAGTGACCTGAAATCAAAGCATTCAAGTCTAAAATCTGAGTTTATGAATCTGAAATTCTTCACTGGGTTTCCAGAGGTTGCATTTCATTGTCTTATTCAGCATGGAAGATACCTGTCATTCATGTGTTTCTAATTTAGTAGAGCAGATTAATTCAGATAACTGAAATTGCAAGTAGAAATAAATGAGCTGCTTCAAAATATTTTTAGAATGAAACAGTGTGTGCATAAATTGATTTTCATGATTTTCATCGATAAATACAGTCATTACACGAGTGAATTTAAAGGGAAGAAAAGGTATTTTTCCACTCAGAGGTGTGGTTTCAAGCCTTTTCTTAGCAAAAGACTGCTTTCTTCAAATGAAATCTTCCAGAAACTCTGGCTTATAAAACAGATACAACCAAATCTACTCTAAGTGAATAGGTTTGGAAAAAAGCTAAAGTTAAAGTTCTCTAGGGATCATAATATGGACCCTAACCTTATCATAGTTTACTGAAATTAATATTTTACGATTTCATGTTAAGAACTTTGTAACAGTATAATTCAATTTTCTGTAACAATTTTCTACCTCCAACACTTTTTACTATTATTGTCATATATTTCACTTCTGTCTTATAAATTCTGCAGTACAATTTTATTATTTTACTTTAAACAATCACTTGACTTTCTTAAAAAGATTAAGGAAAAGTATTTTGTATTTGCCCACATATTTACCAAATCTGGTGCTCTTCCTTTTTTTTTTTTTTTTTGCAGATTCATGTTTTCACATCCACCTCTGACCATCTTCCTCAGCCTGAAGTGCATTCTTTAGTATTTTGTGTAGTGTAAAACTGCTGGTGATAAATTCTCTTCACCTTTGTTTTCTGGAAATGGTAGGGGTTTTCTTGTTTGTTTGTTTCGTGTATGTGTGTGTGTGTGTTTTTTTTTTTGTTTTTTTTTTTTTGAGATAGGGTCTGGCTCTGCTACCCAGGCTGAAGTGCAGTGGCATGATCTCAGCTCACTACAACCTGTGCCTCCCAGGCTTAAGCCATCCTCCCACTTTAGCTTCCTAAGCAGCTGGGACCACAGATGCACACCACCACATCCAGCTAGTTTTTGTATTTTTAGTAGAGACAAAGTTTCACCATGTTGGCCAGGCTGGTCTTGAACTCCTGGGCTCAAAGCGATCTGCCAGCCTCGGGCTCCCAAAGTTCTGGGATTACATACATGAGCCATGGAACCTGGCCTGAAAATGGCTCTTTTTTACATTCATTTTTAAAGGACAATCTCACAGGACTTAGAATTCTAGGTTGACATATTTTTTTTCAATACTTTGAAGTTATTTAATTGTTTTCTACTGTCCATTTCTTTATTAATGAGAAGTCAGCCACAATTCTTATTGTTTCTCTGAGTGTAACATCTCTTTTCTTCTCTGGGTACTTTTAGGATTTCTCACCTTGGCCGGGTGTGGTGGTGGATTCCTGTAATCCCAGCTACTCAGGAGGCTGAGGCAGTAGAATTGTTTGTGCCTGTGAAGTGGAGGCTGCAGTTAGCCAAGATTGCACCACTGCACTCCAGCCTGGGTGACAGAGTGAAACGCTGGCTCAAACATACAAACAAGATTTCTCACCTTTATCTTTGAATTTTGGCTATTTGACTGTGGTATGCCTTGATGAAGTCTTCATTGTTTTTGTCCTGTCTGGGATTTGCTGAGTTTTTTTTTTGTTTTGTTTTGTTTTGTTTTTGATCTATGGGTTTATGCCTTTGAGAAATTTGACTCACTCCTGTGTTCGACAACATGTTTTTGTCAACAGGTCTTAGGTACTCTGTTCTCTCTCTATATTTCTCCATGATTCAGTTTGAGTGAATTCTATTGAACTATCTTCAATTTCATCCATCCTTTCATCTATGTGTTCATTCTGCTCTTAAATCCTCTAAAGAACTTTTCATTTAAGATATTCTGTTTTCTAGTTCTAGAGATTTTAGTTCTTCTTTTTCAGCTTTATTGAGATATAGTTGACAAATTAAAATTCTATATATTTATGGTATATAATGTGATGTTTTCATATCTGTATACAGTGTAAAATGATTATAATTAACCTAATTTAACATATTCATCACCTCACATAGTTATCTTTTTATGTGTGTGGGCATAAAAATGTTTAATATCTACTTTTTAAGCAATTTTAAAATATACAATACATTCTTATTAACTACCATCACAATATTACATGAGATAGTTATTTATTTATTTATTATTTATTGAGATGGGGTCTCACTTTGTCACCCAGGCTGGAATGCAGTGGTGTGATCACAGCTGACTGCAGCCTCAGTCTCCCAGGCTCAAGCAATCCTACCCCCTCAGCCTCCTAAGTAGCTGGGACTATATGCACACACCACAATACCTGGCTAATTTTTGGTTTTTTCTTTCTTTCTTTCTTTTTCTTTCTTTCTTTCTTTCTTTCTTTCTTTCTTTCTTTCTTTCTTTCTTTCTTTCTTTCTTTTCTTTCTTTCTTTCTTTTTTTCTTTCCTTCCTTCCTTCCTTCCTTCCTTCCTTCCTTCTTTCTTTCTTTCTTTCTTTCTTTTTCTTTCTTTCTTTCTTTCTTTTCTTTCTTCCCTTCTTTCTTTCCTTTTTCTGTTTTTGTAGAGACAGGGTTTCGCAATGTTGCCCAGGCTGGTCTCGAACTCCTGGGCTCAAGTAATCTGCCCACTTGAGCCTCCCAAAGTGTTCTGTTTACAGGAGTGAGCCACTGAGCCCAGCCTCCATTATATTTTACAATTTTAATTTTCTGCTGGAATTCCTTATCTGTTCACACATTCTATTTTTTCCTGAAAACCTTAAAAAATATTTTTTTAAACTGCAACTTTTATTTTAGGTTCAGAGAGTATAGGATTATTACAAGGGCCTATTGCATGGTGCTGAGGTTTGGGTACAATTGAGCCCATCACCCAGGTAATGAGCATAGTACCCAACAGGTAATTTTCCAGTGCTTGCTTCCCTTCCTCCCTCCCGCTTCTTGTAGTCTCCAATGTCTATTGTTCCCATCTTAATGTCGATGTGTACCCAATGTTTAATCTTTTAACATAAATATACTAGCTGTTTTTAAATTCTTTCTTTGCTAATTCCAGAATCTGAGTAATGGAAACTCTATTTCTATTGCCTGTTTTTCTCTTGGTTCTAGGTCACATTTTCCTGCATCTTTGCATAACTAGTAAGTGTGTATTGAATTCTGAACATTATGTACGACATATTGTACAAACTCTAGATTCTATTATCTTCCCATAAAGAGTACTCCATTTCACTCTGGCAAATATTTAAATATTTGGTGGATGTTCTTGATTCTATTGAGGCTTGATTTTGGAATTTGTTATGGAGGCTTATTTGAGTTTACCCTTAGATTTGGGGCATGGCTTGGAGTCTTGGATCATGAGTTTATTCTGGTAACATGGCTCTTAGGGTTTCATTGGAAAATCCAAAATGTTTTCTAATCTCCTCCTTCTTGACTAGATTTGAACTCTGAACTATCTTCCTAGAACCAGGTAGCTACTGAAATCTCTGCTTATATATATTTTTTTCTTTTAGTTTGTGTATTTTCTTTTTTGTATTTTTTATTTGTTATTTTATTTTATTTTAAGTTCTGGGATACACGTGTAGGATGTGCAGGTTTGTTACACAGGTAAACATGTGCCATGGTGGTTGGCTGCACCTGTCAACCCAACACCTAGGTATTAAGCCCTGCATGTATTAGCGATTTTTCCTGATGCTCTCCCCACTCCCTGCCCTCCCCTGACAGGCCCCAGTGTGTGTTGTTCCCCTCCCTGTGTCCCTGTGTTCTCATTGTTCAGCTCCCACTTGTAAGTGAGAACGTGTGGTGTGTGGTATTTGGTTTTTTGTTCCTGATAGTTTGCTAGGGATAATGGCTTCCAGCTTCATCCATGTCCCTGCAAAGGACGTAATCTCGTTCCTTTTTATGGCTGCATAATATTTTATCTTTTTAGCCCCTCAATTGCTGATGTCTGCTGGGTTCCTTGAGTGTCATTTAGGAACCAGCCAGAGACTTGCAGGGACTTTCTATGCTGATTTTAGAGCTCTCTCTTTGTGTCTAAGATTTCTTCTAAGATTTGTCCCCTTGGTTTTCAACCACTGTGGCATCTCTGAACTTCAGTTTCTGTTTCCTGAGCAAAAAATGTCTTCTTTCAGTTTGAACTTGATTTCCTCATGCATCATGTGAACTGAAAAGTTCCCATATGGGAAAAGTTGGGTACATGTAGAAGTCACTCAGTGTCCTTTGCTCCGTTCAAGCACCTTCTGCTGAACAGTTTCTGCCTTCTTTGGGTTGTATTGTGTTTTGTATCATTGTTATTAGCATGAGGGTTTGTCTTATACAAGCAACTCCATTATTACTTTACTCCCATTAGTGTTAAATTCCACTATTTTCCTAACATTTGACCTCTGTAGCCCCTAAAAGCATTTGAGTTCATAGCCTCTATTTTAAATTTATAAAGGTCTGATTTTTTTTTTACAAAATATATTTTATAATGAATATGATCTATTTTTAATCAGAAAAAAAACACAATCACCCAGTTTGGGAAGGGTCTATTTCCTTAGATTTAGACAGGTATGGAAAATGGTATATCCCATAAGAGCGGGAGAACACTGCTCAGTGAAAGCCCTCTGTGGAGGGAGGGCAGAGATCAGACATCTAAGCAGATGGCTGTGAGGGGTAAAACTCAAAGCTTCCCGATTCCCAGCTTCAGGCTGGGCGTGGTGGCTCACACCTGTACTCCTAGCACTTGGGGAGGCCAAGGCGGGAGAATTACTTGAGTCCAGGAGTTCCAGACCATCCTGGGCAACATAGTGAGACCCTGTCTATACATGAATTTAAAAAAAAATTAGGCATGGTGGTGCACACATGTAGTCCTAGCTACTCAGAAGGCCAAGGTGGGAAGATTGTTTGAGCCCAGAAGTTTGCGGCTATAGTAAGAATCATGACTGCAGTACTGCACTCCAGCCCGAGTGACAGAACAAGACCCCTCACAACAAGAACAACAACAACAAAATTCCCAGTTTCAGGAAGATTCCCTGCTCTATTGGCGATTTGGAAGCAGAAATCTAAGGGGGTTTTTAAAAGGTCAGTGGTGACCACGGTAACATCGATCCTCATTTCATTTCCTAGGGGTCATGAAAACAGCACATGTTGGAGCATTCTTGGAAAGGATCCCAATAGCATTGGAAAAATCATTCCTCACCAATACAGTGGAATGGGAGCTGAAATCCAGGATTAAGTTCATATAAAGGAAATCGAGAAATATTTTTCATACAGCTGAGTTTTTGGCCTGAGAATCATGCTTTTGCAATCCCATAGGAGACAGGGTGAGACATACTATAGACCCACGTCACAAGGTTCCAGTCACAGCACACCAAACAGCACTTTTGAAAAAAACATGTTTTATGGGTGGGTCAACACTTGTCAGATTAGGGGACCCTGTCCTCACTGATGTCACTTGATCCTGTTAATTACCGAGTCCCGAGAAAGAGACCCAGGTAAAAGTAAGCTCCGTATCCTTGGGCCATGTGATGTTTCCGGATAATTTCCAGATTATCTGTAGTTGAACAGGGAGTTCACAAGCTTTCCCCATGACTCAGAAAATTGTAACTGCCTGAAGAATTTTTAGAAGGCTGTAAGTGAGGAGATGGTCCTGTGGGACTGAGCAAAACATACCATGCTGGATTTTCCAAATGTGGGATGTGATTTAGATAAGCTTCCACCCTTGATATGCTTTTCAAAAATAACCTTTATCAGATTGTTATTTATTATTTCACTCAACACATAGTAAGTATTGACTAAGGACCACTCACTATTTTAGGCAGTGACACTACCACAGGCCTGGGCAGAGGAACCTGATTGGAAACAGTCCTGCAACCGGAGGAGGTGTCTAAAAATGTAGGGAGATTTCCTTGTTTGTCAGAATGACTGGGAGTTTCTACTGACATTAGCTGCCAGGTGTTAAGTGATGGTAAAATGTAATGCAATGCACAGAACATACCAAGAGCACTTGCATAGGTCAGTATTTGTGAAAGAACAGGAACTATTTAAAATGGAAAATGGCCGGCGCGGTGGCTCACGCCTGTAATCCCAGCACTTTGGGCGGCCGAGCCGGGTGGATCACTTGAGGTCAGGAGCTCGAGTCCAGCCTGGCCTACATGGTGAAACCCCGTCTTTACTAAAAATACAAAAATTAGCTGGGCGTGGTGGTGGGCACCTGTAATCCCAGCTACTGGGGAGGCTGAGGCAGGAGAATCACTTGAACCCGGGAGGTAGAGGTTGCAGTGAGCCGAGATCATGCCATTGCACTCCAGCCTGGGTGACAAGAGCGAAAGTCCATCTCTAAATAAATAAATAAATAAAACAAATAAATAAATAAAATGGAAAATGACTTGTTACAGCAAAATGGGCATGTTCAAAACCATTTTCTGTGCTGGAACACTTGTAGGTTTGCTGTTCATTAGAGATTTATGAAATCGCCTCTGACATCCTTGCTAGGAGCTACAGGAACCCACCACCAATAGTCACAGCCGCTTTCACAAGAAAATGCCCTGAGGCCACCGGAAACACCTCAATTCATCTTAGCAGCCAGGAAAATGTAATGCCTTTTGATCTCCTTCTGCCTTCCAGATCAAAACCAGAACCTTGCTTATGGTCATTCTGGGGAATGTAGTTCCCAGGTTCCTGGTCCAGCAATACAGAGGAATAGCATAGATTAGACATTCTCAGACTCCATCACCTCTAGTCAAAAAGGTTTGTCGACACATTGTTGGGGTTCAGTACACCTTGATGAGCCCTTGGAATTTGCATCTCTATCAAGTCTACAGGTGATGCTCATGCTGGTGGTCTACGCTTTGAGGCCATATGCTTAGAAGGGAAAATAAGGATGTATGCAAATGTCCAATCTGTCACAGCCAGATAAAGACATGGCGTTCATCCTGAGTGAAATGAGGGGCCATTGGAGAATTTTTAAGCAGAGGAATGACATGATCTGACTTCCATTTTAAAAGGATCACCTGGGCTTCCAGGGAAATAATAAAAACAGCCATGCCAGGCAAGAGGTCATTGTGACAAAAAAAAAAAGTTCATGGTGGAAACTTAGGAAAATACAAAATAAAAAGACAAATATAATAAAAATCACTTACAATCCCACCAGTCGGAACCAACTATTATTAATATTTAGATATATTTCCTTTCTGTGTGTTCACTGAGATTATAGTTTACACGATGTGTAACATCATTGTTTAAACTTTAATATATCATGCCATTGAGAATTCTAGGTCATGGAATAGTCTTCTGCAACATTAAGAGGAAGCTGATTGGTGGAAGGCATGCAGAAGATGTCACTGAGATGTCACTGGGCCTGTTAGTGAATGTGCTTCCTGAGGTGCCGGTCTCTTCTGTTCCTCTTCCTAACACACCTAGCCTATCAAACAGAAAATATTTTAATCAGAATTTCAAGTTCTTGACTTAGCACGTGCTTAACAAAGGCTTACTTTTTAAGTCACTGAGGCAGTGAGGGAGGAGCTTGGGCAAGGTTCCTCAAGATCGCCAGTCCAGTGTTCTTAAGATCACAAGTGTGGACAATTAGCCGTCAAAGAATGGTCTCACAGGATTTTTCCGTGTATATCTGATATATTGCTTATCACCTTGTCAAAACTCAATAAACAGTTATGGGAGAAATACATTAATGAACTACATCTCTAAGCCTTGACCTCTACAGTATTTCTTCCTTCCAATCAATATGCTTCTTGAAGTTTAGAAAAAACAGTCTCTAATCCTTCATCTCCTACTCTTTTGCAAGCGGTATGGAATTTGTTTCTTCCTGAAAGGAAAGGTGAAATATTTTTCTCTGGAAAGAAGGGTAAGAAAATAAGAAACTGTAGAGTTGGAACTAAGAACCCCAGAGTACATTTAAATAAGACATAAATGTATTACTCACCCTCCCAATGAAAGCAGAGGCCCCAAAGTCAACTTCCTTAAAGGGCTAGACAGATAATGTTGTGAATATTTGGAAAGGATAGATATAAGTCAATAGACAGTACTGTGACCCATGATAAATACAATAAAAACATATTGAAATTATACTTCCCAAAATATTATGGATTAGGTATTCCGGAAAACACCTCTGAGAAGAAACTTTAAAATACCAGAAAAAAATGCAATAAATATTTAAATACTTAGTTGAACATTTAATTGAAGGACCTCATTTTAGGTGATAAAGCAAGGGCTAATGCAGGGAAGCCCCGGAATTGCTAGCTGACACCAGCAAGTTTGTGTTTTGGGTTTAATGTGTGAGGGATAAGAGGCAGGGCCTCAGGTCAACTTATGATAGGGATTTGGGACTGAGATTTCCTCATAAATCTAAGGGTCTTGAAATGCTATAACCTTAATAAAAGAATAGGTTAGAAAAAGAGTCTATATATTGTCAACAGGAAGGACACTTTTCTTTCTCAGCATCAAATCTGAGTGGAAATTAAAAAAAAAACTTATGTAATTCTAAGCATGCCCCTATAAGAGTCTGCGATTCTCCGACAATCCATGGAATCCCAAGGAGAGAATTAACACAATGGTCCAGGATTAATACCACTCTTGGATGTGTGTTAGAAGCCAGTATTTTCTGGAATAATGGTCCCTCTCCTAAGGCCTCCTTAGTGGATTTACTAGATTTGGGTCAGTCAAATAGGTTGGAAATGACATTCTTCGTCTTAAAGCTTTCTAGATATTCCTGATCTATAAAACTAAGTTATTGGGCTAAAATGTTTTTAATGTCATTTCAATTTTGTGTTTGTCTGATTTGGCTTGTGCCACAAATCTAAAATTTTTGCCAGTTAATATCACGGCCATCTCCAAGTCACTGGAAAACACTAAGTGAACTTTGTAGATGTCTCTTGTTTTCCTGTAATGTTATGAACTATATTAGTGCTTAATACATTGAAATTAACATGATGGAAATAAAAAAAGATTTATTCAGCTAATTTCAAACAAAATAAACAGCTCCCATTCTCATCAGTCAAAATCTTACCCTACTCAGAAGATGATCAAAAGCAAAACTAAAGAAGTAGCCACTGAGTCATCATTAAATTTTACTTGAAACGTGTTATGTAAGCAGTCTTGTTCTCAATCATGCAGAAAATAAAAACAGACATGCTGTGGACGCTGGTTTGAATGGAACAGAACGAAACTCATGTCTGTCAGTCACTGATCCTTGCCAAGCTGTGGGAATCATACTTGTTAAAGTGATTGAAGTCCTCAGTGGTAGAATTTATTTTGCTTCATTTTCACCAAAGCTTTACAAGCAGAAAATGTTTCCATTTGCATAAAAGTTTCAATTAGTACTGACTAATTTTAATTTTAGTTTCTTTGAAAATTCACATCTAATTGTCTAAGGCATTTCCAGCACTAATAGTAGACAAACTGTGAACATTAGTAGGCAAAAGTGAAAATTTTTCTCTGGAAAGAAGGGTAAGACAATAAACTGTAGAGTTGGAATTAAGAACCCCAGAATACATTTAAGTAAGACATAAATGTATTAATAAATATTTGAAGAATGAATTAAGAAAAATAAGCTCATGATAATTATATAATTACCATTGCACTTAAAGGAAAGTCATTTGGGCCCCCAAACTAACTGTAAGGTGAAGCTGGGCTGAAAGCAAACAAAAGGAACCGTAGACATTTTTTTAAAAATAAGAAACACACAAAATTCAAGTCATTTACTCAAATTTAAGTGAAATAATCAGCACAGAGATTGCAATTGTTGCTGTCTATTGTAGAAAAAACTAGAACATAATTCTTCATGGATTGCTTTCAACTGGACAGGTCAATTGCTTCCTTGATTCATTTTTTTAAAAAAACAAAAACCTTAGCAATTTATTCCTGCTGGTGTACTAAAGCACAGCACTTGTGTCATTCTCTAAGCTCTCGTCGGGTAGAATGAAGTCAGGGCTAAAGCTTATCAGGGCTTTGGAGAGGAAAGTGAGGGTTTAGGGCACCACAGTGAGAACTGCTTTTCCCCACACTAATACAATATTCCAAGAAGGTTTGCTAAGTTTAATTGAGTCTAACTGAGCTAAGTTGAACTGAATTGAATTCAATCTAAATGAATCAGTTGCAGGTCATACTGTTGAGTTTTAAACTCTTATTTTTTTTTTTCCTGAAAGAGTCCTTGAGACCCATCCTTCAGCACAGGCTGAGAATTTCTATCTGTAATTTCTTTTCAGGGGCAGTTAATATTTTAAAAGATTTTGTTTAGAAGTGGTTTCCTCAATATCTTTATGATGCAATATTAGTTCTCTTTCATAGCCATTATTTTCAGTTGGAACCACAAATGAGAATATTTCTTGCTGCACTTCTGGTTAACATCTGATTCCCCAACTAGACTGCACATCTCTGTGCTTTGTTCACCCCTCTGTCCCAGGACTGGTTTAGTGTCTGGCACAGAATAGTTGCTTTAATAATTATTTGATGAGTGGATTAATTAATATAAATAACAAGAACAGTAAGAGAATCACAATTCTGTAATTACCATTTCACTTGAAGGAAAAACTTGGCCTAAGGGAAATGTTAATTCTTGCATTTATGTTTAGTGAGTATGCTGTGGAAGTTGTTTCTCTCTATACCAGCCCGTGCCTCTAAGCTTTTGGTCTGTAAAAGTAGTTGATTTCTTTGAAGTGCTCGATTCATTGTTGACATTGGTATGTACAGCAGGAAACAGCTGATTTGAGAATATGCCAAGGTGTTAGGGCATCAAATATGGGTCTTGGAACAAATGGAACAGAACTGAGTTTGTTTAGCCTTGACAACGGACAAAGTTTTTACCTGCTAAAGTAGATTTTATGTATCAATTTTGCCATGAAGAAATTGAAGACCAGAGAGGCCAAGGAGCTTGTCCAAAGTTCAAAGGCAGGGCTGGTGTGCAGGCAGCCGCATGTGCTCCACAGTGACTGTCTTGCTTTGTCAGCCACGCCATTACTGGTTGTTAAGATTCAGGTACTGCCATGGACAGCAATAGAGCACACACAGAAATAGACTAAAAGCTCCTGTTTTTTCTAATATTCTCTATTGGCCATCACTATATTTTGAGTTCAGAAACCTGAATATGACCCAGGATTCCCTTTGTATTCGCTCTGTGGTGCTCCATAAGGCACTCGTGTCCTCTGAATGTCATTTTCTTTATATGTGAAAACGAGGATCACCGTCCCCACTTTATTATTGTGAGAGTTAAACAAGAAACCTGTGGGAAAGGTAATGGAAGACCTGGCACTCACTAAACGTCATTCAAATCTGAATCTGTTGTGAACCTCAAACATTCTCTTCATATTCCAGTTTTGATCCATATTCTCCTGGCATTACTCTGAAATGCATTGTCTCACCCTTTCTTCAACATCAAAGCAGTTCAGACCTATGCACTAAACTACCTCGTTTACTGTCTCCCAAAGCTCCCTAGTTGGACTGAGCCTCTGCTGCCCACAGTGGTGAGCACTTAACACCACACATTTGATTGGCTTCCTGCTCTTCCCCATCTTCCTAGGCTGCTTCCTGGATTCAACATGTAAATAATTTGCATTTAAACTACTTGTCTCAGGAACTCAAACCACTCAACCAAAAAACAATAATCCCATCAAAAAGTGAGCAAAGGTCATGAACAGACATTTTTCAAAGGAAAACACAAAAATGACCAAGTATATGAAAAAAAAAATGCTCAACATCACTAATCATCAGAAAACTGAAAATTAAAACCGCAATGATATACCATCTTACACCAGTCAGAATGGCGATTATTAAAGTGTCAAAAGATAACAGATGTTGGAACGGCTATGGAGGAAAGGGAAAGCTTATATACACTGCTGGTGGAGATGTAAATTAGCACAACCTCTGTGGAGACCAGCATGGAGATTTCTCAAAGAAATAAAAATAGAAATACCACTGGATCCAGGAATCCCCCTATTGGGTATCTACCCAAAAGAAAAGAAATCATTATACCAAAAAGATACCTGCACTCATATGTTTATCACAACACTATTCACAATAGCAAAGATATGGAACTAACCTCAGTGTCCATCAAAAGATGATTGGATAAAGAAAGTGTAATATGTGTATACATACATAATGGAATACTATTCAGCCATGAAAAATGAAATAATACCTTTGACAGCAACATGGATGGAACTGGAGGCCATTATCCTGAGTGAAACGACTCAGTAACAGAAAGAAAAATATCACATATTCTCACTTATAAGTGGGAGCTAGATAATGAGCAAATGAGACAAAGTATGGAATGATAGATATTGGAGACCTGGAAGACAGTCAGGGTGGATGATAACAAATTACTTAATGGGTACAATGTATATTATTTGAGTGATGGATACACTAAAAGCTCAGACTACACCACTATGCAATATATCCATGTAACAAAATTGCACTTATACCCCTAACATTTATACAGTAAATAAACCACTTGCCTCAGGGTCTGGTTCAGGGGACTCCAATTAAAATAGGGCATATCTTCATATATGTATTAGTGAGAGTTCTCCAGAACCAATAGGGTGTGTGTGTGTGTAGATATATATTATGGAAGTTGGCTTGCGCAATTATGGAGACCTAGAAGTCCCATGATCTGCCCTCTGCAAGCTGGAGAACCAGGGAAGCCAGTGATGTACTTGAGTTTGAGCTTGAAGGCCTGAGAACCAGGAGAGCGGATGGTCTTGCTCCCAGGTCGAGGCCAAAGGCCTAAGCACCAGCGTGGCTGGTGGTGTAAGTCCTGGAGTCCGAAGGCTCAAGAACCAGGAGCTCCAATGTAAGGGAGGTGGAGAAGATGGCTGTCCCAGCTCCGGAAGAGACCGAATTGTCCTCTCCTCTGCTTTTTTATTCCATTCCAGCCCTCAATGGAATGACTGATGTCCGCCCCCATTGGAGAAGGTGATCTTCTTTACTCAGCCACTAATTCAAATGCTAATCTCTTCCAGAAGCACCCTCCCCCACACAGAAAAATGTTTCACCAGCTATCTGGGCCTCCCTTAGTGCAGTCAAGTTGACACATAAAGTTCGGCACACAATGTGTTGCATCCCCACTTGCTCCCAGCAGGTGCAAGCTTCTTTCTTTCATAGCAGCCCCACAGCTTTCTGTATCCTAGGTTGGCACAACTGCTTTGGCAGGGCGTATGTTAGAAACCTCTGGTTGGGCCATCATAGTGTCTCAGTTTGTGCTTGTGTCACCGTTTCTGAACATTAATCCAATTGCCGTCCATCCTCACATAAATGGATGCCTGCTCTATGATTTATGTGTTCCTCATCCTTTTGTGGAATTCCACTGTCTGCTTCCATCTTTCTCTCTTTCATTCTTATGGCCTTAGCTGCTGCCTGGAGATGCATGACCACCTGGGAAGCAGATCCTGAAGGTGTCAGGAACCAGGCTGGAGACAACGCTGCAGTAAGATTTAGACAAAATAGAAATCTGGGGTGGTGAGAGGGTCCCAACTTCATTGCGATTATGAGAATTTCAAAGAAGTGACGTCTGATTTCTTGAGTAGGTTACTTAACATTATTTACAAGACATATGTGACCCTAAAAAGTAAAATAAGGCTGGGCGCAATGGTTCTCACCTGTAATCCCAGCACTTTGTGAGGCCAAGGCAGGTAGATCACCTGAGGTCAGGAGTTTGAGACCAGCCTGGCCAAAATGGTGAAACCCTGTCTCTACCAAAAATACAAAAATTAGCCAGGTGTGGTGGTAGGCACCTGTAATCCCAGCTACTAGGGAGGCTGAGGCAGAAGAATTGCCTGAACCCAGGAAGCAGAGGTTGCAGTGAGCCAAGATCACGCCATTGCACTCCAGCCTGAGTGACAGAGCGAGACTTCATCTCAAAAAAGAAAAAAAAAAAGTGAATGAAGCCTCCAGAACATACCTTCATACCTTAATATGAGGAAATTGTTCTTTTCCCGCATTTTTCCTGTTTCATATTAGTACAGGTAGGAACCATCTGGACATCATGTATTATTTTACCTGATGGGGAACACTCTCCTTCAGTGTTTCCTCCACAAACAAGTAAACATTCCATAATACGATTTTAGATAACTAGGGAGAATTTACCAAGATAAACCAAAGAACATTCCTTCCAAAGTATATTTTTCTTTAAAAGTTTTAATGGCAATTTCTTTACAAAGTTCAATATATTATAAGACATGGAAAAATATATTGTACCCAGTATTTACTACAGTCATGAACTCTTAGAGTTTAAAATGTTGCTTTATTCAAAATCCAAAATTATAACTTGAAGTATATGGAAAATTCCCAGAGCCTAAGCAAATGAAGTTAAATTGGCATGGGGCATATGCTTTTATTTATTTGTATTAAAAAATCAAGTTATCAAAATATTGGCAACATAATTTTAACGTCTAATAGAAAAGGCAAAATAAACATGGCTGATATGTTAAAAACACACACACGCAAAACCTACATTCCTGAAAAATTTTAGTGCGTTTGCAAATCTGTTACCAAATTGAACATCTATAAATGGAAAGATAAACAGTTCGAGAGTCAGCGAGTTCTGGGTTCCAGTCCCACTGTGTACACTCTGGGATTCTGCAGGCGGTGGCATGGCCAGAAGCCTGCAGGCTTGCCAAGAGGCCGTGGGCACAGCACCATGCCTGAGCGCAGAGTGGCAGTGACTGGCTGGTAGCCCAGCACATGGGCCTAGGAATCTATTGTGGTGTCTGACACCATGCAGGTGTCACCACACATTGCTTTACCCGACAGATGGATGAACTGAATTTACAAATAGCTATAATTGGTTACCATCAGGGTGAAGACTTAGTATGGTGACAAAGAAATCCCCCAAATAGTGGCATAAAAACCTTTATGTGTATTTCTCTTTCTCAGAAAGCCATCCCTAGGTGGTGGGAAGTGCAGGCTGGCAAAGAACACGTTCCTCCCATCTGGTTAGGACATCGTCTTCTGCATGATGGGAACCGGGTCAGAGGCACCTGCGTCTACCAGCTCGGGTGAAGGGAGAGGGTCGAGAAGTGCATGCTCAGTGTTTTAAGGCCCTGGTTCAGAGTGGCAGATGTCACTTCCACTCAAACTCCAGTGGCTGGAACTCAGTCACAAGGCCACCACTCTCTCCATGGAAAGTTCAGAAACATCATCCTGGAAGCCCAGCCGCAAGTCAAGGATCAGCACAGTGTTTGCGTAGTGTGAAGCCAATCTGGTAACTAGCCGTGTCCAGCTCAGACCCCTCCAGTGTCACCCGATATCTGTGTGTGCTCTTATCCCACGCACAGACACACGAGGCACATGTGCCGCCCTCCACGGGGAGCCCCCAGAGTCCCCTCTGCATTTCCCCCAGCCCAAGGTCTAGGTTGCTGCAGTATCGGTATTGGAGGATTTTTTTTTCTTTTTGAGACAGAGTCTCGCTCTGTCTCCCAGGCTGCAGTGCAATGGTATGATCTCGGCTCACTGCAACTTCTGCCTCCCGGGTTCAAGTGATTCTCCTGCTTCAGCCTCCCAAGTAGCTGGGATTATAGGTGTCCACACCTGGCTAATTTTTTGTATTTTTAGTAGAGACAGGGTTTTGCCATGTTGGCCAGACTGGTCTTGAACTCCTGACCTCAGGTGATCCACCCACCTCGGCTTCCCAGAGTGCTGGGATTACAGGAGTGAGCCACCACGCCTGGCCTGGAGGGTCTTTTTGGTCTGGTCCAGAGGTAGCGGCTCACTGCCCAGTGGCCTCCAGCTAAAGGGCCAGTTGTCTATGTCCCTCCCACTCACAACCACAGTGGTGGAGCTGGAACAGCACATCTGCAGGGAAGACCTGGTTGGGACAAGGGAAGAGCAAAGGGAGGAGCAAAGGGCGGATCTCTGATGGTCCCCAGCTGGGCAGGAGTTGCTCACGCCCCACCCTGCCCCTGAGCGTGTCCTTGGACACTTCCCCCCACTGCGGCTGGCTCTGCGCCTCCCGGAGTCACCCTTGATCACCATCTCCCATGAATCTAGCTATGACAGCTGGCTTCACCTTTTGGAAAGGGTCTTCTCTATGCATTGTGTCCACACCCATATCCAAAGTGGAGTGGGGCTAATTGCTTGCTTAGGTTTCAAGTAGTCACAAGCATTTGTAAACCAGGTTTGTGGTTTTTAAAAATTTTGTGGGCTTCTTCGTGTGTTTATTTTCTTTCACTGAGTCCCAGGTTCCAGAAACCGCGCACAGAACTCCAGCCTGCACATAGTTCTCAGGCCTGCCTGATGGCCTGGCTTTTGGGATCCATCCCTCTCTTTATTGTAAAGGCACCAGTTCTGAGGCCATGGGAAACAGTGAGCTTATAGGTAGAGGTAACACCCCTAATCGGATCTTTTTGGCTTTGGCTTAACAGTAGGCCTTTAAGAAAGGCTCTGAAAACCAAGTTATGTATCTACTGCCATTGAGAGCACAGAAGCAGGAGGGATTTCTAGCCCCAGCCCCATCTGCTTTCTTCCATCTCTGCTTTAGAAGGAGCTAGTTCTTGCCTGTGTTTATTTATCTTGTAAAACCTCCCTAACGCAGCGAGGTCGAGCAACACAGATCCACACTCTGGCACCACGGCTCCGGGTTTGGTCGGTACACGTTGTCTGCCTCTCAGGTTATCACAGGGCACAGTCTTCCAAACATTTCACTCACAGGGCACAGTCTTCCAAACATTTCACTCACAGGGCACAGTCTTCCAAACATTTCACTCACAGGGGACAGTCTTCCAAACGTTTCACTCACAGGGCACAGTCTTGCAAACATTTCACTCACAGGGCACAGTCTTCCAAACGTTTCACTCACAGGGCACAGTCTTCCAAACGTTTCACTCACAGGGGACAGTATTCCAAACGTTTCACTCACAGGGCACAGTCTTCCAAACGTTTCACTCACAGGGCACAGTCTTGCAAACGTTTCACTCACAGGGCACAGTCTTGCAAACGTTTCACTCACAGGGCACAGTCTTCCAAACGTTTCACTCACAGGGCACAGTCTTCCAAACGTTTCACTCACAGGGCACAGTCTTGCAAACGTTTCACTCACAGGGCACAGTCTTGCAAACGTTTCACTCACAGGGCACAGTCTTGCAAACGTTTCACTCACAGGGGACAGTATTCCAAACGTTTCACTCACAGGGGACAGTATTCCAAACGTTTCACTCACAGGGGACAGTATTCCAAACGTTTCACTCACAGGGGACAGTATTCCAAACGTTTCACTCACAGGGCACAGTCTTCCAAACGTTTCACTCACAGGGCACAGTCTTCCAAACGTTTCACTCACAGGGGACAGTCTTGCAAACATTTCCCCGCGCATAACAAGGCTCACTGGTTCCCTACCCTGAAATAAACATGCCTTCCTCTGCTGCCTCCTGGCCGCTTACTCAGTGGACAGGTTCTAGGTCCTGTTGTGTCAGCATCCGAGTTGCAGGTGGTGGTTCTGGCTCTATCAGTTGCAGGGAAACTAAGCTGCCGATATAAAGAGGTACCATGATACCCCGAGTTAAAATAGGGTGACGTGTAATTCACTTGGACAGCGAAAGGGAATGCCATTTAAAATGATGCCAAGACAACAGACGTAAAACAAATTGAAACCATGTTCATGCTATTTAAAAACCAACGTTTCTTTCACTGTCACGTAAGCGCACTGCGGTGAGGGGTCTGAATTGACGGTGTGGCCCTCTCCATGGGGGCATTCCAGGGAACCAGCTCCTTCCATCTTCTTTTCCTCCATTCCCTGGGGTGTTTTCCCCAGGGTCCAATAGGACCTCAGCATTTTAGAGAGAGACAGACAGAAAGTATGGAAGGGTGCTTGCCCGATACTTGAAGGCCAGGACCGGGAGTGGCAAACATCACTTTATTCTCATGTCATTGGTGAGAACCGTTGCATCGGTTCTGCAAGGATGACTTGGAAATGTGGTATCTGACTGGGCAGCCATGGGCCCAGCAACAAGGGTGGTTGCTCTGGAGTAAAGGGAGGGAGGTTTAGCTGGATATCCAGAGTCCTCCATCAGGAACTCTTTCCTCATTTGTAATTTAAGGATAAAATACCCAGAGTCTGTAGGCTTTCATAACTTCCTTCAGATGGTATCTACATGTTTATTAACTTCATTCACTCATTAAAGAACCCGGCTTGGAAGTCTCCAGGGCCTGAAGCTTTAACCTAACTTTTGACATATGTGGGCTTCCATCATTACTTTTCCTATTCATGCTTAGTTTTGTAGTATTTCGGTAGTGTACTATTTTTTATACAAATTGACCTCCCTCTTTCTGTAAGCACTGACATTATTCTCAATTATTAAATGGTACAGCCTTTATCATTATATTAGTCAGAGATTCCCAACTTTGCTTATCAAAGAAAAATTATTTTTTATCCTTCTCTTTTCGTTAATTCCTTAACTATATGTTCATATTTTCCCTGATTGTGCCTAAGACTTGAGCTACTGTCTTAAGAGCAGTCAGCATCCAAGTGTTCTCTGTAGTATTTTATTGCTTGGAAAAATGTTACTGAATCTTACCTAACAAGAATAATGATTAAATAGTTTTGCTTCCTTTTTTGGTGGCAATGCAAACACCTCTTTTGGTGGTGGACTCCAGCCCTTCTTTGTGCCCGGCGGCGATGACGGCTGATCGGACTCTTCCCTTCCCTGGGAATGAGTTTCCCACCGCTTTTCACTGCTCACATCATTAACTTTGGTGCTTAGGGATTTACTAATTGAAGCCTTGACAATCTCCTACTGTTAGAGAGGCTTGGTTTGGCAAAACAACTTGGAGGCTGTTTTCACCAAAGAAGGATGACTTATGTGCTCATCATACACAGAAGGTGCTGGGTCTCAGCCCTTAGTACTTCTCAATCCTTCAACATTCCACATTTCAAATCCAGTATTAAGAATATAAGTCCCCACTGTCCCCCGAAATCTTGGGGTAAGTAAGTGCGGAGCAATCGCCTGCTTCGAGATGCTTTTTCCCAGTTGTTTATCTTCTCTAGGGCACGTTACCTAGCCTTGAAGTCAATTAACTCTTCCAGAAAGCTAGCATAGCATTTCGACTGGGCCACCACTGCAGTGGCCTGAAAGAGTCACTGTGCTTTATAAAAGTTAGGAGTTTTAGAAGAAGATAGCTGGGGGAATTTGTCTCACTGTGGGATCAATCGCTGAGTGAGATAATTCTCTTTGCATAAAAACTGCCTTGAGGTGAAAATGTCAACGTATGAATGTACTGTGCAAACATGAATTTATGAAAGGACTAAGTGTGAAATGAACAATTAATTAATGACTGAAGGTTGAAGGGCTCGTTTTACGCACAGATGACAGTGGTTGTGAAGATGACACCGGAACATGCACTTCCGACTGGGCTGTTGTATTTCCACGAAACACTATCAGAAGGACGATGGAGCTTTCTTCTTCTTTTCGGATTTTCCTAATACAGTATGTAAAAATAAAGCCTTTCATGGGAATTAAAATGAAAGAGTCCTTTCAGAGTCCCAAAAACACTACCCAAACCCTGCCAAGATTAATACGGTCAAACTTTCCATGAAAAGCATAATTTCATGGGAGTTAGACTTGTTCAGATGTGTACAAAAAATACCTGTTGAGAACTCCTTTCTGATCAAAACACCATATGAAGGTAAATTTGGTTGATCATATCACACCATTCATATTACCTTTGGTGTTGCTATGATAGCTTTTGTCCATGTCAAAGGTTGAAGTTTTGTTTTTTCTAGTTTAACATCAAACATACAATAATGTGCATTTATAAGTCTTTATATGTTTATGTCGTGCTTCCTCATGTCTGAGCTAGGTTTGTTAGATACTGTGTCTTTCTCCAATTTTTAACAAGGAAGAAAGTGAAGCACAGAGAACTTGCGTGACTTAAACCAAAACCATATAGCAAGTAAATGTGAACTCATATTGAGGGCTCCAAATCTATTGTTTTTCTGTCTACTAAAATACTTCTACAGTATACCACGATTTTAATAAAACTGGATGATGTGAAACAATGGGTTGCATTTAGCATAGCTGTAGCCAGAGACGGCACTTTTTCCTAATGCTGTACCTTCGTCTTCAGAGCCTGTGCTGGCCACTCGCGTGGGGAAGAAAACAAAGCTCCTGGAAACGAGGTCACCTCCAGACTTGCATTCTCTGGGCCTGCCCAGGAGAGCTAGAAGCGACCAGGGTGCTTTTGGGAACTGTGCTGCCTTTGAGAGATAGCATCGCTGTAAGCAACACTGCTGTCTCATTAGCACAAATTCGAATCTGGCTTTGTGCGAGATTTTCCACTCAGTCCTTGGTTATTGTCCTTTGGTGGAGAGATCTGGCAAATGAGATTTGAGTGACCTCATTCCTCTAAAACACCAGCTTAAGTCAGAAATTGAATTCTGCAAAATGGAAATGGCTTGAGGGCAAAGCAAAGTATGAAGACTGGACCAGTCAGGGAGGCTGCTAGAGGGAACAAATATAATGTGGCTCTCAGGATTGGATTTGGCTTCCTTTTTAAAGATCAATTAACAGGTGGTGTCGTTCCAGGTAGACCGGTTCGAAAAATAATTTACCAAATACAGAAGTATTAGATTCCAGATTACGTACAAAATACAAAAGACTTGATTCATATTCTAATTGAATTTTCCATAATACCTGAAGGTAAAATAAACTTCAAAAACATCACTAATATACTGACTTAATTAAAAAGCAAGATTATATCCTGAAAATATCCTAGAATAATAGTGCCTCAATTGTAATTGGATGTGCCGTGTCATATCTCCTCTATAATTAGATCAGAATTGTCAAAAATAAAGGGTCAATCTGAACACTTTACTGCTGTTAAAGACAGACACAGACACACACACTCATAAAAAAAGATAGCAAATGAGTTTAAAGCATGTATAGATCTATGGAAGAAGTAACAATGTCTGTGGTAAATTTATATGTAACGTAAATCATCATACAGAAATGAGTTTCCTTCTTGCAAAAAATAAACAAAATTGTGGTGCTTTAATGCTCTTCTGTGATTAAAGGGACGTAGGCTAAGGAGCCACGTAGACTTAGGTTCATATCTCAGGCCTGTAAATATCTACATGGCCTTAGGCAAATTTCTTAATCTTCTTGAGTCTCAATTTACTCATCTGCGTAATAGGCTTGGTGATAACTGAGGTAAGCAGTGCTTGACCTTCAGCAGGTATTCCATAACGGTACATTCCTGACCTTTCTAACCTTGATATGATCGTTGCAGGTGGTGGAGTACATTTTGGCATCTACTACCTGTTTTGCTGGCAGGGTAGAACTTTGTAAGTCAAATGCTATTAATTAGTATCCTGTAATATTTCTAACAATCATATTTTTTGCAATTTAAACTTTATGGAATATACATTTACATTTTAATTTTGTCACTTTCCGCTGCATGTTCACAGATTGAGTCATTATGAACTACTGACTTTTCCGTAGTTTTGCAAATGATTTTAAAAAATACTATTCACAAACATTTTTTGCCCATCTGCTAAATTTTCAACACTTTCGACTTGCTTTATTCAGTGTTCAAGTCATAAACTTCTTAGTTGTTTGGCAAAGATAGATACCTGAAATAAATGAACATTGTATTGTAACCAAGCAGAGTGATACACTCTTTTAAAAATACTTTTTATTTTTTAAATTGACACACAATAATGATATATATGTATGGGTACATAGTGATGTTTCAATACATACAATGTACAATGATCAGATCGGGGTAATTAACATATCTGTCACATCAAACATTAAGTATTTATTTGTGTTGGGAACATTCGATAACCCCTCTCCTAGCTATTTGAAAATATACAATGAATTTTTGCTAACTATAGTCAGCCCACAGTGATACAGAAACTAGAACTAATTCCTCCTATCTAGCTGTAACTTTGTATCCTTTAACCAATCTCTCCCTATCAATAACTACTATTCTACTTTCTACTTCATGAGATCAACTTTTTTAGCTTCCACATATGACAACATGTAGTGTTTATCTTTCTGTTTCTGGCTTGTTTCATTCAGCATAATGACCTCCAGTTCCATCCATGTTTCTGTGAATGACAGAATGTCATTCTTTTTATGCCTGAATAGTATTCCATTGGGTGTGTGTCTGTCCGTGTGTGTGTGTGTGTGTGTGTATACATGCACACCATATTTTCTCTGCCCATTCATCTGTTGATGAACACCCAGGTTGATTCTATATCTGGACTATTGTGAACAGTGCTGCGATAAACATGGGGATGCAGGTATCTCTTAATATACTGATTTCTGCCAAGTGTGGTGGCTCATACCTGGAATCCCAGCACTTTGGGAGGCTGAGGTGGGTGGATCACTTGAGGTCAGGCATTTGAGACTGGCCTGACCAACATGGTGAAACCCTGTCTCTACTAAAATTACAAAACTTAGCTGGGCATGGTGGTGCATGCCTGTAATCCCAGCTACGCAGGAAGCTGTGATAGGAAAATCCCTTGAACTTAGGAGGCAGAGGTTGCAGTGAGTCGAGATCACACTACTGCACTCGCACTCCAGCCTGGGCAACAAAAGTGAAACTCCGTCTCAAAAAAAAAATTATATATATATATATATACACACTGATTTCCTTTCCTGTGGATATATGCCCAGCAATGGGATTGCTAGATCATATGGTAGGTCAACCTGTAGCTGTTTGAGGAAACTTTAAATTATTCTTCGTAGTGGCTGAACTAGTTTACATTCCCACCAACAGTATATAAGAGTCCCCTTTAACCCTCAGCAGCATTTGTTGTTTTTTGTCTTTTTGAAAATTGCCATTGTAACTAGAGTGAGGTGATATCTCATTGTGGTTTTGATTTGCATTTCCCTGATGATTAATGATGTTGTGGATTTTTTCATATACTTATTGGCCATTGTGTGTCTTCTTTAAATAAATGTCACGAGCCCAGGAAGTGAAGGTTGCAGTGAGCCAAAATCATGCCACTGCACTGCAGCCTGGGCAACAGAGACAAACCCTGTGTCAAAAAAAAGAAAAGAGAGAGAAATGTCTATTCATACATATCCTTGTCCACTTTTTTATGACATTATTTGTGTTGTTTTAAACTGTTGAGTTGTTTGAGCTCCTTGTATAGTTTGAATATTAGTCCCTTATCAAATGAATAGTTCACAAATATTTTCTCCCATTCAGCAGGTTGTCTCTTCACTCTGTTGATTGCTTTCTTTGATGTGCAGAAGCTTTTGAGTTTAATATAGTCCTATTTGTCTATTTTTGTTTTTATTGCCTGTGCTTTGGAGGTCTTAGCCATAAAATTTTTGCCTAAACCAATGTCATGCAATGTTTCCTCTATGCTTTCTTCTAGCAGTTTTACAGTTTCAGGTCAGCCATTCTAGCATTTAATCCATTTTGAGTTGATATTTTGTATATAATGAGATATATGGGTCTAGCTTCATTCTTCTGTGTGTGGATATCCAGTTTTTCCAACATTATTTATTAAAGAGACTGTCCTTTCCCCAATATATGTTCTTGACACTTTTGTCAAACATCAGTTGGCTGTAAATACCTGAACCTATTGCTGGATCCTCTATTTTATTCCGGTGATCTATGTGTCTGTTTTTATACCAGCACCGTGCTGTTGTAGTTACTACAGCTTTGTAGTATATTTTGAAATCTGGTAGTGTGATGTCTCCAGCTGTGTTCTTTTTGCTCAGAATTGCATTGGCTCTTAGGTATTCTTTGTGGTTCCATATGAATATTAGGATTGTTTTTTCTCTTCTTGTGAAGAATATTATTGGTAGGGATTTCATTCAATCTGTAGATTGCTTTGGGTATAGTCATTTTAACAATATTCATACTTTCAGTTGACGAACATGGGCTGTCTTTCCATTTTTTGTGTCCTCTTCAATTTCTTTCATTAGTATTTTATAGTTTTCCTTGTAGATATCTTTCACCTCGTTGGTTAAATTTATTCCTAAGTATTTTATTATGTGGGTAGCTATTGTAAATGGGATTACTTTCTTGATTTCCTTTTCAGCTAATTCATCACTGGTGTACAGAAACACTGCCAATTTTTGGTATGTTGATTTTGTATCCTGCAACTTTACTGAATTTGTTTATGAGTTCTAAGAGTTTTACGGTGGAGTTTAGGTTTTTCCAAATGTAAAATCATGTTGTCTGCAGAAATGGACAATTTGACTTCCTCCATTCTAATTTAGATGACTTTATTTCTTTTACTTGCCTAATAGCTCTGGCTGGGACTTCCAGTATTATGTTGAATAAGTATGGCGAGAGTGGGCATTCTTGTCTTATTCCAGTTTAGTATGTTGTTAACTGAGGTTTTGTCATATACAGCCTTTATTGTGTTGAGATATGTTTCTTCTATACCTAATTTTTTAAGAATTTTCATCCTGAAAGGTTGTTGAATTTTACCAAATCCTTATTCTGTGTCTATTGAGATGATCATGTGGTTTTGTCCTTCATTGTGTTGATGTCATGTATCATAATACACTCTTATTTAGTAAGAATGAGATCATGACTCTATCTGATTTTAGGAGCCACATTCTCTGAGCTGACAGCATAACTGTTTAGAACATGAAAAATAAGAATTCAGACAAACTGATCACTCATAAACATGAGACTTTAAGTTCTAAATTTTTTTCTGATATGTTAATATTGGAGGAGTTTTCAGGTTTCAGAATCTTGGCCATTCACATTTCATGTTATCAGAATAAACAAATTCCATAGAAACTTTAGGGCTGAATCATATTTCACATAATGTCACCAACCCAATCAACATCTGAATGCATGTTTTAATGTCTAAGTTTTCTTGCAATGGCTTCTATTTAAAATTTACAAAGCTGTTTTATTTCTGCTGACGTGTAAAACTCTAGGCTTTGCTTCTCAACCACTTCCTTCACACCCACAAAAATCTTAGATTTTTTTTTTCTTTATTCTCTAGGTTCTAGGTCTGTTAATGCTTTCAGACATCCAATTAAATATACTGACTTTTTTACATAATCATTCATATCATGGCAATATTGGCTTTGCCCTGTAAAATCTGCCTTATGTATAACTCTGTATAAAACAAAATCATATACAATGATTTATGAAACATTTTAGATTTTTCATTAAGTTTTAAGTAGCAAACTAGTATGATTAACTGTGGGTAAAGCAGGACTAAATCCAATCACCCTAAACAGACTAACATCTCAATGATTGAAAAAAAGATTCAATTTGTATTGAGAAGATCTGTTCTTTTGTTTCCCCTATCCCATCACTTCCTTTGATGACAGCATCTTGATTTTCTTCAGCAAGCCACATCGTTCCTCTTCACTTCCAGACCATGTGGTTTTGGGGGTGCTGATGCCAACTCCAGGCTCTAGTTAATCCTGGTCTGGACCATTGGCATATCCCAGACCTCTGGCTTCGGTGATTGGTTTAAGGATGGTCACATGACCCAAGGTGTTCAGGGGAGAGTTGACCACAGGATGTTAGTTGAACCATTGAGAAAACAATGAGCTTCCTTTCCTACCAGGCTGCTAAACTGCCATAAGGTGAGCTTGGGGAAGTGAAAAACTTCTCGCCACCATGTCGGGAACCTGTCCTAGAGGGAAGTCCACATCTTGAAAACCAGAGCTGAGACATAAAGACGAGGTCCGTACAACAGCATTTGATTTGGGTATCTGGGACTTTTCAAATAATGTGAGGCAACATATTCCTTTTTTAGTTGGCTGGTTTGTTATAGCAATTTTTAATGGGATTTCTGTCCCTTGTAACCAGAATAATCGTGATCAACATCACAGTCTTTTAAGAGATCTGAAGGAAACTACATTCCTCAGAATCCTTAAGCATAGATCAAATAACAACATAAAGAAAATTCGAGTAATTTAAATTGCTGCTTTGTGCTTTGATCTATCTGAAATGTCCTCGACCCAGCCTACTAAGATAATGTTGTCAATTATCCTGACATTCCTCTTTGTTGAAATAAAGATGCTTTTCTTCAGAACCTCACTTTAGCCCAGAAGCAAGCTGACAAGCTTCAAGGAAACTTAAATTGGCATTAAATTTAAGGTGCTTGCAATTCACGTGACTGTATCCCAGGGCTTGGAGTCTGCCATGCGTGAGTTTCCTCCTCCAGCCATGCTGGGCTGCACCCCATTGCCTGCATGTGGCGTCCCCTTCCCACTTATTGACCTTCACACACATGGTTCCGTCCACCAAGAATGCTCTTTGCTCTTCTTTGGATCTAATTAACTTCTATTTATTCTTCACATTTCAGTTCCAAAAACCATTGCTGGCCTCTGGATTTAATGAAGTCCTCTGTTGGCAATCGAATGCCTAGTATGTCTTCTTAGTCCTGTGCCTATTCATAATTAATTTGTGGTTATTCGTTTAATGTTTGTCTTCTCTGAAGGAAACTGCATTCCTCAGAGTCCATGAGGAGTTTGCTTACCACTGCCTTCCAGCACCCAGCCCAATTCCTGGACACAGAACATACTCAGTAATAATTTCCCTGTAACATACACAGCCTAGAGTCACCGTATTTATTGCAAAGACTTATTCTACTCTGAAGCCCTGACTTAGCTCAGCCTATTGCTACTCCAGTACATGTATTGGACAGGGAGCTGGACCCCTTCTTTTGCTCCTTTCTAATTGATCTTTCCTTGCTTCTGGGATCTCTCCAAACTCTCTTTTCCCAAGACATTCACTGCTCATTTAATGCACTGTAAATGATAGCTGTATTTTGAGGCGTATACCTATATGACACATTTCTGAGTAGATATAGTAAATTTTTGTCATGAATTCCATATTTTCTTTTTATTTATTTATTTATTTTTTTTTTTTTGAGACAGAGTTGTGCTCTTGTCACCCAGGCTGGAGTGCAGTGGTGCAACCTCAGCTTACTGCAACCTCCGCCTCCAAGGTTCAAGTGATTCTCCTGCCTCAGCCTCCTGAGTAGCTGGGAATATAGGTGCCCGCCACCACACCCATCTAATTTTTGTATTTTTAGTAGAGACAGGGCTTCACCATGTTGGCCAGGCTGGTCTCGAACTCCTGACCTCAGGTGATCCACCCACCTCAGCCTCCCAAAATGCTGGGATTACAGGTATGAGCCACTGTACCTGGTGGAATTTCATATTTTCTTATGCATAACAATGATCTCTATTAGAATCCTGGTTTGGGGACATCCAATGATATTTAGGTGCCCTTAGTACTTAGTACTTTAGTAGACTGACCTAGGAACTTTAGCAGCTGACCTAGGAACAGCACTTTCTTCCTTCCAAGAGTAGTGCAGTCATGGTATCAGGGTGAGAGAGGCTAGACTGTAGCCTGGCCCCCAGAGGACCAGATCAGCTGCTCACAGAATCCAGGGTGGACAGTGTGGCCTGATCCATCTGGGCTCCATGAAGATCATCAAGGGAGAAGGTTCCCCACTGCACCTTCCATCACAAACCTGAGAATGGCCTCTTCACTGATATTTCATAACTTCAAATACATATAAAATGAATATATTTAATATATACTCTACAATCTATGAATAAGATAAATTTTCTCCTGATTCTTCCCCAAATATTTAGCCATTTTTTAAAATGCTAAAATGATGCCATAATAAAGAAATGTAAGAATAGGCCAGGTGCAATGGCTCGCGCCTATAATCCCAGCACTTTGGGAGGCTGGTGGGGGCAGACTGCCTGAGGTCAGGAGTTCGAGACCAGCCTGCCCAACATGGTGAAACCCCGTCTCTACTAAAAATGCAAAAATTAGCTGGGCGTGGTGGCGGGCACCTGTAATCCCAGCTACTTGGGAGACTTGAGGTAGGAGCACTGCTTGAACCCAGGAGACAGAGGTTGTAGTGAGCCGAGATCTCACCACTGCACTCCAGCCTGGGGGACAAAGCAAGGCTCCATCATAAAAAAAAAAAAAGAATAAAAGTTGGAAAACTTCAAACCATCTAGATTGCAGTCTCATTTTACCCATATAACTTATGTAATCCCAGCCATCTCTTCAATTTTCCAATCTTTAAATTGTGGGAAACCATACTGAACTTTTATGTATAATAGCTAATTGCAAGCCTAAGTGTCTATACTAAATAATAAAGATAAACGGTGGTTTTCCTACCTTCTCCATAGGCGAGCCCACAAACTATCCCGACAATATATTTTATGTCGAAATCATGCCAGTGCTTCTCTATATCCCTTCCCCGATCCATTGCAATGCAGTCTGTCGCTTGCAGCATACTGATGATGTAAGAACCTATTTCTGAGCATCTCTTGCAGAGTCCTCATAAAAAATGGCCGCCACTTTGGGGATGACTTTCCCATTTAACTCTTCTTAAAATACTCTGAGTTTCTTCTAATGATTTTAAGCATTGATATTTAGAAATAAAAATTTTCAAGATGACTTCTGGAATTTCCTTCCTTTTGTAAGAGCAATTTTAAAAGATACCATTTCGATTCCATATCAGACATTTTGCCGCTTCCAATGCAACATCTGGGTTTGTGTGTGTGATCAAGAATGACAGCTGACGTGTCACTGCACTGATTTTGACGTTCGTGAATACAGAAATCATCACAGACTTGGACAATGTATGTTGGGTGGTAGTGGTATGATCTGTAACATTCACCTATGCATGTTTTTACCACTTTTTTAAAAATGTAAATAAAGTGAATAACAAGGGAGGTAGATTATGATTTTTAAAAATGTAATGGGAGCATCATAAAACACTCTGAACTTTATTTTTTTCTTTACCATTTTCACCACCACCTACTAGGCTTAAAAGTATTCTCCACTCTATGTGGAAGGTCATGTCTATACCCACAACATTGAAAGAACTTCTCCCCAATCAGCTGACTAATTACGATTTACCTGATGCATTAATGTGGCACGTGTATCCTGTGACATGTAAGTAGAATTAAGGCAGTAGAACTTTAAGAAGTTAATAGATCTGCAAACTTTGCCTCAGGCTTTTGCAATCAGAAACTCAGGGTTTGCTGGAGCTCTACAAAGGATTTTGACATAGCCTGAGGTGAGAACCATGAAAATGTGTTCTGTTATGGAGGAATGTGGTAAATGTCCTACACGGGTTAGCTTCATCATGTGCCCCAGAGCTGACCTGAGCTGTCCGGTGGGTACCTAGTTCAACAGCAGCCCAGGCCTGCGGTTGCAGCCCTGCATGCACCCTGCATTACCTGCGCGCTTTCAAACACTGCTGGGCACAGCCCTACCCTAGACCATGTGTACACACCACGGTTATTGGTCTTCACCGTGCATCAGAATGGTCTGCAGAGAGTTTAAAAACAACAGGTGTGTGAGACCCACTGCTTGGAGACTGTGTTTCACATGGTCACGGGTGGGGTCCAGGTGTTCATATATTTTGGAAACCGGGTTGGTGATTTCAATGAGCAGCCATCATTGAGTAACACTGGTGTGTGTCCGTGTGTGCACACACACGCATAGGCAGTATAAACACGTATGTTAACATGGGCTCCACTGCAGCCTCGGCTGAGCGTTAAACATGGACCTACCTGTGTGACTGGCTTACTGTTGAGGCCACCGGAGATCTCTTCACGTAAAGGAGCCCAGTGCGAGCGAAGAAGGACTCAGGCAGCTGAAGCCGCTGGGAACAAAGCCTTCATCATGGGGGTGGGAGGCGTCGTGCACCTGAGTGCAGCAAGGCACCTGCCTTTCAGCTCCGTCCCCACATCCACAGACTTGGTCCTGGGAGACGGACATCTTTAAAGAAAAAAGAAAAAAAACTCAGTGACTTGAGGTTGCACTAGCCAACAGAAAGGAACATGGAGTTACGAAAGCGACATGCTCCTCACTTCTCCACAGATGACCTTTCATTTGCTTTTGCAGGATGAGGCCGTCAGTGCCTTGCCACGAGTCTGAGGTGGGAAGAAAGGGTCGCAGCTCCTGGCACATGGCAGAATTAGCGAAGCGTGCCATGTGGAGGTCTGAGGTCTGCAGGTTCTGAGTAGACAGTGAAACCCACTGCTCCCGCCATCCCTTTCTCTGTCACACACACACACCTAGTGACCTTCAAAAGTGTCTCGGGAGAATTTGGCAGGATGCTCGTGTCCTGTGCCAGTGACAGCACTGTCATCACTGTTAGTGTGACCCTATCTGTTTTTCAGGCTTGTAAGGTGACCAGGAGGAACATACGTACACACACACACACACACACACACACACACACACACAAGCGTGGCCACCGTCCCATGGGAAAGTGAGGACAGGTTCACACTCTGGGGACATGGGAAGCAAAATATCACAGTGGAAGCTGCCCCCAAGCCGAAGACGTGGGACACCAAGTTCACCCGTCTCTTCCGCAACCACGAGAAGTCTAATGATGGGAAAATGGAACCAGCCCACACAGCGACACTGGAGTCACCTCTTGCACTTGTGTAAACACACACAACCAAGCTACAAGTTACATGAATTTGTTTCTGGCATTGACCAAAATCCCCCGTCTCTGGGAACTGGTGAACACAGTATCTGGGATGATATTTCTGACCCTATATTTCTGACCTATATATTTTTTTCTTCATGTTTCTCTTTTTAAAAATTCTTTGTCTCTTCCAATGAGTTTATAATGGGCTAGCCACTTTCTTGATAAAGGGCATTTATTACAGCTATAGAAAAATCTGGTTTCTCTGTCTACAGATAGTAAGTCACATCTCAAGCAGTGAATGTCTCCTTACAAATTTGCCTCTAGCCGGTTATGTGTGATGCTGAAACTGAAGATCTGTCACCCTCCAGAACATCTACAGGATGAATGCCTCCCACAGTGGCTAGTCAGCCAGAATTGTCTCCTCCCCACGTGAACTGTGGCCAGGCACAAACATCTGGCAATGGCCCTAAGTTGTGATGAGAAGAAAGTCACTGTTTAATGCTTTCTGAAAATTTCCCTCTCACTTTGCAGAAGATGATGACTTGTTACTTCCTAAATTTCGCAGTTGGGAACCCTGGTTTTCCCATCCAGGTTTTGCTGTTTAACTCTCCAGGCTGTAAATGCAAAGAAAGGAGTCAGAGTTAAATGAGTGCCTCCTGTGGGATGTTTTAGAAAGAATTCAATGAATTCAATTCCGTAAGAAGGTCTGCAGTTTTATCATTTAAATCATCAAGTCTATACATTAACAAATTTGGGATTAAACACTCCAGGTGTATGATATAGAGGGGACTTGTTTTCCAAGCCCTCTGTGAAAGACATGCCAAATGCTTACATTTTTTAGCATGAGATTTTCTTTATTAAAGGAAACCAGCTTAAACACTTTCAGAAAATAATCTCGAACAACAAAGAAAACTGATTTACCTTGTGTTTCCCTACTGTTTTCTGCAATCGCTTGCCGTACTAAAAGGGACAGACGGTGCTTTTAACAGAGTTTGTGAAAAGGATGCACTATCTCTTCAAGGTTTAAGGCCCTCTGTTATTTCCACTATTATTTTAATGATCTACAAAATTCATATGGATTCCACATAGATTAACCAACACCTTCCTCACTAGTTCATTCCAATGCCACATGTAAATATTCATGTGAATTCAACCAACTGATCAAATGTAAGAACTTGATGTTCTTTAATTTTGTTTTGCTTTCCTCAGATTTATTTCTGAGAATCTAGGGACATAGAATATGCTAGTTTGGATGGCTGTGGATTTGATTAAAGATTTAAAATAAAAGAAGACCTAATAAATATTTTATTTTCTTCTTACACACACACAACCCTTTTACTCGATTTTTTATTGTACCCAAAGACATAAGGAACAGATGAAATGATATATGGGACCCTCCCAACACTGGGTGCCACCGATTTTATGAAATGTATCATTGATCACTGATCATAATCAGATGCACAATTCTACCCTAATTGGAAATACAGAACAGAGCACTCAGTCAATAAAAATTTGAGAGCACATTATTTAAACTCATAAAATACCTAGAATTTTTGCTCTTCAATTATTAATAAGGAAATGTCATGATATTCAAATGATAAGAGATTTCTTTGAAAAGTTTTTTTTGTTTCGTTTTGTTTTGTTTTTTTTAAGAGATGGAGTTTCCTGTTGCCCAGGCTGGAGTGCAGTGATGCGATCTCGGCTCACTGCAACCTCCGCCTCCTGGGTTCAAGCGATTCTCCTGCCTCAGCCTCCCGAGTAGCTGGGATTACAGGTGCCCACCACCACGCCTGGCTAATTTTTTGTATTTTTTAGTAGAGACAGCATTTCACCATGTTGGCCAGGTTGGTTTCGAACTCCTGACCTCAGGTGATCCACCCGCCTTGGCCTCCCAAAGTGCTGGGATTGCAGACATAAGCCACTGCACCCGGCCTGAGAAAGTTCTAAACCCACTATTTCCCAGATATATAATTTGGTCAGCGCATGTGTCCTATTATTTGAAGTTTGATCCATCACAGTAGGGATGACAGTTATTAATGTTGCATTGAATTCATGGAAGTGTCAGAAAAAGCAATGCTTGGAAGCCAGTTGTTCTGTGAGTTTGTGTCTTTCCTCTCTGCCTCTGCATGCGATCTCACCGCCCATGTTAAATGGATGTCACCCTTTCTCCTCCTTGGATTCAACCTGCTTACCCTGGGCTAAGGGAGCCACAGAATGGCCAGTGCGGGAACTGTGTGACTCAGTCTCGGTCCCATCTCCTCGTCTCTGTCCTCTCAGATCACACATAGTCCTGTTTCAATCACTAATCGGGAACAGCTCTGTTAATTCCACTATAGAATTCTTCTTTCTCACAGTTACTCAGTCAGTAGCGTTTACTGAGTATCTCCTGCATCCTGGGCACTTCTCCACTCCAATGTGACAGCAGTGAATCAAACGACAGCTAGCCCTGCCCGCAGGCACTTGCATTCCAGAGAGAGGAGACAAAGAATACAAAACTAAAAATATAAAAGACGATGTGCCACACGTTGGAAAGCGATACATACTCTGGAGGTGAGTAAAACATGAAGACAGAAATATGACTACAGTGAGATAATTTTACCCTCAAAATCTAGGGAAATTTGTAAAAGAGAAGGGATAAGAAATAAAAAAATGGCAAAATGTCACATTCACAGCAAGAACTTTCCTGGTTCAATTCATTTATATTTTTACTTAAGTTTTAATTTTTTTTTTTTTTTTGAGATGGAGCCTCGCTCTGTCCCCCAGGCTGGAGTGCAGTGGCACGATCTCGGCTGCCTGAAGCCTCCACTTCCCAGGTTCAAGCGATTCTCCTACCTCAGCCTCTTGAGTAGCTGGGATTACAGGCATGCACCACCACATCCCGCTAATTTTGTATTTTTAGTAGAAACGGGGTTTCACCATGTTGGCCAGGCTGGTCTTGAACTCCTGACCTCATGATCTGCCTGCCTCAGTCTCCCAAAGTGCTGGGATTACAGGTATGAGCCACCGCACCAGGCCTAAGTTTTAATTTTTTTTAATTTTTATTTAATTTAATTTTTTTTTTGAGATGGGAGTCTTGCTCTGTTGCCCAGGCTGGAGTGCAGTGGTGCAATCTCAGCTCACTGCAACATCCTCCTTCTAGGTTCTAGTGATTCTCGTGCCTCAGCCTCCCAAGTACCTGGGATTACAGACGTGTGCCACCATGCTAAGGGGCCACTGCCGATTCTCCTGTAACAAAAGACAGGTTAACAAGAGAAAAGCACACAGATTTGTTTAATCAAAGTTTTACATAACATGGGAGCCTTAGGAAATGAAGACCCAAAGAACCAAGGGAAAACTGCCCATTTCTATGCTTAGATTTGATGAAGAGTGGTAGCCCTGCGGAGCTGTGACTGGACACAGAGGGAGCGATGGGACAGTGACAGACAGAGGGGGACCCAGCTGGGCCTGTCTGGGTTCCTCTTGGCCTCCCTGTGTGGCGTTCCTTCTTCCTGCGTGTAGGGCAGGGCCCCTTCTGGAATGAGGGTCTTATAACCTACTTTCAGGAAAGTAAGTCAGAGAACTTCTTTATGGCCAGCTCTTACTCAGAAAGGCAGGGAAAGTTCCAGTAGTGATTCTAGTTTCTAATGGCTGGCTTTGGGGAAAGAGATTCTAGTTTCCGTGACCTGCTTTAGGGAAGAGGATTTCTGGTTTCTATGACTCACTTCTTGGGGGAATGAGGGGCGAGAGACAGGAGGGCAGGAGAAGGTCAGAGACTTGGTTCTGAGGCTGCTTCTGAGGCTTTCCAATGCCCTTTAGTTCAAAGTCCTCAGCAGGTCAAGGCCATACTTGGGGTGTCCTTTTCGGAGCCGTGACTTATGACTTAAAGCAAGATGAACTGTTTTGCTATTATGTAGCAGAATCAAGATGAACTGTTTTGCTATTATGTAGCAGAATCAAGATGAACTCTTTTGCTATTATGTAGCAGAAACAGAATTAAACCTAGCCTGCAGAATTCAGAGTCCCATGTGTTCTATTGTTATGCTATCCCAGTGTATGCCATTGAGTGGATAAAATGAAATGGCATCATTGTGCTTATCCCATAGGAAGCAACCCATACATGACAGATACTGCTATTATAACTCAGCACCATCCATTCAGTCATCGTGTGGTCTTCATCTTTTGAAGCCTCATTTTCTCATCTGTAGAACTTGCGTGAGTATTAAGAAGATGTCTGAGGATGCCAGGTGCTAGAGCTGCAGAGAGAACCTGCAGAGAGAAGGGGTGTTGGTTGTGTTGGTTATTAGGGTGTCTCAGGCCATCGTTCAGCACCCTGACCTCTTCCTTCAAGCTGAGCCCTGGGGAAGGGAGCAGAGGGGCATGAATAGGTCAGTTTTGGGGCCCGCCCTATGACCTCCACATCTCTCTTCTTCTTTCCTCTTCTCCAAATTTTAGAATGTGCATCCTTTCCAATCTTTTTTGTTGTTAATGTAGTTGTTTGTTCATATGCCAGTACCGCAGCTACAGAGGCCCTGAAATGCCAAGAATTAACTTCTTTTCTTCCCTATACTGTTTTAAAGCACAGGTTTTGTTATAATTTTGATAGGGCAAGACCAGTAGATAGGAGATGACTACCATTGAAAAAAAAGTCTGATGCTCACAGATGCCAAGAGGAGTGAGCGCCTACAGTGTGTGGCCACACGGGTAGCACCCGGGTCAGGCAGGAGGCAGAGTGAGCAGGGGGAGAATGCTGGGGAGAGGATTCCATGGGAAGGAGCAGGCAAGGCAGGGTGAGCAGGCTCAGGGTGGAGAGCTTGAATAATTTCAGCAGACTCTGGGCATAGGGCCTGTCCCTAACTGTCTGGTACCTGGTTTGGGGTGATCAGGGCAGGGGGAATCATGTTGAATTTGAGATCCCCAGTAGAGGACGTGGTTAGGGGCATGGGCTTTGGATTGGTTCATGTGCATTTGAAAGGCTCTCTCTGGAGGCGGGGGTCCTTCACTGTCTCTAGGAATCGGCTAACTAGAGACAGTAGTAAGCTAACTGACTGCCAGTCCCCCCAGGCTCAGCCAGACTCCAATGTCAAACCATAAATATACATAAAATAAAAAGACATGGTTAGACACATGCATTCTGCAGTGTCAAATAACACTTGGGCAATGGAAAATTCATATCTAGTCTCCCAGGTGGGAAAAAAAAAAAAAAAGGAAATATCAAGAACGGTTACTATTGCAAAGTGTTATCCCACTAAACACCCTCTATCTCTCTGTGTTTTGTAGCATGAAGCTTTGTTACCATGACGTCACATGCTATCCATGGGGTTTTGTTGCTGTTACAGAGGTCCCCGTGATATGCTGTCCTGCATTTCTAGACATGTCTTTGGTTTGGAAGCCTGACACCACCAAAAGAGAACTGCAGTGCAAATGGTTTTGAAATCCTCCACTAATCATCCTAGAAGCTCAGCTAGTTCCAGGGCCTTCCATAATTCCAATTCCAAAGGACTTCATATCAAAACATTCTTTGCTTGTTTTGCTACCCCCCAAGATTGCATTTATCCCTTCTCTGGAGATTTTAACAGTTGGTGAGCTACCCTAGGCTCTGGTGGCACCTTCTATAAGTGACCCTTGACCTTCCACTTTCCTGAACTGATGAAAACATAGCTGTGTTAGCTCAAATAAATATTTCCTAACTGCCTGCTTTGGGGAAAATGCTGTGTGAAATGCTTGATGGATTTATTTATTCAACACCTGTTTATGAAGTGTTGATTATGTGCTAGACACTTTTGCAGACATTGAGGATACAGTAGTGGACTAAATAGACAAAGCTCCCTCATGGAGCTTATTTTGTAGTGGGGTAGGCGGGTGCTGGCAATAAACAAGGTGAAAATATATGGCATGTCAGGTGGTGATAAAAGCCAGGGGGTAAAATGATGCCACGATGGGGGAGAGGAGGCCTGCCACTTTAAATAAGACAGTAAGAAAAGGTCTTTGTGAAGGTGACATTTTAGCAAAGATTTGAAGGATGTCTCTGAGAGAGGATTGTTGGAGATGGACACAAGAGGGATTGAGCAAGAAACACAAGCAGTGGCAGCTGAAACCTGGGTTTCTCAAAATGGAGTTTATGGAGAGTGTGTGTAACAACAATAAGATAAAAAAAGGAGAGATATAAGATCAGTGCCTTCACCTCAAGAACTTCATGGTCTCATTAGAGAGGTTTCCTAACAACAAACCATTAGAAATGAGACAGAGCAGGGATCCCTCTTAGGGGCCTGCAAGTCCCTCAAGCATGAAAGAAAAATCTTGAATTTCTTCAAGGGGAATTCCAGGCACCCAGCTATCCCTGAAGAGTAAATGAGCAACTTGACCAGCAAGAAGGTAATAGTAGCTTAAAACAATAACCAAGGGAGTTGAAGTCATGGGGTGTTTGGTAAAGTCATGGGGTATTTAGATAAAGCTTCACCTCCTTACCCAATTGCAAACCCCAACATCTTTGAATCCACCTGTGACCTGTGGAACCCTGCTTCATGACACCCTACTTTTTTAGGCCAAACCAATATAGAGCCTCAATATATTAATTGACTTCTTTGCCTGCAATCTCTGCTTCTCCAGATTTAAAATCTCCTACCTGTAAGCCACCGAGAGGTCAGGTCTCAATTGTAAGCTGCCCAATTCTCTTTCCTTGGCATCCTGCAAATAAACACCTTGCTTTCCCCTGCTGCAAACCACGGTGTGGATGTTTGGCCTCACCCCACAGGAGAGCAGACACCAGTTCAGTTCAGTAACAGAAATAGGTCATTAAAGATGGATTCTGTCTACAGTTCACCCAAGCAAGTGAAGTCTGTGTTAAAATACTCAATAGTATCTCTCTTAGCTCTTGCCAGAATGAACATGAAGTCAATGACAGGTTGGTAACTCATAAAATTAAGGCAGATTTCCACACTCATCGTCACCACTCTCACCTAACACTTGGTCAGCATCTACTGTAAACAGTTTACTCTACTGAGTGTAGGAAGAGGCACAGTCGTGAGTGTGAGCTTCCTGAGTGGGGACGTCCTGCGCTGTCACTTTTAAGGAAGGCTTCACGTAGGCCATGCTGGAACCCAGAGTGCCTGAGACAACCGCTAGGGAGGAGACTTCCTGAGGCCTGTGGCTGAAGGAGAATGAGCCAGGGCTTCTCACAGGCAGACATGGGTGTAAAGGGAAACGAGGGAAGGAGTTTGGCCTTCATGTGCTGGTCCTTACCCTGGGTCGATGGCGGTGGATGCAGGGCTAGGTGTGAAAGAGACAATCCTACTTTACTGAAGGTCTTGGGAGCTCAGCAGCGTGGACTTGCCGGGATTCAGCTCCCTGGGCCCTGCCCTCTTCTGCAATATGGACAGCAACCGGGTAAGGAGGCGTTGAGAGAAGAGACTCGTAGAAGGGCAGGTGTGCAGAACCGAACATGGAGGGCATCGGTGAGACGTCCCAAGGCTTCCAGGAATAGCTGCAAAGAGCACAGGGCTGCCTGGAGAGCCTGTGTCTGCAGCAGAAACCAGCACCTGCAGGACAGGCCATGGCTGTGAGGGGGATGTTGGAGGTGCTCAGCTTACTGAGCTCTGGAGCCAGCATCATATGTGAATATGTGTTAGCACGTCGTCCAGCACTGTGTGATTCGTAGTAAATCTTTACAGAATTGAAATCTATCTGGTGTCTCTAGAAATTGACTTGAAGCACAAGGTAGCAGAAAGTACTTGTCAGAAGAAGACAGATGCTCAGTTCGGAGGAGGGAGAAACAGGGAACCCAGAGGAGGGCGAAGGCGTCACCTGTGAGGCCAGGCGTGTGGCCGTGAGCAGCCCCGTTGTGTTGCAGAGGTTTCACAGATCAGTAGTTACTGTCTTCATCTGGACTATAGAGAGCACATATCACATAGGCCACAAAGCCTGTCATTCTCCACAGTAGAAAACTTTTACAGGCTGTTTTTATCTCTAGAAACACTGGATTGTTTGGCAGTAACAAGAAACATCTTTCCACCCACACACGCCCACGGAAGCATGTTGAACATCAGTGAAGTACGTTACACTGGGGATCGCACCGCGTATCTTCTTATATAGCAGTTTTTATATAGTAGTTCATTAGGGGAGCAGAGATTTTTTTTCTCTCTCTCCCCTCCCTTTGTAATTTTCAGAATAGCAAATAGCATGATCAAAGCCATCATCTCCTGTTTTCCTTTCTCTAGAGTTTAAATAAATCAGGCTGAAAAATCTCTGAGCCTATGATAACAATCACTCATTGATAGCTTATCACTTAGGAAGAGGTTTCAAGGGCTAAAAGACGTAATGAAACCCCAACGCAGAACATGTAAATGAACAGACTGTCTCTTTCCCCTCATACATCCCACGCTACTCAGTACAGAGGCCAAAGCTCTGTGAATGCACAGGGCTGGGGAACGAGATGCCATCTGGAACTGGAGATGCAAAGCCACATCCCATCCCTGATCCGTATGGCCCAGGCCCAGCCTGGGAAGGTGTGGGGTATACTGACTGCGGGGGTCCCATCACTTCTCCTAGAACGGGTTCTCCGCGCGCTGTGCAGAGAACAATACTGTCCTCTAGCGCTCAGAGATCAGAACTGGAAATCAAGAAGCTTGTTTTTATTTCTCCTCCCATATTGTCAGTGATTCCCAGAGCAATATACCACTCCCAAAGCAAAGGGAATGGATTGACACAGTTCACAAAATCCAGGGCAGAATCATCCTGGCTTTGCCTCCCTTGTCTGGGTAATGACAGCTGCAGGGTTTTATCTGGTCTTTGGGGCAGTGCAGCATGTATTTAATCTATCCTTAGTTCAGCTTTGCCAAGGGAGAATCAAGATTTTTCTATCTTGATTAAATATGCATGTAATTTGTCATCAGCTAAATGAGCAAACAATATCTCCTTGTCCACCTCATAGACTTATGATGAGAATCAAATAAAAGCATAAAACAATGTAAAAGTATAAAACTGAATAAATGAGTTATTATTGAGGAAAATGCACATTTATCTGTTATTTAAAACACTTCTTTAATTCACTTCTATGTTTCAGGATTTTTACCTAGATATATAACATCACCATTTATATACATGCAATGAAAACATAATTTATATTCTATGTAATTACGTCCTTTCTAGCCCTACCGATAAGTCTTACCACGAAGAAAATGCTTTATTTTTTTGTGACTTTAAACTCTGGACAATATGTGTCTTCAACCTCTTATAATTCACCCACAGGGATTCTCTTCAAGGATGGTATAACCCACATTTCCAGAGCAGCCACACAGGACAGCCGCCTCTGCACAACCATTACCATAAGCATGCGTGTGTTTGGTACAGACAGAAATGGATGATGGGGAGTGTGGGCCCTACGTTGGAGAAGGTTATATTTGCTACCAGATACCACCACCAATTTGCTTAAAATTGCTTTCAAGCTATTAAAATACTGAGAAGGGGATGATCATAAATACTTAGATGGCTGAATTTTTTGCTCTGTTAGGATAAAAATTGGATGGTAATACTTGGCTTCAAATTATACAACAGAGTAGTGACTTTTCTCACCCTTGCAAGAAAAATATTCTCAATGAAATATCAGATTCAGAAACAAAACAAGAGAAAATGCCTTTTCATATGCTTCAGTAGGGAAATGGGATGCAAAGGAACACTTCTAATAAGGAAACATTTGCTTAAAGTGATTTTTAAGGAAAGTTCTTTTATAATGACCTTTAAAATAGTTAAGATCATACCTGGTGGCCAGGCGCGATGGCTCATGTCTGTAATCCCAGCACTTTGGGAGGCCGAGGCACCAGATCAGTTGAGGTCAAGAGTTTGAGACCAACCTGGCTAACATGATGAAACCCCGTCTCTACTAAAAATACAGCAAAAAAAAAAGTTAGTGGAGCATGATGGTGGGAGCCTGTAATCCCAGCTACTCAGGAGGCTGAGGCATGAGAATCACTTGAACCCACAAGGCGGAGGGAGCAGTGAGCCAAGATCAGGCCACTGCACTCCAGCCTGGGCAACAGAGCGAGACTCAGTCTCAAAACAAATAAAATAAATAAAATAATATAAACAGATCATATCCGGCAAATGTTGACAACTATTTTACCTTCATACTTATTCAAAATTTCAAAATATTAACAGCAAAAGACTTAAGTAGGAGTGCCAAGGCAACCACAAACGGGCCAGCAGTTTAGTTTGCAAACAGAATTGAATTGTACAGGGCAGGGCTCACACACTGACCCCGGCCCAGGGGGACCCTTAAATATCAAGGCAGGAGAACATTGGTGTGTCAGCCTACGTGGGACCAAACTGCAGAATTTCCTACAAGATCCGTCTTTCCTCCTTTTTTATAGTCCGATACTCTCTTTGTCAACCTGTTTCATTAGTTAGTAGGTCACAAAAAGGGAAACTTCTCAATTGCTGAAAAATCTTTCTCTAGTTCTTAAAATCACAAGGTTTGTGCCTGTAACATACATGTTTTATATCTATTCCGACAGTTGCCATCCAGTGTGTATTGTTACCACGTTTAATACATTAAAGTAAATCCCACTGCACCATGCGTGTGGACTGCCGTGCACACTGACTGTGCTCTTTTTGTTCAGTATGGCTCCGCTTTTAAAGCTGTGGTCTGTGTGTGTTTGTGTGGATGACGTGCACGGCTTTCTGAAACGATGCTCCAGTGGTGGTGAAGGGGACAGCGGGGCTGGACTCTGCCCACCCTGGCCCAGCTGGGCACCCAGCTCCCGTCCTGGCTCCTGCTCCTGTTCTGCCCCTCTCACCAGATTCTGAGCCTGGGTTTGTTCACAGACTGATCCCCAGACTCCAACGCCTGGGACTTGACACCTTCTGCTAAAACTCTTCTCTACATTCAACGTGCCGCAGGCTCACCTTTCACAAAACGACTAGATTTTGGCTGATGAGCCCTGTTCCCGTGGGCGTCTGACTGTAGTGAGTCCTTGTTTGGGCTGCACCGTTCCTGTCTCGGCACCGATGTAGTCGACCGTCCAGGTGAGGCCGAACCAGGAGAGCTTTGGCAGCGGTGAAGCCTCTCCATTCTTTCCAGACCAGTGCTGAAATACACCCCAGTGGTTCCAACAAATAAACTAATATCCAGACATCCACCCCTCCAGGGACAACAAATATAGAGGTTAATACAAATATTGAGAGGACAGGTGGGGCGTGGTGGCTCATGCCTGTAATCCCAGCACTTTGGGAGGCCGACGCAGGTAGATCACTTGAGGTCAGGAGTTTGAGAGCAGCCTGGCCAACATGGTGAAACCCTATCTCTAGTAAAAATACAAAAATTAATCATGGTGGCAGGCACCTGTAATCTCAGCGACTCGGGAGGCTGAGGCAGGAGAATTGCTTGAACCCAGGAGGCAGAGGTCGCAGTGAGCCGAGATCACGCCACTGCACTCCAGCTGCAGCCTAGGGCCGAGTGAGACCCTGTCTCCAAAAAACAAAACAAACAAAAAATAAAAAAAAAAAATAAAATAAAAATAAATATTGAGAGGACAAATATGAAAGAAAGCAGATTAGATATTGGCATCAAGCTTTTTAAAGAAAAAAATACTGATTTTATTCAAATGCAGCGAAGTTTCTATTATTAATACTGCCACCGCAGAACCCGCTGACCTTGCGAAATGCTGGGTTCACCTGCAGGACGCAGACACAGAGTTCACTGTGGCTAAGACCAGGTCAGCCTATGGGATCTAGAGAGTTCTGATCCAGGCAAACTCTTCCAGGAAATGGAACTGTGTATCAGAGAATGAGAAATAGAAGGAACACTTTTCTGTGAATGCCTCTTTACTGTCTCAGTATAGAAAACTTACACAAAATTCAAGAAGCAACTCAAATAACTCTGCCTCCTCATGCCCCTGCCTGCTACTTATTCAGATGCACGTTCCCACCGTGTTTCTCCCACTCTCGGGGCGGCACTCATGACTCTATGACGCTCGTTTCTGTGCCTTGCCTCCCCCAGGATTGTGAGCGAGGGTAAGACAAGGATTGTGCCTCATTCATCTCAGTATCTCAGCTCTTCGTAGAGTGATGTGCAAATAGTAGGCCCTTCAAAGATGCGCGGAGTTAACACAGAGTTCATTTCTGAAGCTTTTGGCAGCATGGATGCTGTTGATCCCTTGCTGGGAGGGAACTAAACTTCAGACCACCCATGTGGGATCTTGAAACAGAAACAGGGAATCCTGTTTTCACTTCATATGTAGATGGCTTTACAAAGATGTCACTCCCACCTTAGCAAGGAGGAAAAGCCATGTGATCTTCACAGTGCCAACTTTTCTTGAGCACTTCAGAAAGCTGAGGTTGCAAGGCAAGCAAGTGAAGTCAGTTCTGAGGAGTGACAGGTCCCTCGGGGAGAATCGGGCCGCACAGATGGTTTCACCCTTGGCAGAGTGTGAGAGGAGGGTGGATGGAGCAGCCGTAAAAGCAGGTTGGAAGAAAACAGCCAGGATGGGCCGGGTGCGGTGGCTAACGCCTGTAATCCCAGCACTTTGGGAGGCCGAGGCAGGCGAATCACAAGGTCAGGAGTTCGAGACCAGCCTGGCCAACATGGTGAAACCCCATCTCTACTAAAAATACAAAAATTAGCTAGGCATAGTGACAGGCGCCTGTAATCCCAGCTACTCGGGAGGCTGAGGCAGGAGAATCGCTTGAACCCGGGAGGCGGAGGTTGCATGAGCCGAGATCACGCCGCTGCACTTCAGTCCGGGGGGCGACAGAGTGAGAGTCCGTCTCAAAAACAAAAAAAGCAAAACGAAACAAAACAAACAAAAACAAAACAAAAAACCCAGCCAGAATGTAGCAAATTCTTAAAGTCTGAGTGTGAGCTTGTGTGCTAGATGGTTGAGAAAGCCCCGGTGGGCCTGAGACACAAGGAGAACCTGCATTCACCTAGTGTTAGCTCTTTCCACCATCTCCACTGTGTGCTCCTGAGGAAGATCTGGACAGGGAAGGACAATCCAGCTACTGTCCCTGACACAGATACTGCTTCAGGGGAGGGGAAGAAGCAAAAGCGCTGTTTGTCCTTGGGGGAAGACCTGGAAAATACTCAGGTGCAAGATCCTGTGATGGATGCAAAGCGAAGGCGGTTACCATGGGGAAGGGAGCTGGGAAGCTTTGCAAGCAGGAGGAATAGCTGCTGGGCAAAGTGACACCACTTTGTGGAAAGCTCACTATCACCACCTTCCTCTCAGCCCCTACAAGCCCAGAGAACAGGCAAAGTGCTTTGGCGGAGGTGTCTAGAAGAATCTAGTGCTTCTGTCACCAGGTGTGTGAAAATATCTCAACTCCTCACAAGGTCCACTGCCTTGCGCTGCTCATTTTCAATTAGCAATAATCATGCCTTGGATAAACCTCATTGGCTATGATACAGCCACTGCAGAGAGCTATGCTGTTCATTTTCTTCACCTAAGACTCACAAAGCAGGGGATGGGGGGCAGTCAGACCTTAGCTACAAGAGGCTGGGAAGTGTAATTTTCATCCATCTTTCTTTCCTTCCCTCCCTCCCTCCCTTCCTTCCTTCCCTTTCATCTCTCTTGTCCTTTCTTTCTTCTCTTTCTTCTCTGCCTCTGCAGTTCAAACAGGCATTCTAGCTGTAGTTCAGAAAGTGATTCCATAAATGGGTTGGAACAGGAGCTGAAAAGCCAGTCCATAATTTCTACTGCACCTCTCATCCCACTAAATACCATTACGTCAGAGGCCCTGTTCATTTCCTTTACAGTGCCACAGCAGTTACAACAAAACAAAATACACATAATGGTGGTTTATTTTTACTTATTTAATGTCCTCCTCTGCCCCATTCATTTATAAGTTCCGCTCATGCCTCGTGTAAACAAAAACTAAAACTCTAAGCCCTCAACCGACTGAATGGATCCCTTCTGAGCCAAGGAGACCTCAAATGATATGGTTTGGATGTGTGTCCCCTCCAAATCTCATGCTGATGTAATCCCCAATGTTGCAGGTGGGGCCTGGTGAGAGGTGTTTGGGTCATGGGATGTATCCCTCATGAATGGCTTGGTGCCATCCTCATGGTAATGAGTGAGTTCTTGCTGTATCAGTTCATGGGAGAGCTGGTTGTCTAAAATAACCCGGCACCTCTGTGATTGCCAGACAGTTTCTTCTTGCTGGCTGCACAGACAAAATCAATCCACTGAGACCACAGCATTGCAGTACAGAAAGAGTTTAACTGACACGAAGCCGGACCACATGGGAGAACTGGAGCTATCATTCAAATTGGTCTCTCTGAAGGCTCAGAGGTTAGAGTCTTTATGACAATTTGGTGGGCGGGGAGTTAGGGAATGGGCGCTGCCGATTGGTTGGGGATGAAATCACAGGGTGCAGAAACAATCCCCGTGCTCTGAGTCAGCTGCTGGGTGGAGCCACAGGATCAGGTGAGTCAGGAGTCAGGAGTCCAGGTGGGGTGTGTCTGAAACACATCTCAGAAAACCCATCTTAGGTTCTACAGTAGTGATGTCATCCATAGGAGCAATTGAGAAGGTCTCAAATCTTGTGACCCCTGGCCACGTGACCCCTGAGTAGTTAGGGATTGTAGGAACAACACCTGTCTCTTAGCAGGTTCAGGCCCCTCCCATAATCCTAACCATGAGGTCTTTCATTGGTTCTAGAAAGGTGGTTCAGTTCTGGGAAGGGCTGTTATCATCCTTGTCTTAAGGTTAAACTATAAACTAAATTTTTCCCAAGGTTAGCTTGGCTTACATCCAGGAATGACCAAGGACAGCTTGGAGGTCGGAAGCAAGATGGAGTCACCTATGTCAGATTTCTCTCACTGTCATCATCTTTCCAAAAGCAGTTTCACCTCACTGCTCTTTCTCTTGCTCCCTCTCTTGCCTTGTGATACGCTGGCTCCCCCTGAGTCTTCCACCATGATTGGAAGCTTCCTAAGGCCTCACAAGAAGCAGATGCTGGCAAGACACTTCCTATACAGCCTACAGAACTGTAAGCCAAAGTAAACTTGTCTTTATAAATTATCTGGTCTCAGGTATCCCTTTATAGCAATGCAAAACAAACTAATACACCAGAGAGGCCTGAAAAACTGAATTCCCCACCACAATGGGAAGGGATGTCAGACACACCTCGCTATGCCCCCTCCCTTTGGAGTTTAGGTACAACTGACCAGCATTAACATGAAAACAGAGATCATAACACTGACAAAACAGACTCCATGGCAATAAGATAACAAATTCCAACCTGACTCTGGTATAGCATCATATGACAGATAGCACTCTCTGAAGGAAATCAAGTGTATTTTACCTTAAAATATATTTCATTGACATATTTTGAAATGGCCCTGCAAAGCCATCTTTCATGGAGGAAGTTTGTAGAGAATCTTCATTCATGCAGCCTGGCCTTTCCCGATCTAGGAGAGATTAACTAAGAGTCTGACACCTGGCTGGGCGTGGTGGCTTACGCCTGTAATCCCAGCACTTTGGGAGGCTGAGGCAGGCGGATTACAAGGTCAGGATATCAAGACCATCCTGGCTAACACAGTGAAACCCCGTCTCTACTAAAAATACAAAAAACTAGCCGGACATGGTGGCGGTGCCTGTAGTCCCAGCTACTCAGGAGGCTGAGGCAGGAGAATGGCGTGAACCTGGGAGGTGGAGCTTGCGGTGAGCCAAGATTGCGCCACTGCGCTCCAGCCTGGGTGACAGAATGAGACTCTGTCTCAAAAAAAAAAAAAAAAAAAACAGAGTCCGACACCTGTTAAGTTCTGAAAAGAGACATTCAGTATCTATTCTCTCTGAAGGCTGCTACCTGGAGGCTTCATCTACATAACAAGGACCTTGCCTTCCACAACTCCCCTTATGTGAACCCAAGCATTTCTTTCTACCAACTTCAAGCCTTTAGACAAAGCTTAACTGTTTCAAACAATTGCCAATCAGAAAATCTTTGAATCTACTTATGACTTATAAGCCCCCCACTTCTCACCTTTGAGATATCCCACCTTTCCAGGCAGAACCAATGTACACTGTACATGTACTGATTTATGTCTTTGTCTGTAACTTCTTTCTCCCTAAAATCTATAAAACCAAGCCATAACCCGACCACCTCAGACAGCCTCTGTCAGGACCCCTTGAGACTGTTCTCTGAGTCATGGCCACTCATATTGGTGCAGAATAAACCTCTTCAGCTGTTTTACAGAGTTTGGTTTTGCCAGTAACACTCACGCTTTGCACTTTGTCCACCTCGTCCTTGGGGTATCCTCACTCTAAACCACAGTGTTTAGTATATGGTTGGCACTTGATACATATTGCTGAATAAATGATCAGGCCCTTTAAGAACTGGTTAAGAACAAAACAAAAGCAAGACTGCCCTTTCTATGGAAAAATAAATACTTAGATGTCCAGACATGTTTATACTCAACTTCCTGAATTTCCCAAAAGGAAATGCGGGGAGGGGATGAGATGAGGTCTGCTCTAGTTAACTTGCTTGGAAGCAGCAATTTTGATCATGGAACTATTAAAATGTATGTGACCTTCCAAAAAAAATAAAGAGGGGAAATAGTTTCAATGTTCCAAACTCCCTCTTTGGGTCTGAAACATGTGTCACTGGCAGGTCACCCTCCCGGGAGTGCATGTCTGAAACGTGTCACTGGCAGGTCACCCTCCTGGGAGTGCACGCCTGCACGAAGCCCATGTTTGGCTGTGCCTGGAGTGTCTCCATTAGCGCTGGCACATAATGCTGCAGCCTGCGCCAGCTGCTTTTCAAACAGATTCACTGGCAACAGAAAAGGAAGAAAAAAAAAATCCAAGGTCTTAGGGTACATTTTTTTCATTCTCTTTCTACAGCTAAAAGGAAGCTGGAAGCTTGAGAAGGATTCACAGTAGCTGAATAATAGCCAGAAAGGGAGATTAGCAAGGAGCATTGTGAGAGCTGGGAGATTTTTCTTGGGTTTAGCACGAGAAGAATGTAATGCTGTGTGTGTTTGACTTGCTCGTTCTGTTGGTGTCCCCCCTCCCTTGGCTCCAGAGCCCCTGTACGCCTTCCCTCTTCCTTTGCCAGTAAGGGATTGACATGGGGTCAGTCATGAAGACGCTGTCTCCCAGCCCCACCCCAAAGGTCACAGCAGGAGGCTGCTGCAGGCTGCCTCTCAGGCTGCCAGTGGGAACAAAGATGAGGGCTGCTCAGCTCTTTTCTGGCTACCCAGGGAGAACAGTAAATCCCCTGGTGCTGCAGAGAGACCTGGACTTGGCGTGGAGACATGCTCCTTCCAAGTGACTAATTGTCAGATTTTCATATTTCATAAGGCACGCCAGCAATGAACAAGCAAGCAAAGGGACCGCAAATTAAGAAAATTACTCTAATTTATTGGTAACAATCAACCTTCATTTTCCTCTTTTCCATGGAACTTCTTCCTAATGACCTCCCCTCCTACAGCTGTGTCATTTGGATAAACACATCTCTCAGACATTTTTTAATGAAATTTGAGGCTATTCACGAAGGAGGAAGGGGAGGAAAAAGAAAACTCCTTATGCTCATCTCCCTTCATATTGTAGATGGTTCATAATGAGCACAGTGTCTTTTGAGATGTACTTGAAGGCATATTTTTCCATTTCCCGTAAATCTTCATGCTCTGGGTGTCCCAGTCATTGAAGCTGTGGGTTGCAGTGCTCCAAGAGTAAAAGGGTTCAGGAAATGCGACCGCAAAATATACTGATTGCTTCAAATGGAGGGCACTGGAGGAGCAGCAATGCAGGGAGGGGCTTTCTCTGAACCTGCCTATCTGCCTAAAAACCCAACTCTCCAACAGGAGCTCAATTGTCATGCATCTCCTCCCTGGGAATCTCATCAACCTGGGAGGATTATCCAGGAGAGACTTGGGGTCCACAGGACATCCAGGCAGACTCAGTCACAGGCATCACCCATTCACCTTCCCCCAGGTCATTCTCTCACCCCAGGCTTCCCGCACCTCCCCTCTTTCCCTGGGAAGAGGTTTGTGGGCTTCCAGACCACACTGGGTTTGGGCACTCACTTTTCTTCCCTGGGCTGCCCCTGTGCATATAATACATGTGTTTGCCTTTTCTCCCACTCATCTGCCTACTGTCTGCGTATTTCATAGACTCAGTTATCAAACCTTCAGAGAGCAGGGGGGTTGTCTTCCCTCCCCTGCAAGGGAAAAGTGGCTTCCTGCTCTTCCAGTTTACAGGTATATGCTGGGACAGTCAAACCTGATTTTTGTTGCTGTCTGCAGCAAGACAGTAAGACCACAGGCTAGACTTTGGAGAGAGGATGAGAGCAAGGATAAGTGAAAGAATAAGAGTGAGCAAAAGTGAGGAAGAGAGAGAGAGAGAAGAGAGAATTTTATGAATCTCTTAAGCATATGCGGAACTCAGCCTGGAGGTCTGTGATCACACGATTGGTCCAGGATGGGAGGTGGGCTGTCTTTGTGCCTGGAGGGCATGGCCAGGAGACCCCCGCTGCTGTAGAGCAGGAGGAGGATGCAATGGATGGGAGGGGAGCAAACTGTTGTTCTGTTCCCTTTGTGCTGAGAAATGGTGGAAAGAGGAGAGAGAGGCAATGTGGGCAACCAAGCATTGAGGAAACGGAGCACTTACTGAAGAAGAGATTTTAAATTAATAAATTCGGTTGAACAAAATCTTGATTCGCAGTCCTGCCCCATTCCTAGCGCTGGCAGGTTCAGGCTCAGGAGTGAGATGCGATCACTTGTCGAGAAACTGAGAAGTCACGTGTGTTTCATCCATGAGACTGTGATGCGAGTGAGTTTGCTACCCAGCCACAGTGAAACTTAGCCAGCGTCTGCATGTTCTATTTTACTGATGGGATAGCACTGTAGGAGGCAAAAGGAGATTGTGAAATGACACCGAGATCATAGTGATAATCTTATCATCAACAAAAAGAGTCAAACGCTATAGAATGTTTGAAGAGAGTTATTCTGAGCCAAATATGAGTGACCATGGCCCCAGGAACAGTCTCCCGAGGTCCTAAGGACATGTGCCTAAGGTGGTCAGGCTGCAGCTCGGTTCTGTACATTTTAGGGACACATGAGACATCGATCAATACACGTAAGGTTCACGTTGGTTCAGTCCAGAAAGGCAGAACAACTCACATTGGCAGGGGCAGAAGAAGTGGATTTGAAGATTTTCTGATTGGCAGTTGGTTGAAAGAGTCCAGTTATTATCTAAAGAGCTGGAATCAGTAGAAAGGAGTGTCTGGGTTAAGACAAGGGGTTGTGGAGACCAAGCTTCTTCTTATCCAGACGAGGCCTCCAGGTGGCAGGCTTCAGAGAGAACAGATTGTAAATGTTTGTTACCAGACTTAAAAAGGTGCCAGACTTTAGTTAATTCTCTCCTGGATCAGGGAAAAGATGTGGTAAGGGAAAGGGGATTCTCTACAGAATATAGATTTTCCCCACAAGAGACAGCTTTACAGGACCATTCCAAAATATGTCAAAGAAATATATTTTGGGGAGAAATACTTCCGTTTCTTTAAGGCCTGCTCTGTCATGTTGGTATCTTATTGCTAGAAAGCGTGTGTTTTGTCAGTCGTAAGGTCTCTGTTTTAATGTTAATGCTGGTCAGCTGGGCTGGATGCCACAGGGAGGAGGGTACAACAAAGCATATCCAAACACCCCTTCCCATCATGGCCCGAACTCGTTGATCAGGTTAACTTTGGAATGCCCTTGGCCAAGAGGAAGGGTCCGTTCAGTTGGTTGAAGGGCTTAGAATTTTATTTTTGTTTACAATGTGCTTTCTCAAAAGGAGGCTTTTTGTTTGTTCTTCCTGCCATTGCTGCACGGCTCTGAGGCAGTAAAAAAAAAAAATGATATTGGGTACATCAGTGTTTCCCCGGCCTCCCATGGAGGGGCGGAGCATGTTGTCAATCTTGAGAAAGATTATAATCAATCCAGTCAAGTTCAGGTCAGTTCAGTATCTTGACTGCTTTTCAGCAGTGACCAGAAATGGCCTCACCTTGGAAGAAGCACAGGCAACTTCCGGTTTCTCTCCTCAGAAACCCTGGGCTTCTATAACTGTTAGGAGAATCTGCATGTTCTCATAACTGACTTCTGTGCTGTGACTTGCCAACTACTATAAAGACTAGGTGGTACTTAAGGAAATGAGAACAAGAAATTGAAAAATGTGATTAACACACTCTGAGAGAAACTGGGCCAACTATCCAAAAACAAAGGCTCTTCCACTCTTTTTTTTTTGAGATGGAGTCTCACTCCATCACCCAGGCTGGAGTGCAGTGGCGTGATCTTGGCTCACCTCAACCTCCGCTCCCCAGGTTCAAGTGATTCTCCTGCCTCAGCCTCGCAAGTCGCTGGGATTATAGGTATCTGCAACCATGCGTGACTCATTTTTGTATTTTTAGTAGAGATGGGTTTTCGCCACGTTGGCCATGCTGGTCTCGAACTCCCAACCTCAGGTGATCCACCAGCCTCGCCCTCCCAAAGTGCTGGGATTACAGGAGTGAGCCACTGCGCCCGGCCCGACTCTTGAACTCTCTAAAGAACATGAACAAGTGGTGAAAAAAAACAGAGGATATTGTTTTCGCTTGAACAAAGATCACTTGTCATTTTTAAAAAACAAATGTTATTTCATTTATGAAAAGAAGAGCATCTATATATGTAAAGATTGCTACGTACATACAAAGGTTATCATTTACTCAAGGTACAGATCATGCCTGATGCATGCACGGATTCCCAGTCCCTCAGGGTACAGATCACACCTGATACACGCACGGATTCCCAGTCCCTCAGGGTACAGATCACACCTGATACACGCACGGATTCCCAGTCCCTCAGGGTACAGATCACACCTGATACACGCACGGATTCCCAGTCCCTCAGGGTACAGATCACACCTGATACACGCACGGATTCCCAGTCCCTCAGGGTACAGATCACACCTGATACACGCATGGATTCCCAATCCCTCAGGGTACAGATCACACCTGATACACGCATGGATTCCCAATCCCTCAGGGTACAGATCACACCTGATACATGCATTCATTCCCAGTCCCTCAGGGTACAGATCACACCTGATACATGCATTGATTCCAAGTCTCTCAGGGTACAGATCATGCCTCATACATGCATTGATTCCCAATCCCTCAGGGTACAGATCACACCTGATACACACACAGATTCCCAATCCCTCAGGGTACAGATCATGCCTGATGCACACACAGATTCCCAATCCCTCAGGGTACAGATCATACTTGATACACACTAGGATTCCCGATCCCTCAGGGTACAGATCACACCTGATACACGCACGGATTCCCAATCCCTCAGGGTACAGATCATGCCTGATGCACACACGGATTCCCAATCCCTCAGGGTACAGATCATACTTGATACACACTAGGATTCCCGATCCCTCAGGGTACAGATCACACCTGATACACGCACGGATTCCCAATCCCTCAGGGTACAGATCATGCCTGATGCACACACGGATTCCCAATCCCTCAGGGTACAGATCATGCCTGATACACACACGGATTCCCAATCCCTCAGGGTACAGATCACACCTGATACACGCATGGATTCCCAATCCCTCAGGGTACAGATCATGACTGATGCACACACGGATTCCCAATCCCTCAGGGTACAGATCACGCCAGATACACCCGTGGATTCCTAATCCCTCAGGGTACAGATCATACCTGATACACACTCAGATTCCCAATCCCTCAGGGTACAGATTATGCCTAATGCACACACGGAATCCCAATCCCTCAGGGTACAGATCATGCCTGAAACACACATGGATTCCCAATCCCTCAGGGTACAGATCACACCTGATACACACACAGATTCCCAATCCCTCAGGGTATAGATCACACCTGATACACACATTGATTCCCAATCCCTCAGGGTACAGATCATGACTGATACATACATGGATTCCCAATCCCTCAGGGTACAGATCACACCTGATCACACATGGATTCCCAATCCCTCAGGGTACAGATCACACCTGCTACATGCACAGATTCCCAGTCCCTCAGGGTATAGATCATGACTGATACACACATTGATTCCCAATCCCTCAGGGTATAGATTATGACTGATATATACATGGATTTCCAATCCCTCAGGGTACAGATCACACCTGATGCACACATGGATTCCTAATCCCTCAGTGTACAGATCACACCTGATGCACACATGGATTCCTAATCCCTCAGGGTACAGATCTCACCTGATACACACACTGATTACCAATCCCTCAGGATACAGATCGAGCCTGAGGCACACATGGATTCCCGATCCCCTTGCTGTATCTTCCCTCCCTCCCCAGCCCTCAAGTAGGGAAAGATTTCCTCAGACATATGAGGATACTTTGACAGAAAAAATTTCCAATTACTTTTCTAATTAGCACCTAAACATCCATCCATTTGTGTTATTACAATTAAAATTAAATTTTTATAAAACATTTTACAGGGTTAAAAAAAAGTCTGTTATTTTTCATATAGTAAATTTTTGATAATTCATAAGTATACAATTACCTATCAAGGGCTTGTTCTTATTTTCAAATACAGAGTCTGTATGCTTTTGTACATATTCAGTAGCTATTGCATCGGGTCAGGCACATGACAGGGGAAATGTGGTACCGATCTCTGATATAAGAAATAAGGAACAGGTTGAGCGATGTTCCCAATCCCTCTGCAGACCATCAGTTATCAACTGGTAAAGGCTGGGAATTGATGAGGTGGGCTTGAGCAGCAGCATCAACTCTTCAAGTATTTTACAAGCATCTGAGACCATTGACCATGGACTGTCCTCCAGAGAATTAAAGCTAACTTGTGGCCAGGCACAATGGCTCATGCCTGTAATCCCAGCACTTTGGGAGGCCGAGGGGGGTGGATCACTTGAGGTCAGGAGTTCATGACCAGCCTGGCCACCATGGTGAAACCCCACTCTACTAAAAACACAAAAGTTAGCAAGGCATGGTGGCGGGTGCCTGGAATCCCAGCTACTGGGGAAGTTGATGCAGGAGAATTGCTTGAATCCAGGAGGCAGAGGTTTCAGTGAGCCGAGATCATGCCATTGCACTCCAGCCTGGGTGACAGAGTAAGACTCTATCTCAAAAAAAAAAAAAAAAAGCTAACTTGTTTCTTATGTTTGTCTGATACTCCTAACTATTCCCATTACCAATTCACCTTGGTTGTCATAAACTTACTACTCAGATTCAAATCTCATTTGTGAGCTGATACAGTTTGGATATTGTCCCCTCCAAATCTCAGGTTGAATTATAATCTCCAGTGTTGGAGGTGGGGTCTGGTGGGAGGTTTTTGGGTCATGGGGGTGGATCCCTTATGGCTTGGTGCTGTCCTTGTGACAGTGAGTTCCAGAGAGATTGGTTAAGTGTGTGGCATCTCCTCCCTACTCTCTCTCTTGCTCCTGCTCTGGCTATGTGACCCACCCGCTCCCTCTTTTTCTTCCACCATGAGTAAAAGCTCCCTGAGACAGCCCAGAAGACAAGCAGATGACAGCACCATGCTTCCTGTAAAGCCTGCAGAACCATGAGCCAATTAAACCTCTTTTCTTATAAATTACCCAGTCTCAGGTATTTTTTTTATAGCAAGCCAAGAACAACCTAACACCAGAGCTGAGGCGAATCCAAATCTGCCACTTCAATCAATATCTCAGTCATTCTATTTTGGTGAGCAGGAATATAATGCAGATAAGCCAGAGACTGATGTGGCAAGCAAAACACAAAACTCTAGCAACTGAAATGACACAGCAGGGAAGCAAGCAGAGAACAGCAGCAAAGAGTGCAGGAAGGAATGGAGCAGGAGGAGCTGGAATGAAGACTCTAAATTCAGTTGCTGGGAAGGACAGTGAAATGATGAAGAAAAGCACATATTGGGGGGCAGGGTGGGGAAGAGGACAGGAAAGGAAATGTTGAAGGTAGGCAGATGAGGTCACAGAAGCTGGTCATTCATTCACTTGCTAACCTAGTCACTGACCAAATGAGTGCTTATTTAGAATAAAGTGTGGAAGGTTGCCGTGGGACATGACATACAGGGAACAGAAGGGAAAAGAATGTCATGGGTGACTGGTGACTATCCGGGCCAGTGGCACGGGGGTAAGAATTTATCAAGATAGTTGTAGGTAAAGAAAGGCAGGTTTAATAAAGAAAGTATAAAAATATGTTGCAAGAAGGCAACAGGTAGGCCAGCAGAAGAGGAGCTGACTGCCAGGAAACAAAGTCTTGCAGGGCTGGGGATTTTATAGAACTGTGCTTCTGCTGTGTGCTGAAGAGGGCTACGAGCAGTACTGATAACACCAGGGTTACAGGGAGCTCACTTACCCGTGCCTGGTGAGAAGGTGGGTAGAGGACGATTGAGTTATATTCATAGGAGGACTGGTCCTGGTGAAGAAAGGCAAGCCTACATAACTTATCTGCTTCCTCTTTCTGCTTTCCCTCGGTCCCACCAGCCTGACTCCTTTTCCCTAATTAGGACCCCAAAAAGAACAAAGGGATAAGCTGGTTCAAAGAATTATAAGCTCTTTAGACTGGGAAAGTGATTCTGGAGATAACCTCACTCAATTTGTTGATTGCACACACTAGGGAGCTGATGCACAGGTGTGCCCCTCTAGGCAGGATGTAGATAGGAGAGATGGAGCTGTTAGGAGAGGGAGCAATACTGCAGGGCAGGCGGGAATCACAGATGGAAGCAGCACCTGGAATCCAGACCTGTGGGCACTCTGCTGAGCTTCCCAGCCAGGGGATGGGAAGGACCAGGGCAGAGAGGGCCACAAGCCCAGTAAGGCCTTCTATAACCTGGAAGATAGGCAGCCCAAAAGTCGATGGAAGGCACACACCAATGCCATTCCCTAGTGTTTCCACAGGTGAAGGAAAATCGACTCTGTGGATCCTTTACCTACACTGTTTCGGCAGCAGGAAAAGCCCTGACTTTTCTACTCCTCCAAGAGAGCCCAAATCTCAAGGCATGCTAAAGGAACAAGCGAGGAAAATGAGAGGACAGCGAGGAGGAAGGGAAGGAGCAAAGGGAACACTCAAGTGTCTAATTCTTTGCATCTGTAATTAGCTTATTTAATCACCTAATTATGAAATGAAATTGTGCTTTGCCAGTAATTTCGAATTTCGGGACTTAAATGGGAAAAGGTGATATCTTTGCGCCATCTAGTGTTGTGTCTTGAAATGACACACTTCTTGACGTCTCAGCCCAGAGGAGCTGCAGGCAGCCTTACATAACCAGAAATAGCAAGATTAGCCTCTCCTGTTACATAACCGTGAGAAGTGTTTCAAAGCAGAAGATTATGCATTCCTAGCACCAAATGAATCTTCTCGATAGTTAGTAAGATAATCCCTAAATCTAGGGCAAGGCAGCAATTATGATCCTATTATCATCTGGAAGTTCAGGTATAGAAGAGAACTCTAGCAGGGTGCAGTGGCTCATACCTGTGATCCCAGACCTTTGAAAGGCTGAGATGGGAGGATCCCTTGAGCCCAGGAATTCAAGACCACCCTATGCATAGTAAGACCCTATCTCTATAAAAATAAAAAATAAAAATAATTAGCCAGGCATGGTTGTGCATCCCATCTACTCAGGGAGACTGAGCCAGGAGCATCGTTTGAGCCCAGGAGGTCAAGGCTGCAGCGAGCCATGCTCACGCCATTGCACTCCAGGCTGGGCAACAGAGCAAGACCCTATTTCAAAAATAAAAACAAAAAACTTTACTCTTAGTACAATGAGAACTAACATGGCTGAGAATGTAACCTTCTAGAGGTTAACTTTAACAGCAACATGAGATCATTGACAATTACATTATGGACTTAGAAGCTGATGTACAACTAGAGGAAGGAAGGAAAGGAGAGAGAGAAGGAAGGATATTAAATCATGGAATTATATCTGGTGAAAATAAATGAATCATTAAGTAAAATACACTGTCATAGGGCTATTTGATTATAAGAAGCATATTGATCAAATGTATTAAATAGGAAAGTAAAATTATCACTGAAAGTTACTAATTATAACGATCACTCTGTATTTACTATATGCTAGAAGTAGACGCACATTATTCCATTTAATCCTCACAATAGTCCCCTAAGGTAGACACGACCATTATTCAGATATGAAACCTGGGGCTTAAGGAGCTGAATAACCTTGCTCAAGGTCACAGATAGTCACCAAGAGGCAGAACTATGGTGTGAAGCTCGATCTTTCTGATTACAAAACGCTGCTTTTCATTGCTGTGTAATGCTGCCTCTTTCTGTCAGAAATGCTTTAAATTCTTGACCAACTGTAAACCTAAAAGCTGCAGGCCCTCTTTTGGTTTGTAACCTTGAATCTATTTCCTGACATTTTCATTAGAAGAGCGTGATCTATCCAGAGGTAACCATTTAATGCTGCAAAAAGTACAACCTGGCTGAAATGGTCATTTAAAACTCGGAACACACTGGAATCCTGAGGCAAAGGAAGAAAAGTGTGACTTCATGCAGCATTTCCAGATTCCAGGACGCAGAGACCTCCATCTAAGGACCAAGCACCGCTGGCACACGGACCGCGTGAGAAGCAGGTCCCTGCCGATGAGTCTTTCCTGCAGAAACCTCGGCTCCCTGACTTGGTTAAGCAGCAGCCGAACCGCAGCCTCAGCACCAACGTGAGAGGTGCCGAGCCCTCTCCTTCCTTAGCTACTGAGCTGGTTCTTAAGAAGCTTGTTCCTGCTAGTACCTGTCAAGAGCTTCCCAAAACATAAACCAGACGTTGGGGAAAATGTTCTCTCTAGTTGTATTTGGCTTTTCCACAAGCACTCTTTAAACTCAAGCGGCTGAAGTGCTCCCGGCTGAGGAGGATGCTGTTCTGTGCAAACGCCGAGCCATTGATCATGTTCCGGGTTGTCCAACTCTTCAGTTTGAGACAAAAACAAACACGCTTTTACACTAAATAGGCATGAAGGAGGTGGCCAGTGTGGCATTTTTCAGCTCTCCAAAGTATCCCAGGATAGTTTGATTTAGGGCTAACGTGTGTTTTATTGCCACAGTAGTTAAGCTTGCTACCAGAACTCTAATGCAGGGAAATGTTAATTATGTTAATCTACTTCTTTTGGAATTTATAGCTGAATTTATTATGAATTTACTAATAAATTAGTAAATTCAAGTCAGCACAAAAACAAAAGTTTATGTCCTTAATACTCCAGAGCTTATATGGGGGAAGTTGGGGGATGTCGGTGGATATAATTTGCACGTCCAAAAGCTGAAAGTGCAACAGGAGAGGCAGTGCAGTGGCCAGCTTCCCGGGAGCGTTCTTATTGGCATACTGGTGTTTCACTGCACCAGCTGAAGTCAAGAAGGTTTCGGTTTTTATGTTTGTTTGTTTGTTTGTTTGAGACGAAGTCTCGCTCTGTCTCCAGGCTGGAGTGCTGTGGCGCAATCTCGTCTCACTGCAACCTCTGCCTCCCGGATTCAAGCGATTTTCCTGCTTCAGCCTCCTGAGTAGCTGGGACTACAGGTGCCCACCACCACGCCAAGCTAATTTTTGTATTTTTAGTAGAGACGGGGTTTCACCATGTTGGCCAGGATGATCTTGAACTCCTGACCTCGTGATCCACCCGCCTCAGTCTCCCAAAGTGCTGGGATTACAAGCGTGAGCCACCACACTCAGCCTAATTTTTGTATTTTTTTTAGTAGAGACGGGGTTTCACCATGTTGCCCAGGATGGTCTCAATCTCTTAACCTCATGATCTGCCCACCTCGGCCTCCCAAAGTGCTGGGATTACAGGTGTGAGCCACCGCGCCTGGCCCAAGATGGCTTCTTGAAGTGCCCCTGACAGGGTGGCTGTGCGAGAGTCCAGAGACACCGAGTCCCTCTCAGGGCAGAGCACAAGCTGCAGACACCACGTAAGCCAGCCAGAGAGAAAAAAGAGAAGTAACCCAATTTTTAAAAGGAGGAAAGTATTTGAAGATATTTCACAAAGAAAGACATACCAATGATCACATGGAAACATGTTCAATATTAGTCATCAAGGAAATGTACATTAAATCACAATCGACCAGAATGGCTAAACTCTAAAGACCGACAATAACAAGTATGGGCAAAGATGTAGAGTGATTGGAAGGCGCCTACATTTTTGACGGGAGTAAGAAAGGGCATGATTACTTAGCAAAAGGCCTGGCATTCTCTTATACAACTAAAGACGTTCCTACCAGCAATTCCAGTCCTAGGTGTTTACCTAAGAAAATGAAAACCTTTGTTACAAAAAGACTTTCCCAGGAATGTTCACAACAACAACTTTCCTTATAATACACGAAACCTAGAAATAAGACAGGTGATCACTGACAGGAGAGTGGATAACTATAGAATTATACAGGGGAATACTACACAGCAATAGAAAGAAATAAACTGCTGATACAAACGGTAGCATGAACGACTCTCAAAAACATTATGCTGAGTGGAGCCAGGCGCGGTGGCTCACACCTGCAATCCCAGAACTTTGGGAGGCCAAGGTGGGTAGATCGCCTGAGGTCAGGAGTTTGAGACCAGCTTGGCCAGCATGGTGAAACCCCGTCTCTACTGAAAATATAAAAGTTAGCTGGGTGTGGTGGCAGGTGCCTATAATCCCAGCTACTTGGGAGGCTGAGGCAGGAGAATTGCTTGAACCCAGGAGGCAGAGGTTGCAGTGAGCTGAGATCACACCACTGCACTCCAGCCTGGGTGACAGGGGGAGACTCTGTCTAAGAAAAAACAAACAAACAAACAAACAAATACCATTATACTGAGTGAAAGAAGCCACGTAATATATTATTCTATCTATTGGAAATTCCAGAAATAGGCAAAAACTTACCTGTGGTAAAAAAGATATCAGAACAGCAGATGCTTCTGGGAGAAGGTGTCTGGGGAATACTGGCAGGGAATGAGCTAGAGAACTTCCTGGACCAAAGCAATAACGTTTCTATCTCTTCTTTTTTTTTTTTTTTTTGGAGACAGGGTCTCACTCTGTTGTCCATGCTGGAATGCAGTGGTGTGGTCACAGTTCACTGCAGCCTCAACCTCCTGGGTCAAGTGATCCTTCTGCCTCAGTCTCCCAAGTAGCTAGGACCACAAGCATGCACAACCACACCCAGCTAATTTTTGCATTTTTTTGTAGAGACAGGGTTTTGCCATGTTGCCCAGGCTGCGTTCTATATTTTAATGATGTGTTCATTTATCCACATTGATCAAGTGAAAACTTAAGATTTATGCATTTTCATTGCATGTAAATATTATCTAAAAAACACTTTAAACAAATATCCAACTCTACTTAACGATGTGCCTTGGGAAGACTAGGAGTGAAGTATATAGATGTCTGAAATTTACTTTCAAATGCATCAAACAACAAGACGGATTAAGAGAGGGATGGATAGATGGATGATTATGTGGTAAAGCAAATACAGTAAAACGTTAATTGTGCACTTAATCTTAGCCAAACGGCCGAGAAGCGATAAACGTTAATTGTGGAAGCTAAGGAATGGTATGTGGGTGTTCCCTGTACAATTTTTTCAGCTCTTCTATATGGTTGAACTGTTGGAAAATGGTGAATATAAAGAATCTCAGTGAATGTTCTGAAAGAAAGTCAATTTCTTTGTAATTGGATATGTAACTTAGAATGTCATTAATAGAATTTGAAGGACCAAACTCGAAGTTTAAAATAGAGGTGAGATTTTTAAAAAGGAATCGTGAAGTTTATCACCTCATTTATTCTGAGAAGCAGTTTATTATTTCAAGGTTTCACTGACAACCATAAACACTTGCGCAGATCCATGATGGTACCTCCCAGCTGTGAAATACACATATATGAACACACACATACACACAGAATTGATACCATGATGGTACCTCCCACCTGTGAAATATACATATATGAACATACACATGCACACAGAATTCGTACCATGATGGTACCTCCCAGCTGTGAAATACACATATATGAACATACACATGCACACAGAATTCATACCATGACGGTACCCCCCACCTGTGAAATACACATATATGAACATACACATGCACACAGAATTCGTACCATGATGGTACCGCCCACCTGTGAAATACACATATATGAAAATACACATGCACACAGAATTCGTACCATGATGGTACCGCCCACCTGTGAAATACACATATATGAACATACACATGCACACAGAATTCGTACCATGATGGTACCGCCCACCTGTGAAATACACATACATGAACATACACATGCACACAGAATTCGTACCATGATGGTACCTCCCACCTGTGAAATATACATATATGAACATACACATGCACACAGAATTCGTACCATGATGGTACCTCCCACCTGTGAAATACACATATATGAACATACACATGCACACAGAATTCATACCATGATGGTTCCGCCCACCTGTGAAATACACATATATGAACGTACACATGCACACAGAATTCATACCATGATGGTTCCGCCCACCTGTGAAATACACATATATGAACGTACACATGCACACAGAATTCATACTAACATTGCCAAAGTCCAGAACAACATATTTTAATAACTCTTCCGTGTACATCTGCATCTTCTTTCTTCCACAAGATGCTGATTTTCAAGGATGCAGATGATAGAATATTCAATGATTATTTATGTTCTTTATCCCGCATCATGCACAGTGTGCTGACTGTGAATATTTGGGTGTATATGCATATGAATGTCTGCCACATGTGATGTCAGAGGTAGAGACTACTTTACCACTTTCACATTTGGTAAACTCATAGGAAAGATGGCAAAAGGGGCCGGGCGCAGTGGCTCACGCCTGTAATCCCAGCACTTTGGGAGGCTGACGCAGGTGGATCACTTTCATGCGCGTCCGTGTGAAGAGACCACCAAACAGGCTTTGTGTGAGCAACAAGGCTGTTTATTTCACCTGGGTGCAGGCGGGCTGAGTCCGAAAAGAGAGTCAGCGAAGGGAGATAGGGGTGGGGCCATTTTATAGGATTTGGGTAGGTAAAGGAAAAAGGGGGGTTGTTCTCTGACAGGTAGGAGTGGGGGTCACAAGGTGCTCAGTAGGGGAGCTTTTGAGCCAGGATGAGCCAGGAGAAGGAATTTCACAAGACAATATCATCAGTTAAGGCAGGAACAGGCCATTTTCACTTCTTTTGTGGTGGAATGTCATCAGTTAAGGCAGGAACCGGCCATCTGGATGTGTACGTGCAGGTCACAGGGGATATGATGCCTTAGCTTGGGCTCAGAGGCCTGACATTCCTGTCTTCTTATATTAATAAGAAAAATAAAACGAAATAGTGGTAAAGTGTTGGGACTGGAAAATTTTGGGGGATGGTATGGAGAAATAATGGGCAATGTTTCTCAGGGCTGCTTTGAGCGGGATTAGGGGCGGCGTGGGAACTTAGAGTGGGAGAGATTAAGCTGAAGGAAGATTTTGTGGTAAGGGGTGATATTGTGGGGTTGTTAGAAGAAACATTTATCGTGTAGAATTATTGGTGATGGCCTGGATATGGTTTTGTATGAATTGAAAAACTAAACGGAATAAAAGAAGGAGAAAAACAGGTATTAAAGGTCTAAGAATTGGGAGGACCTAGGACATCTAATTAGAGAGTGCCTAAGGAGGTTCAGCATAGCCTTGCCAGCAAAGATTATTTATTTACTTTAAGAGTTAAGAGTGGCGGTTTGGGGATAGCACCAGGAGATATCAGCTGTGATGGCTTGGAGAAACAGTGTAAACCGGCAATGTAATCAAGAGCAGGGCATGTATGAGTAGTTGAGAACAGTGAATAGCTGTATGACTAGAGAGAAGATAGTAAGGATGACAAGTTTTATGGGGCACAGTCCAAGTTGGTCTGGTGTCTGGAATGAGACTGGGGCCTAATAAAAAGGAGCATCCATACAGGAGCTTAAATGGGCTGTACCCTGTAGCATTCCGAGGACAGGCCTGATATCTGAGAAGGGAAAGTGGTAAAAGTATTGTCCAATCCTTTTTAAGTTGGTAGCTGAGCTTGGTGAGGTGTGTTTTTAAAAGACCTTTAGTCTGTTCTACTTTTCCTGAATACTGAGGACCGTAAGGGATATAAAGGTTTCACTGGATACTAAGAGCCTGAAAAACTGTTTGGCTGATTTGACTAATAAAGGCCGGTCTGCTATCGGACTATATAGAGGTGGGAAGGCCAAACTGAGGAATTATGTCTGACAGAAGGGAAGAAATGACCACAGTGACCTTCTCAGACCCTGTGGGAAAGGCCTCTACCCATCCAGTGAAAGTGTCTACCTAGACTAAGAGGTATTTTAGTTATCTGACTCGGGGCATGTTGAGTAAAGCTAATTTGCCAGTCCTGGGCGGGGGCAAATCCTCAAGCTTGATGTGTAGGGAAGGGAGGGGGCCTGAATAGTCCCTGAGGAGTAGTAGAATAGCAGATGGAACACTGAGAAGTTATTTCTTTGAGGATAGATTTCCATGATGGAAAGGAAATGAGAGGTTCTAAGAGGCGGGCTAGTGGCTTGTACTATAGCATAGTCTGCCTTTGCTGGTGTGTGGCGATTAGGCCTGGTGGAACTGCCATCAATAAACTAAGTGTGATCAGGGTGAGGAACAGGAAAGAAGGAAATATGGGGAAATGGGGTGAATGTCAGGTGGATCAGAGAGATACAGTCAGGAGGGTCAGGTGTGGCATCAGGAATGATGTGGGAGGCCAGATTGAGGTCTGGGCCAGGAACAATGGTAATTGTGGGAGACTCAACAAAGAGTGAGTACAGCTGAAGGAGGCAGGCGAGCAGAAAGTATATGCATCAGGTGTGAGGAAGAAAACAGATTTTGGAAGTTATGAGAACTGTAGAGAGTGAGTTGAGCATAGTTTGTGATTTTTAGGGCCCCTGAAAGTATTAGGGTGGTGGTGGCTGCCGCACGCAAACGTGAGGGCTAGGCAAAACAGTAAGGTCAAGTTGTTTGGATAAAAAGGCTACAGGGCGCGGTCCCGGTTCTTGTGTAAGAATTCTGACTGCACAGCCCTACACTTCGGCTGTGGGTAATGAAAAGGGTTAGGATGAGTCAGGGAGAGCTAGGATGGGGGCAGTCTCTAAAGCTGTCTTCAAGGAACAGAAAGAGGAGTGCTGAAAGGATTTAGGGTCTATGGGGTCAGCTAGGTTTCCTTTAGTGAGTTTATATAATGGTTTTGTTAGGATGGCAAAACCAGGTATCTAAAGTCGAAAGTATCTACCCATGCCCAGGAAGGAAAGGAGTTGTTGTTTTGTAGAAGGTGCTAGGGTTTGAGAGATCAGTCAAACATGATCAGCAGGGAGAGCATGTGTGTTTTTATGAGAATTATGCTGAGATACATAACAGATGAGGAAGAAATTTAGGCTTGACTGAAGTAATGGGGTCTGTCTGTGAAGCTTTGTGGCAGTATAGCCCAGGTAATTTGCTGAGCCTGATGGGTGTCAGGGTCAGTCTAAGTGAAGGCAAAGAGAGGCTGGGATGAAGGGTGCAAGGAATAGTAAAGAAAGCATGTTTGAGATCCAGAACAGAATAATGGATTGTGGAGGGATGTATTGAGGATAGGAGAGTATATGGGTTTGGCACCACAGGGTGGATAGGCAAAACAATTTGGTTCATAAGGCACAGATCCTGAACTAACCTGTAAGGCTTGTCTGGTTTTAGGACAGGTAAAATGGGGGAATGGTAAGGGGAGTTTATAGGCTTTAAAAGGCCATGATGTAGCAGGCGAGTGATAACAGACTTTAATCCTTTTAAAGCATGCTGTGGGATGGGATATTGGCATTGAGCAGGGTAAGGGTGATTAGGTTTTAATGAGATGGTAAGGGGTGCACGATTGGTCGCCAAGGAGGGAGTAGAGGTGTCCTATACTTGTGGGCTAAGGTGGGAGATACAAGGGGAGGATGTGAAGGAGGCTTTGAACTGGGAGAAAAGGCGGCAATGAGGTGTGGCTATAGCCTAGGAATAGTCAGGGAAGCAGATAATTTAGTTGAAGTGTCTTGGCCTAATAAGGGAACTGGGCAGGTGGGGATAACTAAAAAGGAGTGCTTAAAAGAGTATTGTCTAAGTTGGCACCAGAGTTGGGGAGTTTTAAGAGGTTTAGAAGCCTGGCCGTCAATACCCACAACACTTATGGAGGCAAGGGAAACGGGCCCTTGAAAAGAAGGTAATGTGGAGTGGGTAGCCTCCGTATTGATTAAGAAGGGGACGGACTTACCTTCCACTGCGAGAGTTACCCAAAGCCCAGCGTCCATGATGGTTTAGGGGTCTTCCGAGGCGATCAGGCAGTGTCAGCCTTCAGCTGCTAAGCCAAGAAGATCTGGGAAGGAGTCAGAGAGCCTTGAGCCAGAGTTCCAGGGGCTCTGGGAGTGGCTGCCAGGTGAGTTGAACAGTCTGATTTTCGGTAGGGTCCTGCACAGATGGGACGTGGCTTAGGAAGAATCCCAGGCTGCAGGCAATCCTTGGCCTGGTGGCCAGATTGTCGGCACTTGTAGCAAGCTCTTGGGGGAGGAGGTTCTGGAGGAATGCCTGGCCACTGTGGTTCAGGCGTTTGGAAGTTTTTGTGGGCTAGAGATGTGGCTGGGGTTTGTCTCACAGTGGAGGCAAGGAATTGCAACTTAGAAATACATTGTTACTTGGCTGCCTCTACTCTATTATTGTACACCTTGAGGGCGAGGTTAATTAAGTCCTGTTGTGGGGTTTGAGGGCCAGAATTTAATTTTTGGAGTTTTATTTAATGTCAGGAGCAGATTGGGTAATAAAATGTATGTTGAGAATAATACGGCCTTTTGACTTTTTAGGGTCTAGAGCTGTAAAGCATCTTAGGGTTGCTGCCGAATGAGCCATGAACTGGGCTGAGTTTTTCATATTTGATGAAAGAGCCTAAACGCTAACTGATTTGGGAGAGGTCGGATAAAGAAAAAGGAGCATTAACCTTGACTATGCCTTTAGCTCCAGCCACCTCTTTAAGAGGAAATTGCTGGGCAAGTGGGGGAGGGCTAGTCGTGGAATGAAACTGTAAGCTGGACCGGGTGTGAGGAGGGGAGGTGATAGAAGGATTATAGGGTGGAGGAGCAGAGGCTGAGGAAGAATTGGGACGTAGCTCAGCCTGGCGAGGAGGGGACAGGTCAGATGGGTCTGTAGAAAAGTAAGGTTAGAAAGACTCAGCAACGCTTGGGGTTGGGACTGAGGGGACAGATGGGAGGGAAAGAAGGAAGATATGGGACGAGTTGCATTGGGAACAGAGACTGGGGAGGGACCGATGTGTAAAAGAATGCCTGGACGTCAGGCACCTCAGACCGTTTGCCCATTTTACGACAAGAATTATCTAGATCTAGTAGGGTAGAAAAAATGAAAGTGCCATTTTCCGGCTATTTGGAACTACTGTCAAGTTTGTATTGGGGTCAAGTGGCATTGTAGAAGAAAATAAGGCATTTAGGTTTTAGGTTGGGTGTGAGTTGAAGAGGTTTTAAGTTCTTGAGAACACAGGCTAAGGGAGAAGGAGGAATTGAGGGTGGAAGGTTGCCTATAGTGAAGGAGGCAAGTTTAAAGAGAAGGGTAGAGACACGGAGAAGGAGGTGGGGAGCAGCCCTGGCTGCAATGTGGGTGACCAGCCAAAGCAGGCGCCCCCACAATTGACTTGCCACCAAGGGAACGTGGGTGAATGACCAAGGCAGGCGTCCCTGCGGAGATCAGACACCAATGGAACGTGGGTGAATAATCAGAGAGGCGTCCCTGCAATGATTAAACACAAAGGGAAGGCTGCCTTCCTGAGTCCATGACCAGCGCCAGAGTTTTGGGTCCACGGATAAAATATGTCTCCTTTGTCTTTACCAGTAAATGAAAGGAATTGAAATTGAGAGAAGAGAGAGATTGAAGTGTGGTGCCAAGATTGAAAGGAGAAAGAGGTTGAGGGATAGTGAGGGAGGTTGGAGAAGACAGTGAAAAGAGGCCGCTTACCGGATTTAAAATTGGTGAGATGTTCCTTGGGCTGGTTGGTCTGAGGACCAGAGGTCATAGGTGGATTTTTCTCATGGAACAAAGAGCAGGAGGACAGGAGATTGATCTCCCAAGGGAGGTCCCCCAATCTGAGTCACGGCACCAAATTTCATGTGTGTCCGTGTGAAGAGACCACCAAACAGGCTTTGTGTGAGCAACAAGGCTGTTTATTTCACCTGGGTGCAGGCGGGCTGAGTCCGAAAAGAGAGCGAAGGGAGATAGGGGTGGGGCCGTTTTATAGGATTTGGGTAGATAAAGGAAAAAGAGGGGTTGTTCTCCGGCAGGCAGGAGTGGGGGTCACAAGGTGCTCAGTAGGGGAGCTTTTGAGCCAGGATGAGCCAGGAGAAGGAATTTCACAAGATAAAATCATCAGTTAAGGCAGAAACAGGCCATTTTCATTTATTTTGTGGTGGAACGTCATCAGTTAAGGCAGGAACCGGCCATCTGGATGTGTACGTGCAGGTCACAGGGGATATGATGGCTTAGCTTGGGCTCAGAGGCCTGACAGTCACGATGTCGGGAGTTCAAGACCAGCCTGGCCAACATGGTGAAACCCCATCTCTACTAAAAATACAAAAATTAACCAGGTGGGGTGTCATGTAGCTGTAGTCCCAGCTACTGGAGAGGCTGAGGCAAGAGAATCGCTTGAACCTGGGAGGCAGAGGTTGCAGTGAGCCGAGATCACGCTACTGCACTCCAGCCTGGGCAACAGAGCGAGACTCCGGCTCAAAAAAAAAAAAAAAAAAAAAGATGTCAAAAGCATTGAAAAGTCCACTCTTCCTTTAGGAGACAGAGGCTAAGAACAGCTCCTTCCCTACCACTCTTAGACCCTACTACGTGGAAATAAGGGACAATATGCCATCTGTCTTCTGGACTGCTCCCATCATCCTGTATGGGGAAAAGAAAGATCAGACTGTTACTGTGTCTGTGTAGAAAGAAGTAGACATAAGAGACTCCATTTTCTTCTGTACTAAGAAAAATTCTTTTGCCTTGAGATGCTGTTAATCTGTAACCTTACCCCCAACCCTGTGCAGAAACATGTGCTGTGTCGACTCAAGGTTTAATGGATTTAGGGCTATGCAGGACGTGCTTTGTTAAACAAATGCTTGAAGGCAGCATGCTTGTTAAAAGTCATCACCACTCCCTAATCTCAAGTACGCAGGGACACAAAACACTGCGGAAGGCCACATGGACCTCTGCCTAGGAAAGTCAGGTATTGTCCAAGGTTTCTCCCCGTGTGGCAGTCTGAAATATGGCCTCGTGGGAAGGGAAAGACCTGACCGTCCCCAAGCCCGACACCCATAAAGGGTCTGTGCTGAGGAGGATTAGTAAAAGAGGAAGGAATACCTCTTTGCAGTTGAGACAAGAGGAAGGCATCTGTCTCCTGCTCGTCCCTGGGCAATGGAATGTCTCGGTGTAAAACCCGATTGTATATTCCATCTACTGAGATAGGAGAAAACCGCCTTAGGGCTGGAGGTGGGACATGCTGCTCTTTAATGCACCGAGATGTTCATGTAAGTGCACATCAAAGCACAGCACATTTTTCTTAGCCTTGTTTATGACACAGAGACATTTGTTCATGTTTTCCTGCTGACCCTCTCCCCACTATTACCCTATTGTCCTGCCACATCCTCCTCTCCGAGATGGTAGAGATAATGATCAATAAATACTGAGGGAACTCAGAGACTGGTGCTGGCAGGGGTCCTCCCTAGGCTGAGCGCCGGTCCCCTGGGCCCACTTTTCTTTCTCTATACTTTGTCTCTGTGTCTGTTTCTTTTCTCAGTCCCTCGTCCCACCCGACAAGAAACGCCCACAGGTGTGGAGAGGCAGACCAACCCTTCAATCCTGTCTTGACCTCATTGGCCTGAGGCTTTCCATACAAATGGAGACAACAGCATCGTCACCACCAACTTAAAGACCTAGGTTTGTATATGATCGCAATAATAATCTATTATCAATGCAAATGTATTCCTCACTTTCTGCAACCAAAAGACAGTGCGGCCAGGAGGAGTGCTCTCTATTACGCGCTGGTGTCTTGGGAGTTATCAGTCCGTTAGCCAACAGATTCTGGAGAAACCAGACCCCGGGGGTGGTGGAGGAGGTGGGAATGCAATATCAGGAAAGTCCCACCCACCGGGTGTCCTCCCCTCCTCTTCCTGTCTTCCCTGCAGCCTGCTTCCCAGAGCGGCAGAAGACGACGAGGCGTGACTGCAAATTGCTCTCCACAGTGTCTGAGGAATATTCCAGCAGTCTATTCAAATACATTTGCATGCAATGATTACATTTACTTTCCTTTTCAACCCATAACTTTTATTTTGAAAATATTAACAGATCATAATTATCAGAGCTTACTTGTCAGTTGTAAATGATCCCAGGTGTATGTCTTGTGGTAGAATTCGAAACAACCGGTGTCCCCAAATATGGGCAAGTGAATTGTATGACCAAAGTTAAGTTATACATTAGTTTTTTAAGGCTCACAATGTATATTTCCAATGAAACTATGCCAAAACAGTAGTTACATTAAAAATGTGCATGGAGGCCAGGCACGGTGGCTCATGCCTGTAATCCCAGCACTTTGGGAGGCCGAGGCAGGTGGATCACCTGAGGTCGGGAGCTCGAGACCAGCCTGACCAACATGGAGAAACCCCATCTCTACAAAAAATACAAAATTAGCCGGGCGTGGTGGCCCATGCCTGCCTGTAATCCCAGCTACTCGGGAGGCTGAGGCAGGAGAATCACTTGAACCTGGGAGGTGGAGGTTGCAGTGAGCCAAGATCACACCACTGCCCTCCAGCCTGGGCAACAGAAGTAAAACTCCATCTCAAAAAACAAAAAACACCTGTGGACTGAACAATTTTAGCTTATGACCAGTAATGCAAATATACGGCTTTCTAATGCACTGTTGGGAATCATTCTGACACCACAAAGCTTACTTTAGAATATTGTTTTCCAGTACTGTATAAGGTGTGAAGAAAACCTGTCATCTGTATCTTGAAAGAGAATAAGGATTGGGAAAAAGAGGCCATTTCAACTCGGTAGCTGCTAATTGGTCTGAACTAGTTGAGGGAGTGTCAGGAGAGCTGAGATGCTGGAAGCATGGACGAGCACACGCATATCCACCAGGGGCTTTTTTTTACCTTTTGGAAATGGATGCACTTCCCAGAATTCATTCATTTAGCTATGTTTCACTACAAATAAAGCAGTTCTTTAAAACAAAAACTAGTGGCTAAAATATTGCAAGGAAAAAAGAGTTTTTATATAAATTTTACTATCCTAGTAATCTTCGATATCTTCCTTGATATAAGAATGATAAGAATATGATGTCTCAGGCTCATTTTGTACATTTCCTGCCCTAGACCTGAAATTATCCATTTCTCTTAGAAGCCTGGTTTCTTTTGCTGGGAAATAGTATATAAAAATCACAATCTGGGACTAAGAGTACTCATTCCTTCTGTCTCTAGGCAGAGTTTATACTAGTATTTTTTTTTTTCCAGACGGCATCTTGCTCTCTAGTCGCCCAGGCTGGAGTACAGTGGTGGGATGTTGGCTCATTGCAACCTCCACCTCCCAGGTTCAAGCGATTCTCCTGCCTTAGCTTCCCAGAGTAGCTGGGATTACAGGCGCCTGCCAGGACCGGCTAATTTTTGTCTTTTAGTAGAGACAGGGTTTCACCATGTTGGCCAGGCTGGTCTCGAACTCCTGATTCCAGGTGATCCACTCGCCTCGGCCTCCCAAAGTCCTGGGATTACAGGTGTGAGCCACCGCACCCAGCCTATACTAGTATTTCTTTTTCTTTCTTTCTTTCTTTTTTTTTTTTTTTTTTTTTTGAGACAGAGTCTTGCTCTGTCACCAGGCTGGAGTGCAGTGGCGTGACCTGGGCTCACTTCAACCTCTGCCTCCCGGGTTCAAGCGATTCTCCTGCCTCAGCCTCCTGAGTAGCTGGGATTACAGGCATCTGCCACCATGCCCGGCTAATTTTTGTATTTTTAGTAGAGACGGGATTTCACCATGTTGGCCAGGATAGTCTGGATCTCTTGACCTTGTGATCTGCCTACCTTGGCCTCCCAATGTGCTGGGATTACAGGCTTGAGCCACTGTGCCCAGCCTACACTAGTACTTCTGATGCAAATTCAGAACTACATAGTTTTACTTTACGCTTCCATATTAAATCTATATTTTCTTTCTTCCACAAGAAAATGCTGGTTTACAAGGATACAAGGGATGATAGAATTGGAATATCCACTAATTACTTATTTGCTTTACCCCACATTCTTTGCAGTAGACGCAGTCTTAAAATAACAATACTAATGCAGGCACACTTTGTTTCATTGCGCTTCATTTTATTGTGCTTTGCAGATATTGCGCTTTTTACAGATTGAAGGTTTGTGGCAATTCTGTGTCAAGCAAATCTGTCGGCATCATTTTTTTTTTAACAGCACATGCTCACTTCATATCTCTATCACATTTTGGTAATTCTCATTATATTTCAAACTTTTTATTATTTCATTTATATATTGTTTATTAAATCTGTTATACGTCACAGTATTTACTATATATTATGTTTTATTATTACATCTGTTATGGTGATCTATGATTAGTGATCTTTGATGTTACTATTGAAATTGTTTTGGGGTGCCACAAACCACACTCAAATAAGGTGGAAAACTTAATTGATAAATGTGTGTTTTCTGATACAAAACACAACAAACCTGGCTAGGCACAGTGGTTCATGCCTGTTATCCCAGCACTTTGGGAGTCTGAGGGAGGTGGGTCACTTGAGCCCAGGAGTTTGAGACCAGCCTGGGCAACATTGTGAAATCTACAAAACAAAACAAAACAAAACAAAACAAAAACAAAAACAAAAATAAACGAAAACAAAAATTAGGCCAGTGGCACGTGCTTGTAGTCCCGGCTACTCAGGAGGCTGAGGTGGGAGAATCTCTTCAGCCTGAGAGGTTAAGGCTGCAGTGAGACGAGGTCACACAATTGCACTCCAGCCTGGGCGACAGAGCGAGACTCCGTCTCAAAAAAAAAAAAAAAAAAAAAAAAAAAAAAAGAAAGCAAGCCTGGGTGACAGAGTGACATTCTGTCTCAAAAAACAAAACAAAAAAACAACAAACCGGACAAAAACAGTAGCCTGTATGACAAAAGACTAATTTTTTTAATATTCAAAAACTTCTTATGAATAAAAATATATACATAAAAATAGTAGAAAAACAAGACAAAAGACAAAAAGACAGAAGCAGGCATTTTGGTGAAAAGAAAATACAAATGAACAAAAATAACATTAAAAATTAAAGTTATAATATATAACAAAAATTAAAAATATAAAAATGTTCAGCTGCAAAGATTTAAAATCAACAAACAGTAAGATATTCTTTTCCATTTATCAGACTGTCAAAGTTTAACTCTCCTTGAGAATATATGAAAGCAGCTATTCTCAAGAACTATTCGGTGGAGTAACATACATCAGGAATGAAATTCGGTAATCTGTGTAACATTTTCTATGAAAATCCAACAATAAGTATCATAACATTAAAAGCATATGCTTATTTTTAAAAACATACATTTTTTAAGTCTCTTAAAACCTTGATACAAAGTCCATGTCAATGGTATCTCTTCGGCCAATCTCCCTTTTGAATGTGTTGGTGGTATGTCCTGGGACGTGCAGCCACCTGGCTGTCACGGTGTCTGAGTGCCACCAGATGGGGATTTTACAGACAAAGTCAGGTGCTGTTTCCCAGCCTGGGCCTATGGATACTCCTTGGGAAACACTACGTTGCTCATGGAATGCAGCTCTGGACATGCTGACAGCTGTTGTACATTTGTTTGTACTTAGAGGTACTGCCTGTCTGGTTTTCTTTTTCTTTTTTTTTTTTGAGACGGAGTCTCGCTCTGCAGCCCAGCCTGGAGTGCAGTGACGCGAACTGGGCTCACTGCAAGCTCTGTCTCCCGGGTTCACGCCATTCTCCTGCCTCAGCCTCCCGAGTAGCTGGGTCTACAGGCGCTCACCACCACGCCTGGCTAATTTTTTGTATTTTTAGTAGAGACAGGGTTTCATCTTGTTAGCCAGGATGGTCTCGATCTCCTGACCTCGTGATCCGCCCGCCTCAGCTTCCCAAAGTGCTGGGATTACAGGCGTGAGCCACCGCGCCCGGCCCCTTGTAACCATTTTTCAGTGCACAATTCAGTGGCATTAGTCACATTCGTATTGTGGCACCATCAGTCTCCAGATGGTGCAACGCTCCGTATCTTCAGAACTATTTTCTTACCCTAAACTGAACTCTGTGCCCAATAAACAGTAACTCCCTGCTACCCTCTGCTTCCTAGCCCCTAGGAACCATTATTCTACTTTTTATCTCTATAAATTTGACTATTCTAATCAAATGGAATCATACAATATCTATCCTTTTGAGTGTGGCTTATTGCATTCAGCATAATGTTTTTAAGTTTCATCCATGTTATAGTGAAGGAAATGGCAGAATTGTATTCCCTTTTAAGGCTGAATAATATTCCACCATAGGTATATACCACATCCTGCTTATGCGTCTACCCATCGACGGCCATGTTTCCCCCTTTCTGTATTGGCAGTAACGCTGCTATGAACATTGGTGTGCACGTACCTGTTCAAGTCTCTGCTTTTGATTCTCATGGGTATACTCCTAGCAGTGGAATTGTAGGATTATATACTAATTCTATGTTTAATTTTTCTGAGGACTCAACATAATGTTTTTCACAGTGCCGTCTCCATTTTACATTCCTATCAGCAACACACAAGGGTTGCAGTAGATCCACATCCTTAACAACACTTATTTTGTTTTATTATTGTTATTATTGTTGCTTTGGGAGTTTTTTTTTTTTTTTTACAAGTCAAGCTCCCAGGCCCAACAATGCCCTCAAATTCTACAAGCAGCTCAGCCTTGTTACAGTACCACAGAGTCACAAAAGCTTGACTCACATTAACCCAAATGGGTATCCACTTGGGAAGGACAGCCTGGTTCCACAAATGGGACACCATCCTAGCTTGCCCCTAAGGAGGATACTGCTCCCTACGTCGAAGACAAGCGCAACCCAATGCTGAAACTACCGCCCCAGTAAAGCCCGCAGGCTGCCTTTCTTAAGGCACTGACAAATTGGACACAGGCTATTTATCACTTTTCTTCCTCTGATATTAGAGAATCTATTACACTTCCTGAGCTTGCCACTTGCCTAGTCCTTGATCCTAGTATGCACCTTGCTCTCTGCCAAAACATACACCTGTACAATCCCATGTCTAAAGGCAAATCATATCATAGTCACCACTGTTTGTGCTATTCTTAAATATTAATGAAAATGTTTGCTTCCCCCAGGAGGCACCTTCCTCGTATCAGTTCACTCTCTGACCCACAGAACAGAGAACCTCCCCCTGTCCATCTCCTTCTGCCTTCCACCCCCAGCTATCCACCCCCAGCTATCCACCTCCCGCCATCCACCTCCCGCCATCCACCTCCCGCCATCCACCCCCCGCCATCCACCCCCCGCCATCCACCCCCCGCCATCCACCTCCCGCCATCCACCTCCCGCCATCCACCTCCCACCTCCCGCCATCCACCTCCCACCTCCCGCCATCCACCTCCCACCTCCCGCCATCCACCCCCAGCCATCCACCCCCAGCCATCCACCTCCCGCCATCCACCCCCAGCCATCCACCCCCAGCCATCCACCTCCCGCCATCCACCCCCAGCCATCCACCCCCAGCCATCCACCTCCCGCCATCCACCTCCCGCCATCCACCCCCCGCCATCCACCCCCCGCCATCCACCCCCAGCCATCCACCTCCCGCCATCCACCTCCCGCCATCCACCTCCCGCCATCCACCTCCCACCTCCCACCATCCACCCCCAGCCATCCACCCCCAGCCATCCACCTCCCGCCATCCACCTCCCGCCATCCACCTCCCGCCATCCACCCCCCGCCATCCACCCCCAGCCATCCACCTCCCGCCATCCACCTCCCGCCATCCACCTCCCACCTCCCGCCATCCACCCCCAGCCATCCACCCCCAGCCATCCACCTCCCGCCATCCACCCCCAGCCATCCACCCCCAGCCATCCACCTCCCGCCATCCACCTCCCGCCATCCACCTCCCGCCATCCACCTCCCGCCATCCACCCCCCGCCATCCACCCCCCGCCATCCACCCCCCGCCATCCACCCCCAGCCATCCACCTCCCGCCATCCACCTCCCACCTCCCGCCATCCACCTCCCACCTCCCGCCATCCACCTCCCACCTCCCGCCATCCACCTCCCACCTCCCGCCATCCACCCCCAGCCATCCACCCCCAGCCATCCACCTCCCGCCATCCACCCCCAGCCATCCACCCCCAGCCATCCACCTCCCGCCATCCACTCCCAGCCATCCACCCCCAGCCATCCACCTCCCGCCATCCACCTCCCGCCATCCACCCCCCGCCATCCACCCCCCGCCATCCACCCCCAGCCATCCACCTCCCGCCATCCACCTCCCGCCATCCACCTCCCACCTCCCGCCATCCACCCCCAGCCATCCACCCCCAGCCATCCACCTCCCGCCATCCACCCCCAGCCATCCACCCCCAGCCATCCACCTCCCGCCATCCACCCCCAGCCATCCACCTCCCGCCATCCACCTCCCGCCATCCACCTCCCGCCATCCACCCCCAGCCATCCACCTCCCGCCACCCACCTCCCGCCACCCACCTCCCGCCATCCACCTCCAGCCACCCACCTCCCGCCATCCACCTCCAGCCACCCACCTCCCGCCACCCACCTCCCACCACCCACCTCCCGCCATCCACCTCCCGCTATCCACCTTCAGTCATCCACCTTCAGTCATCCACCCCCAACCACCCACCTCCAGCTATCCACCTCCCGCCATCCACCTCCAGCCATCCACCTTCAGTCATTCACCTTCAGTCATCCACCTCCAGCCACCCACCTCCAGCCATCCACACCCAGATATCCACCTCCCGCCATCCACCTCCAGCTATCCACCTCCCACCATCCACCACAACCTCCTGCCCTGCGTGTTTGACCGTGACCACCACAGCTACTCCTTTCCTTTGGTTACAAATGCCATTAGTCTTTACTTGTCTCTTACTAAGTGATTAATTCATATTTTCCCCCAACATAACTGCTAGACCTGCCATCTTGACCCAAGAAATACACCAAGGTGTTACGGTCATAAAAATATAACTCATACTTTGAACATATGTTACAACTCCACCAAGATATTGTTAGAGACCCTGGGGATTTCAGGTCTGCGTTCTTGACAATTATGAATAGGGAACTTGGTTATGAGCCAGCCTTCAGGGGCTCTATATACTTTTCCCTGTTTTTCTCTTTTTGACTCTCATAATAAGTTGTTTTCTATGCTGTCTAAGACAACTTATGCCCTACTCTCTGGAAATCTCTATTATTTGGGCTACTCAAGTACCTCCCCCAACACACCCACCAAAAAAAAACTAGGCTTAAAACTGAGATCAAGGCATCAAGGAGTCAACTGTAATACAGCTTTTTAAAAATCTGTCCTGACCCAGTTGTGAGAAGCTGGTCAGAGGCTGGTCAGCTCCCCTCATCGAGGAGGTGATTAAGTCCACAACTGAACCACTTCCCTTACAGGGCTCTCACGCTGCAGGCCACTACACAGCCACCCGAATCACCTTAGGGCCAGTTACCATAGCACAAGGGACAGCCCCTATCCCCCAGAGCCCTCTGAAAGTATTCAAATAGCCAACCCACAGGAAACCCACAGAATCTAGCCAGCTCCACCCAGCTTGCCATACGCACACTGCTTCCCACATCTCCAGGTTGCCGTTAACCCGGCCTAGGCTCAATCCCCTGCGTGGCCCTGCCTGGCAGCCTTCTCTATTTGGAACTGTAAGTAACAAATAATTCTGCTTTTCACCTATCTGGGAGTCATTGTTTTTTGCCCTGTCATCAAAACAATCTTTAAATCATATAAAAGAGTTGAGTATTTGTATCATAAAAGGGTTTTTAACAGGAGCAAATGCTTTTTCTGCATCATATGAGATGATCATGTGTTTTTGTTTTTATTTATTATTATTATTATTGGTAGCATTTTTTTTGAGGCAGAGTCTTGCTCTGTTGCCCAGGCTGGAGTGCAGTGGCACGATCTCAGCTCACTGCAACCTCCACCTCCCGGGTTCAAGCAATTCTCCTGCCTCAGCCTCCCAAGTAGCTGGGACTACAGGCACCCACCAACACACCAGGCTAATTTTTGTATTTTTAGTAGAAACGGGGTTTCACCATGTTGGCCAGGCTGGTCTCAAACACCTGACCTCAGGTGATCCACCCGAGTTGGCCTCTCAAAATGCTGGGATTACAGGCGTGAGCCACCGTGCTGGGCCGATCATGTGGCTTTCTTTCTCATTCTGTCAATGTGGAATATTACCTCGATTAATCTTTGTTTGTTGAACCATCAAGGCATTCCGGGAATAAATCCCACTTGGTCATGATGTATAGTCTGTTAAATATGTTGCTAGCATTTTGTTAAAGATATTTATATCGGTATTTATAAGGGATACTGGCCTATAATTTTCTTTTCTTGTGGTGACTTTGGCTTTGGTAGTAGGGTGATGCTGGCCTCATCAAATAAGTTAGAAGTGTTCCTTTGTCTCCCATTTTTTGGAAAGGTTTGACAAAGGTTGGTGCTAATTTTTCAAACGTGTGGTAGAATTCATCAGTAAGCCATCTAGTTCAGAGATCTTGTTGTTGGAATGCTTTGGTTACTGATTCAAACTCCTTACTAGTTATAGGTCTATTCAGATTTTCTATGGCTTCATGTTTCGGTCTTGGTAGGTTGTGTGTTTCTAAGGATTTGGCCATTTCACTGACATTATCCAATTTGTTGGCATATGGTTCTTCACAGTACTCTTATAATACATTTTTAAAAAATAGAATCCGTTTTAATGCCTCTTTTTCCTTTCTGGTTAGAATTATTCTGGTTAGAATTATCTGGTTAGCTATATTATCAGCAGTTTCTTTGTGGTTATCGTGGGAATTGCATGCAACATTTTAAAGGCATACCAATTTAATTTGAATTGATACCAATTTAACTTTAATTGCACACAAGTGGACTTATAAATATCTCCACCTCCTGTGACTTTATGCTATTTATGTCCAGAGTACGTCTTTATACAACATGTACTCAACTAACATAGATTTATAATTATTTTTATGCATTTATCTTTTAAATTCTCCAGAAAAGAAAAAAGTGAAGTTACAAACCAAAATTATAATAAAACGTTTCTTTTTTAACCATGTGCCTAAGCTTACTGAAGATCTTTATGTCTTTATATGGCTTTGAATTACCATCTAGAATGATTTTATTTTAATCTAAAGGATCCCTAGTCTTTAGCATGTCTTGTAGGGCAGATCTAGTGATAATGAACTCCCTCCACTTTTCCTTATCTGGGAATGTCTTAATTTCTCCTTCATTTTTGAAAGACAGTTTTGCCAGATATAGAATTCATGATTGACAGATTTTTTTTTTTCTTTCAGCACTTTAAATATATCACCTCACTGCATTCTGGCCTCAAAGGTTTTTACTAACAAATCCACCAATAATTTTACTGAGGATCTTTTGTATGTTGTGAGTAACTTCTCTCTTGCCGCTTTCAAGATTATGTGTGTCTTAGACTTTTATTTTGATTATAATGTGTCTCAGTGTGAGTCTCTTTAGGTTCATCTTACCTAAAGTTCATTGGGCTTCTTGGATTTTTAGACTCGTGTATTTCATCACATCTGTGAAATTTGGGACCATACTTCTTCACACCACCTCCTTGCCCCGTTCTGTGTCTCTTCTTTTTCTGAAACTCCCCTAATGCCTATAGTGGCCTGCTTGCCAGTGTTTCATAAGGCCATGAGACTCTATTCCCTTTTGTTTATTCTTTTTTTTCTTTCCTGTTTTGCTCCTCAGACTCAATAATTTTAATTGTCTTGCCTTTAAATTTACTGATTCTTTCTTCTGCTTTCTGAAATCTGCAGTTGAAATCCCTCTAGTAAATTTTTCAATTCAGTTGTATTTTTCAGCTGCATAATATATATATATATATAAAAATATATATATATATATAATTTCAACTTCTCTGCTGACTTTTTTTTTTTTTTGAGACAGAGTTTTGCTCTGTCACCCAGGCTGGAGTGTAGCGGTGCGATCTCGGCTCGCTGCAACCTCTGCCTCCCAGGTTCAAGTGATTCTCCCACCTCAGCCTCCCAAGTAGCTGGGATTACAGGTGCGTGCCACTATGCCCAGCTAATTTTTGTATTTTTAGTAGAGACAGGGTTTCACCATTTTGGCCAGGCTGGTATCAAAGTCCTGACCTCAAGTGATCAGCCCACCTCGGCCTCCCAAAGTGCTGGGATTATAGGCATGGGCCACTGCTGTGGTCTCTGCTGACATTCTTATTTTGTCCGTTCATTGTAGTCCTCATTTTCTTTGGTTCTTTGTGTTTTTCTTTAGGTCTTTGAGCATATTCAAGACAGCTATTTTAAAGTCTTTGTCTAGTAGGTCCAATATACATGCTTTCTAGGGATATTATCTGGAGATTTACATTTTCCTTTGATTGGACCATGTTTTACTGCTTCTTTGTGTACCCTATGATTTTTTGTTGGCACTTAAATACTTGAATAAACAGCCACCTCTCTCAGCTTTTGCAGAGAGGCAAAAAGAGATAACCAGAAGCTGAGCTGCTGCCTCCTCTAGAACATGACCATGCTGAGCCAAGGACGGAGTGGGGCAGGGGTAACGAAAAATGCCATACAATTTCCTACATTTTTAAGGTGAATTTTTTATTAGGTATTTACGTGGTTGTTGTAGACCTTTGTTTTCCAGAGCTACTCTAAGATTTGTTCAGCAATTTTCTGGTCATTTTATGATAGTTCCATGGGGAAATGAGGAATTGAAACTTCCTAGTCTGCCATTTTGCTGATGTCAATCCTTTGAGGAAGTTTTGACTAGTTAAGACTATCACTTTGAAAAACCAAAAGCAAACAATAGATCAAGCAAAATTAGCAACACACTTAGACCAAAGCTAATTTCGGTAATGTCCATAAAACCTCTTACAAATCCATAATAAAAATATAAAAATCAAGTAAATGACATAAACAGCTAATTTAAAGAAAAAGAAATGCTACTTTTTTTTGATGACTTTAAAGTATACACTCACCTCTTAAACAGTCCTATTTCTAGATAAAGAATAAGACTAGGCATTCTATACATGCTGTAAACTATATTAGAGGTTTCTTTTTGAGTTTTGGATTTACCTATTTTATCAACAAATATTTATGATAGTAAGGCTTCCCTCTCCCCAGTTCTTTCCACTTTTACTTCCTACTTTTTAGGGACCAGCTCTCATATTCTTATTATAAGATCATCCCATGATACAGATAAAGGTTACTCTTAGGTGAAAAGCAAGAGGCATGTTCAAAAGCAACAGCATCCCTTCCAACTCTGGGCTTTCTTTTAATTTCTCCTGTTGATTTAAAATTTGCATTATAAAATGGAGGTCAATTTGCATGATCATAAACTCTCCAATAACCAATTCAATCGGATTATGGTAAGTTATGGCTTGCTTTTGATACTTCAGACTTCCTTCTGTGATCACTTAGAAGTTTTGTCAGACATTTGTGTTTCCATTTATTAGAAGCCTAGTGGATTTAATTAGGATATTTTAAATGGAGGATGATAGTGAAGTTGTATCTATAATTTTACTTTTGATTTTAATAAATAAATATTGAATTCAGGGCCTAGGGACTGAACAGCCGTGTCATAACATTGTTAATAAAGGAGAGACCCCATTCACCTAAATCCATTTCATAGATTTATAAGAAACAACAAGATGTTACCACTTTTCTATTTTTGCTTGTGTTGCGTGGGTTTTTGGTGTCATATCCAAAAAAATCACTGGCCAAGGCCAATGTCAAGAAGCTTTTTCCTCTGTGTTTCTTCTAAGAGTTTTACAGTTTCACATCTCATGTTTAGGTATTTAAACTAATTTGAGTGGATTTTTTGTGTATGGTGTAAGACAGGGTTCAATTTTATTCTTTTGCATATGGATACTGAGCTTTCCAACACCATTTACTGGAGAGACTATCCTGTCCTCTGTTGTGTGTTCTTGGCAGCCCTGTCAAAGAACTTGACCATCTATGCATGGGTTTATTTATGGGCTCTCTAGTCTGTTCCATTAGTCTGTTTTTAAGCCAGTACCATACTGTCTCGATTACTGTAGCCTTGTCACATACTTTGAAATCAGGACATTTTATGCCTTCAGCTTTGTTCTTGCTCAAGATTGCTTTGGCTATTTGGGGTCTTTTGTGGTTTCAAATACATTTTAGGAAAATTTTCTATTTCTATAAAAATGCCATTGAGATTTTGATAGAGATTATGTTTGAATGTGTAGGCCACTTTGAGTAGTATGGACATTTTAATAATATTAATTCTTCTAATCCATGAACACAGGATGTCTTTACATTTACTTGTGTCTGTTTTAATGTCTTCCATCAATGTTTTATAGTTTTCAGTGTTCAAGTCTTTCACTTCTTTAAGTTTTTTCTTAAGTATTTTATTCTTTTCAATGCTATTGCCTTCACAATAGCTAAAACATGGAAGCAACCTATATGCCCATTGATGGATGAATGGATAAAGAAAATATGGCATACACATACAATGGAATATTATTCTACCTTACAAAAGGAAGTTCTGCCATTTGTGACGACATGGATGAACCCAGAGAATGTTACGCTGAGTGAAATAAGCCAGATGCAGAAGGACAGAAGGATGCTACATGATATCATTTATATGATGAATCTGGAATAGTCAAACTCATAGAAGGAGGGAGTGACATGGTGGCTGTCAGGGGCTGGGAGGAGGCATAAACAGAGAGGTATTAGTCAAAGGGCACCAAGTCCAGCTTATACAATATGAGTAAGCCCTAGAGATCTACTGTACAGTTTAGTGCCTATAGTTAACAATGCTGTATTATATATTTAAAAATTTGCCAAAAAGGTAATTTCATGTTGTGATATATCACAAAAATAATAATAAATGAATAGAATAAAGGGAAACTTTTGGAAGTGATGGATATGTTTATGGTATGGATTGTGGTGATGGTTTCACAGAAGTATACTTGTCTTCAAGCTCATCAAGTTATATATATTAAATATTCACAGCTTTTTGTATATCGATCATACCTCGATAGAGTGGCTTAAAATGAAGGAATAAAACAGTGCATATCTCATGACATTAAAAAAAAAGTATCACTTTCAACTACCTTGTAAAATTACAAAAAATACAATAAATAAATAAAAGTTTAGGTTAGGCTGGGCGCGGTGGCTCACGCCTGTAATCCCAGCACTTTGAGAGGCCGAGGTGAGTGGATCACAAGATCAGGAGATCGAGACCACCTTGGCTAACATGGTGAAACCCCGTTTCTACTAAAAATACAAAAATTGGCCAGGTGTGGTGGCAGGGACCTGTAGTGCCAGCTACTCAGGAGGCTGAGGCAGGAATTGTTTGAACCGGGAAGGCAGAGGTTGCAGTGAGCTGAGATCGTGCCAGTGCACTCCAGCCTGAGAGACAGAGTGAGACTCCACCTCAAAAAAAAAAAAAAAAAAAAAAAAAAAGTTTAGATTAAACCAGAAGCTCTCTGTGGCAAACATTGGTTTCTTTTTCAGAGGGGAAATTCAACTTCAATACTGCTCAGTGGACATGAGCGAGAGTAGGGAGAGGGACATTTGTTATTTTCTCTCTTAAAGTTGTTGCTGGGGTCTTTGGTTGAGCCTAGTTCAAACTAGCGAAAGCTCAGTGAGCAGAAATAGAAGTGACACTGGTAAGAGGAACTGTATCTTCACTTTAGAGAAAGGATTCAGAAAGAAAAGAAATGCTTCCTAGAATTTCAGCCAATACAGATCAGAACCATGTCCTTTCTGAATGGGGGCTGTGAAGGGACCAGTTGAGTGCAGTTCACAATGACTGTCTATCTGGTGCTCTCAGGGAATTTAACCATTTGTTTAGGTTCATAATATATTCATCGCATTACATACCCATGAGAAGTTTGAATGATGAAAAGGTCTAGCCTTACTTTGGCTTCCTGCCAACCCAGAGAACATTGGTTGGTCCAATCTCCTTGTTCCTATTCTTAAAAAGTAAACTGATACTAATGGCACAATATATGTTATTTGGGTGATGAATACCCTAAAGACCCTGACTCCATCACTATGCAATCTACGCATGGAACAAAATGGCACTAGTACTCCCATAAATCTATACAAATAAAAAAGTAAACTGAGGCACAATACAGTTTTACAGTGCTTCTGAACCAGCAATGATTCATGAACCAGAAGTGGTTGGGGAGCTCCACCAAGGGAACACAAGAGAAGGCTTTTTCAGGACAGAGACAGAAGTAGAGCAAAGACAGCGCTTGACTGTTTACAGTTATACAGCTACCTTATTTGGTCTATCTCATTGGAAAGTCCTTAGTTATATAAGTTTGTTGGCTGCTTCTGATTGGTTGTGTTTACGTTTTCTTTAATATAGGCATTTACAAGATATAGTGCTCAAGTTATTATGTTTGCGTATGTCACTTATGTTTGCAGATCAAGCAAGGTCGAGGTCGCTTATGAGCCCTTGCTGGTTTGGTATGTTCATGGATTCTTCTGGCCTGGTCTCCATTTTAATGTACTTTAACACCATGAATAAAGGTTTACTTCTGAGACTCTAAGAGCCCGTTTAAATTAAACCTATGCATGATATTGCCTCAAATACCCAACAGCTCACTCATAATTGGATATTCATTGCTGGCACAAATGTTAAGTATTACTGAGCAATTAGTTCTCTCTATATTTGGCCCTCACAGAGTGTAATTATTGTATTGTTCAGTACTAATCTGCCTTTTCACATACATGCATTGAGAGGAGAGTCTTCTGTTTGCCCCACAATTTCAATTCTCTATATTTGTGGTTAGAAACTGCGGTGACACAATCCTCATGTCTAAATTCATTCATTCGGGAGATTGTAAAGATGGTTCCGTAAAGCCTCAGTATTGTAGGTGCTGATAATGATGATAATGAAAATGATAAACTTTCCCTTATAAATCTTATAATGAATTGACTAGACTGCCTACAGACTATACACTATCTTTGTCTATAGGTAAAATGGTTGTAATTGGCCGGGCGCAGTGGCTCACGCCTGTAATCACAGCACTTTGGGAGGCCAAGGTGGGTGGATCACGAGGTAAGGAGATCGAGACCATCCTGGCTAACACGGTGAAACCTCGTCTCTACCAAAAATACAAAAAATTAGCCGGGCGTCGTGGCACGTGCCTGTAGTCCCAGCTAGCTACTCTGGAGGCTGAGGCAGGAGAATTACTTGAACCCGGTAGGCGGAGCTTGCAGTGAGCTGAGATCGCGCCACTGAATTACAGCCTGGGTGACAGAGCAAGACTCTGTCTCAGGAAAAAAAAGATTAAAAAAAATAAAAACGGCTGTTTTATTAAGAATTGTTATTAGGAACGGGCAGAGAAGAACAGTGTCTGTGTAGTTCAGCATGTGAGTGGTAATTTGCTAATTATATCTGGCTTGTCACTCCGGTCTCTGTAACTTGCTGTGTTTTGTCAAGTGATTCTTCCAGAAATTTTGTGTATATTATCTTACTAAACTCTCATTAAAGAGGCCCCTCAAATGGAAGAAGGGAACTTAGAGTTTTTAGAATGTGAATAAATTTAAGGGACTTTGGCTTCTAGAATTCTGTAGATCTCTGTTTTGCTGGGAATATACAGCTTCCCATTATTCTGAGATTGGCTGATCTGTAATGCTGTGAAATATCAGTGTTTACTAAATTTGTTATTTTACATTTATGGGCATACATTTTTTTTTAATTCTCTCTCTCTCTTTTTTTGAGACAGGGTCTCCCTCTGTTACCCAGGCTGGAGTGCAGTGGCGCACTCATGACTCAATGCAAACTTGAATTTGCCTGGACTCAAGTGATCCTCCCACCTCAGCCTCCCAAGTAGCTGAGACTATAGGCATGCACCAACATGCCCAGCTAATTTTTGTAATTTTTGTAGAGATGGAGTTTTACCACGTTGCCCAGGTTGGTCTTGAACTCCTAGGCTCAAGCAATCTCCTAAAGTGTTGGGATTACAGGCATGATCCACTGCTCCCAGCCTTAATTCTTTTAAAAAGGGGAAAAATGAGGTTTTTCACTATTGCTCCAATCACCATCATAGCTAAATAAGTTAATGCACATAGTTAAGAAATGTACAGTAGAGAGAAAACAATCTGTGTTGTATTTAGAAACTAGCAAGAATTAAGGACTAATAATATCTGAATATGAACTGGTATTAAGCCCAAACTACTGCATCAGGAGACCATCAATAAAATTTATTTATCGAGAGCCATTCATTAGTCAACCAAAGTCGTGGGAAATTTAATCTGTATAAGGAGTCATAAGGCATAAGGGATAGGTATGAAGGATTGTTGAGATGATGTGTTTTATTTCGCTAATAATGCATATGACACCATTCCAATTTTTTTAAATTTAAAACAACAATCATTTATTTGCTTGCTTCTCAAGCCTGGGTAATCGTGTTTGGCAATGAGACCTTGTTGCATGCTTGCTAATATCCCACTGGTCAAAGCTAGTCAAATGGCCAAGCCTAGAGTCAGCGTGGGAGAAGGCCACACAAGGGTTTGAATTCTGAGGACGAGTCTCTTTCATTGAAGGCCAAAGAAACAGTCTACCTCAGAGGGTTGCTGGGGAGCTATAATGCAAAGAATAAACCTCACCCTGCCTTCAAGGCGCTCACAGAGAAGAAATCTTTTGAATATTAGTGAAGTTTTCCTGGACATCCCAATGGATAGATGTGAGGGACAGTCACGTACTCAGGACATCTGTTTGCTTATGGTGTTATGTTACAGATGTCACAAATGAAAATCAGAGACATGTAGCCCTGAGCCCAGTAACTATAAAGCGGTCTAGCTGAAGCTGGAGCCCACAAGAGGGCACTTTGCACCATGATGCACGCTTGTTTCTTGCCATCAGCTCTGCAATGAGTTCAAGCTAATGCCATGTCCCAGCCGTCCAGTTGTTTTATGACTTGTGTGATTGAAGCATATGGTGGCTTGTGGCATGTTCTTAGGCAAACCACTCACCTCCCTAGGTTTCGTTTTCCTAATTTCTCAAACAAGGGAGTTAGATTAGGTGGTCTATAGTTCCTTCCAATTGTGATATTTCACTATATAACAATATAGTTATAATAGATCATAGCACATCTGTAATGAAAAAAAGTGAGTTCATTTCTTAACAAGTACATTTACTTAACTAGTTGGAGTCATTAAAGCAAATTAAGAACGAAATTCTTAGTTAATCTGAACTTTTCTGGGCATACTGATCTGTTCCCTAACGCGTCTGACCGTGGAAAAGTGGATCAGCAGGAGTGGGACTGGCTCTCAGCTTTGCCATGTTTGGCTCTTTCTCTGCTGTGAAACTCAGTTTCTTCCTGGATCAAGAGGTTAATTTCTGCCGGTGTTATTTTACAGTGTTGCAAAGAGATAAAAGCCAGACGAAAGAAGGGAAAGTACTTCAGCTTTGATTAGGGATTTTTTTTTCTGTCCCTGTGACCATACACTACTCAATTCTGACAGCTTCGCATGAGTCTAGCAGAAAATTGAGGGATTCACTGTTATTCCTTAACTTGCAGAGGTCCAGACCCGCCCACATCAAATGGTGAGGTCCCCACTTTCAACTTTAGCTGTTGCTAAATCTGTGACCCTTTCAATGAAATCCAAGGATCTCAGCTTAAAAAAAGTTAAAATAAAATAAAAACTAGGTGTTTTTCAGAGGCGGTTTGAAACGCCTCTCTGAGGTTGTCAGAGATTGTTTTTGTTTTCTCCCTTTGCCCTTCTTGGAATGCACCAAACATAAAAGCATTTTTTTTCAAGCTTTACTTTCACTTTCGAGAGTGCCGTCTATTTGCCACACACTTCCCTGATGAAATGTCTGGATTTGGACTAAAGAAAAAAGGAAAGGCTAGCAGTCATCCAAGTAAGTGAAGGTGTTCATTTCACGTTCTTACTGGGCAGGGTCTCTCTTGCTGAGTAGAGTTTGCTAGCAGAATGCATGTGGTTTTAGCCTTCTTTGGTCTTTCTTTGATCTGGTGCTTGAAATCTAGTCAGAATTATTCAGGAAGGAAAGTGGAAGAAAAGGGATATGATATGGGCATGGGAGAAGGGTATAACTCAGAACACAAGTAATAGCACCAATATCTAGTTAATGTGATAATGTATTTATGCAGTATTTAATTTTTTTCTCTGTAGCATTCTGTACCTGGAAAAAACACATTAGGGAAGCTATGGAAATCATTTTGCAACAGTCTTTTTAGCAAATCACATCTTTGCCTTAAAGAAACAAAACTCCAAGAGGTTAAAAGAGCGTATCCCCTTTTGTTAGTTTTATTGGCTGGAGGGGAGACAGGAGCTGGCATTGTATGACAATGTCTTAGATAGGAGAGAACATTCAGGTATGCCTAGGAGTAAGTAAATGGCTTTCTTTCACCTAATGAAGGATAATGGAAGAAGTGGAGAAGTGGAAAGTTGTTAAGGTGTATGGGAAGATCAGAAACTGGTATCGGCAATTGTGGGGTACTCGGGTAAAAATGGAGTTGGCTTCAGCAAGTTGATTCCCAGGTTTACAGATGATTACGTGCTGGTATGTGTCTTCATATGGGCGTGCCTGTGTATGAACCTACTACAAAGGTTGCAAAGTTTACAAATCAAACTATGGATAGTGGTTAACTCCAGGTAGTCTGCCTCCAGACCCCATGTCCTAACCATCAGGCAATATTGTCTCTCACTTGGACAAAGAATGTGAATTCCATGTGCCCTCACAAAATATTTCCAAAATTCTAAGGCTGAGTGAGTCTCTTTTTAATTTTTTTTCATTTTCTTTATTTCTGCTAGATCTCATTCAACAGCAACGTTTTCTTCACTCTCATTTCATCCTTTAACTGCATTTTTGCTTGTTTTACTGAAGCATGTCCTAGAATAACCTTTTCATACAGATCGTATGGCTATAAACTTACTGAATTTTTGCATATCTCAAAATACTTATACCTTTTTATTTAGTTATTCAGATGGATGTGAAATTTCCCTATCTTATTTTATTTTATTTTATTTCATTTTATTTCATTTATCGATTTAGAGACAAGGTCTCGCTGTGTTGCCCAGGCTGAAGTACAGTGGCATGATCGTGGCTCACTGCAGCCTTGACCTCCCTGGCTCAAGCAATTCTCACACCTCAGTGTCACGAGTAGCTGGGACCACAGGTGTGAACCACTATGGCCAGCTAATTTAAAAAAAAATTTTGGTGGAGATGAGGTTTCCCTGTGTTGCCCAGGCTGGTCCCAAACTCCTAGGCTCAAGGGATCCTCCAGCCTCAGCTTCCTAAAGTGATGGGATTACAGGCATGAGCCACAGGTAATTTTCTTGGCCTGGTCAAAGGTAATTTTCTTGTTTTTTAGAGGTAAGGTCTTGCTCTGTTGCCCAGGCTGGAGTGCAGTGGTGTGATCATGATTCATTGCAGCCTTAACCTCCTGGGCTCAAGCGATCCTCCTGCCTCAGCCTCCCAAGTAGCTGGAACTACAGGCTTGTGCCACCACACTTGGCTACTTTCTAAAATATTTTTGTAGATACGGGGTCTCACTATGTTGCCCAGGCTGGTGTTGAGCTCCTGATCTCCTTCTGCCTACACCTTCTAAAGTGCCGGGATTGTGGGGATGAGCCACTATGCTTTGCCTGGATATGAAATTTTAAATTCAAAATAATTTTCTCTAAATGTTTGGAAAGCTTATCTCTATTGTTTTCCAGTGGTTCATGTTACTGATGAAAAGTTTTTTATTAATCAAGATCTCTTTTCTTTGGAAATGAAGGTTTTAGGATTTTTGTGTGCATGGTTGCAATTCTGAAATTTCATAGGAGTCTCTCCAAGTTTGTTCCTCTTTCACTCCTCCTGCCTAGCATTTGGTGAGTTTTGCCCACTGATGAAATGTCTTCAGATGGGGCAAGTCCTTAAGTCATTCAGGGATATGCTTTGTAATGGATTAGTCCTTCTCAGCAATTCTGACCTATAGCAGGAGCCCTACCAGAGGGGTACATCTCACCTAAGCAAGGAGAATGTATTGTAGGGACCTTACCTATGAGTTGGTAAATAGAGATAGGAAGTTCTGAAGGAACTGGAAGAGAGGTTTGGGACACTCTCAGAGAGGGGGCAGGTGGGGAGCTGGTCCCCAGCATTTGAGAGGTATCATTGCCAGCCCTGCATCCTTCACGTGCCTGGGCAAGTCAGCAAATGCATCCTTGCTGGCCTAGCTGTGGCATTCCTCATGGCCTGTGGATATAAAGAATGTGCACAGCTTTACAATGATTAGTGCCAGAGTTGTAAAGGCCATGAGATGGGAATATTAGTTTATGGAAGCCAGTTTTTTTTGTTGTTTTTTCTGTTTCTGAGAACTAAATTAGAATATTAGTAAAATCGCTATTTTTAAGTATATTAGAACAATTCTATATACTCACATTAGTTCTGTTTTCCTAGGATTAGTCACCTAAGGTGATTTTATTACCTGACACTTACCTGGAATAATTTTCATGTCATGACTTTTAGATCTTGTGGAATATCTATTTAGATATCATTACCACTGCTTCATCTCCATACCTTGTGGGTGTATTTGATTTTTTAAAATATCTGAAATTTGGTTGTTGATCACACCACAGAGTATCACACTGGGTACACATCCCACCAAAATAAAGTGTGACAATGTATGGAGTTGAGTGGCTTTCCTGAGCTGACTAAATGCCCATGGAAAGCTATTGTATGAGTGCATTCTCACATTGCTCTACAGAAATACCTGAGACTGGTCATTTATAAAGAAAGAGGTTCAATTGGCTGATGGTTCTGCAAGTGGTGCAGGCAGCATAGCAGCCTCTGCTTCTGGAGGAGCCTCAAGGAGCTTTCACCCACCACAGAAGGCAAAGCCAGAGCTGGCACCTTCACATAGCCGGAGCAGGAAGAAGAGAGAAGGGGAAGGTGCCACACACTTTTATTTTTTTATTATTTATTTTGGGGGGAGTGGGGGCGAAGTCTCACTTTGTCACCCAGGCTGGAGTGCATGTGGTGGGATCTCGGCTCACTGCAGCCTCCGCTTCCCTAGTTCAAGCGATTCTCCTGCCTCGGCCTTCCCAGTAGCTGGGATTACAGGCACCCACCACCACACCCAGCTAATTTTTGTATTTAGTAGAGACACGGTTACACCATGTTGGCCAGGCTGGTCTCAAACTCCTGACCTCAGGTGATCTGCCCACCTTGGCCTCCCAAGTGCTGGGGTTACAGGCGTGAGCCACTGCGCCCAACCACCACACACTTTTAAACGACCGAATCTCATAAGAATTCACTCACTCACTATCGGGAGAACAGCACCGAGGGGGTGGTGCTGAACCATCTGTGAGAACTCTGCCCCATGAGCCAGTCACCTCCCACCAGCCCCCACCTCCAACACTGGGAATTACAATTCAACGTGTGGTGTGGGTGGAGACGCAGAGGCAAACCATATCGGCTATGTATTCAACATATATTTATTTCTTCAGAGCCAACAAAGTGCCAGGTCTTGTTCTAGGCACAGACAACACCGTATGGAATAAGAACTATGTCCTCTACTATTATAGCTTCACATTCTAGTGAGAAGCAATAATTAATAATAAATAATACACAATATTGGATAATTTCCATCAACCATAGCAACGGAAAAGGCAATCTAGAAGAAGAGCAAGATGGGAGGTTTCGCTCACTGAACTTCAAGACTTGTTGTAAAGCTAAAGTAATCCGAACAATGTGGTATTGGCCTAAGAACTAACAAATATTTCAGTGGAAGAGAGTAGACAGCCCAGAAATAGACCCTCGCTTAAAACATTTACTCGGTTTCTAAGGAAAGCACAGAACAATCCGGTGGGGGAAAGAAGTCTCTTTAAAAAATGGTCTGACTGGACCAGGCGTGGTGGCTCACCCCTATAATCCCAGCACTTTGGGAGGCCGAGGTGGATGGATTACCTGAGGTCAGGAGTTCAAGACCAGCCTGGCCAACATGGTGAAACCCTGTCTCTACTACAAATATAAAAATTAGCCAGGCATGGTGGCGCGTGCCTGTAGTCCCAGCTACTCGGGAGCCTGAGGCAGGAGAATCACTTGAACCCAGGAGGTGGAGACTGCAGTGAGCCAAGATGGCACCACTGCACTCCAGCCTGGGTGACAGAGTGAGACTCCATCTCAAAAAAAAAACAAAAAACAAGATCTGACTGACTGGATATACACACAAAAAACCATGACTCCTACTTCATGCATACACAACAATTAACTTAGGAGAGGTCACACACCTTCACATAGAAGCTAACACCATAAAGCTTTTTAGAGGAGAGTATCTAAGTAATGGGAGTAGGAAAATTTCTTAGAGGAGACACAGAAATGATAAAAATAAAAGAGAAGATGATAAACTAGATTTCATCATAATTAAGAAGACATCAGTAAGAAAATAAATAGGCAACTCACACACTGGGAATAAATATTTACAAAATAGGAATCTGACGAAGGACTGACACTCAGATACATAAAAAATTCCTACAACACAATAATAAACAGGAAACAATCTAATAGATGAGCAAAATATTTGAACATATAAGGGAAGATAAATGAACAATAAGCACATGAAAATTGTTAAATATCGTTAGTCGGCAGGGAAATGCAAATGAAAACCATAATTAGCTATCACTATATGTTCAGCAGAATGATTAAAAATAATAATAAAAATAGGTACCAAATGTTGTCAGGAAAGTTGGTGGTGCAACACTTTCCCAAAGGATCTGGCAGTTTCCTGTAAAACCAAATGGCCTCACCAAATGGCCCAGGCATTCCAATCCTAGTTATTTACCCCAAAGAAATAGAACACAGTCATGTGGCACTTAATCATGGGGATATGTTCTGAGAAATGCATCGTGAGGGGACTTCATCCTTGTGGGAACGTCACAGGGAGTGCTTACACAGAACTAGGTAGTACAGCCTGTGGCGCCCAGCCTGCAAAACCAGACAGCCGGCGTGTGACTGCACTGAATACTGGAGGCAATTGTAACACAATGGGAAGTACTTGTGTATCTAAACATAGAAAAGGTAAGTGAAAATGTGGTACAAAAGGTTACAAATGGCACTTCCATAGGGCACTTACCACGAGTGGAGCTTGCAGTACTGGGAGTGGCTCTGGGTGAGTCTGTGAGTGAGAAGGGAAGTGGATGTGGAGGCCTCGGACATGACTGTGCACCACTGCAGACTTTATGAACACTGCACACTTAGGTTATACTAAACCTATTTAAAAATTTTACTTTCTTCAGTAATAATTAACTTATTATAACTGTTTTACTTTATAAGAGTTTTAATTTTTCAAAACTTTTTGACTCGTGTAATAATGCTTGGTTTAAAACAAGCACATTGTACACCTATACAAAAATATTTTCTTTGTATTCTTATTTTATAAGCTTTTTTCTATTTTTAATTTTCTTCTTTTTTTTTAACTTTTTAAACGTTTTTGTTAAAAACGAAGACACAAACACACACATTAGCCTAGGCCTGCTCAGAGTCAGGATCATTAATGTCACTGCCTTCCACCACGTCGTGTCCCACTGGAAGCTCTTTAGGGGCCACAACACGCACGGACCTGTCATCTCTTATGACAACAGTGCCTTCTTCTGGAATCCCTCTTGAAGGACCTGCCTGAGGCTGTTTTACAGTTAACTTAAAAAAAAATTAGTAGAAGGAGTACACTCTAAAATTATGATAAAAAGAATAGTATAGTAAATACATAAATCAGTAACATTCATTTATTATCATTATCAACTATTAGGTACTGTAAATAATTATGTGTGCTATATTTTATATAACTAGTAGTGCAGTAGGTTTGTTTACACCAGCATCACTACAAACATGTGAGGAATGCATTGCACCATGATATTATGACGGCTAGATTAGTAGGTGATAAGAATTTTTCAGTTCCATTATGATCTGCAGTGACTATTTATTTATATGATTGTAAAATTGTGATTGAGGCTGGGCACATTGGCTCATGCCTGTAATCCCAGCATTTTAGGAGGCCAAGGCTGGAGGATCACTTGATGTCAAAAGTTTGAGACCAGCCTGGGCAACATAGCAAGACCCTATCTCTCTATAAAATTTAAAAAATAATAAAAAATTAGCCGGGTGTGGTACATGCCTGTAGTCCCAGCTACTTGGGAGGCTGAGGTGGAAGGAACCCTTGAGCCCGAGAGTTGGAAGCTGCAGTGAGCCATGATAGTACCACTGTACTCCAGCCTGGGTGACAGAGTGAGACCCTGTCTCTAAAAATAAATAAATAAATACAAATAATTTTTAAAATTGTAAATAATATTTACTGACTTTAGATTTGCTGAATTAATGTAGGCCAAGGACCTCATATGTAATCATAGTTTCAGGGTAAAATGCTAACATTTCACATCTTGACAATGTCAAGCAATGTTATAGCTGACAGTTTTAGGAAATGTAAGAAAGGAAGAAATGTGAAGAAAAATGTATTTATTTATTTAAAATAAAATAAAAATTAACTGGCTGGGCACGGTGGCTCACGCCTGTAATCCCAGCACTTTGGGAGGCTGAAGTGGGCAGATCATGAAGTCAAGAGATCGAGACCATCCTGGCCAACATGGTGAAACCTCGTCTCTACTAAAAATATAAAAATTAGCCAGGTGTGGTGGCGGGTGCCTGTAATCCCAGCTACTCGGGAGGCTGAGGCAGGAGAATCACTTGAACCCAGAAGGTGAAGGTTGCAGTGAGCCGAGATTGCACCATTGCACTCCAGCCTGGTGACAGAGCCAGATTCCATCTCAAAAACAAAACAGAACAAAATAAAACGAAACAAAAACAAACAAAATTAACTAAAGAAAAGTTGTGAATAGAATGAGAGAAAAATATAATTAAATTCCTTATCTTTATAGTGAAATGAGTAAATGAAGAAATAGAAGATCAAGAATATTAAGTTTATGGAGGTAATCATGAGAATTACAGATAGAACCTATCAAAAGAGAGACATTGCAGCTGCAACTGGCATTAAGGTGAAGGATAGGAAGGAAGTTTGGATGTTTTATTTTTTACCTTTCTGTACTGTTTGACATTTTTCCGTTTGATGTATGACTTGTATAATATGTACTTGTATGGCATAAAACTATGAGTAATAACATCATACATGGTCATATTTTGGTGATATATTTTACAAGGAATATACCAATGCATTTGAAAGCCATCTGCTATTAATGTTGCTCATACTTTTTAATGTTTCTTTTCTACAGCAGAATCATGAGACAGACTTTGCCTTGTATCTACTTTTGGGGGGGCCTTTTGCCCTTTGGGATGCTGTGTGCATCCTCCACCACCAAGTGCACTGTTAGCCATGAAGTTGCTGACTGCAGCCACCTGAAGTTGACTCAGGTACCCGATGATCTACCCACAAACATAACAGTGTTGAACCTTACCCATAATCAACTCAGAAGATTACCAGCCGCCAACTTCACAAGGTATAGCCAGCTAACTAGCTTGGATGTAGGATTTAACACCATCTCAAAACTGGAGCCAGAATTGTGCCAGAAACTTCCCATGTTAAAAGTTTTGAACCTCCAGCACAATGAGCTATCTCAACTTTCTGATAAAACCTTTGCCTTCTGCACGAATTTGACTGAACTCCATCTCATGTCCAACTCAATCCAGAAAATTAAAAATAATCCCTTTGTCAAGCAGAAGGTAAGTTGAAAATGTCTATTGTTACTAATGTTTTTAAGTCAGTTACCCATCCTTAGACTTACTATCTAAATATCAAGGAAATAAAGAGGAAGAAATTTGATCTAATCCAATTTGCCACAAATATTGCCATTATAATAGAAAATGCTTCCAAAAGAGAAAATATACTCTTAAATCAGTTTCATCCTTAATTTTCAATGTTTGCCTCTCTCGCTTTCTCCCATTAGAAATAGAACTTAGACGCAAGAGATAGAAGTAATGAACAGAGAAGAATCAGAATATCCCCTAAGAACATGGAAACTAAACTTTCAATGCTGCTGATTTAGCATGTGAAGTCGTGACAAAAGTCTTGAGTCCAAATTCTGACTTAAATAAAATTAACAAATTGATACAATGATCAAGTGAATTGTTCAACTAAAAATTACCTACTCCTGGTTTCAGAAATCTCCTCAGTGGCTATTTCAATGACTTTTTCAATAGTGGTGTCACTTTTTCAATGATTCCTTTTTCTTTTCAAAACTTTGCTCGAATTTTAGTTTTTTTTCTTTTCTTTTTAGTTGATGTTTAATAATTGCACATATTTATGAGATAGAGAATGATTTTTCAGTATGTGTATATAATGTGTAATGATTAAATCAGGGTAATTATCATATCCATCATCTCAAATGTTTCTCATTTGTGTTGTGAACATTCAAAATACGCTCTTCTAGCTTTTAAAAAATACACAATAAATCGTAGTTAACCATATTCACCCTACAATGCTTTAGAGCACCAGAAAAAAAAAAACGCATGTTATTGTTTCTAAATCTGAGGCAATTATTAAGTGCTTTTCTTTAACCAAAGCGATTTTCAAGTTACTTCATTTTATGGCCTTATAAAAAATTGAACATTGCTCTTCCTCAGATGCCAAGAATAATGTACAAATGTAAATATGCTGTGAAACATAAAGTGATTTGCTCCCTAGCTATTTTAAATCTTTTCTTGGGTCTTCTTAGAGTCTAATGTGGATGAAATATCTTTGAATACAAAGGCCTCAAAATCTGGCTAGAGAAATCATTGCAAAATGTTATTTTTGTAAAGACTTAAATTAAAAAACCTGCTTCTCGTTAACAGCGATTACATTAGACTTTGCCTTAACTGGTATCGCTTTCCCTTACCTTTTGCCTGAATTTGAAGCATACATATTCAAAAATAGCAAAGGGTGATAAAAACATCCCACAGTACTGATAAAGCAAACAAAACTTAATATTCTGTACTAGTCATGACTCAAAATTTATATAATATGACCCTTTCTCAGTATAAAAATCTATTTAAAATTTCATAGATGGCAAAATTCTCATGCTTTTTAAGAAAACATTCTGTTCTTTTTTCTGATACTTATTTTCAAGGTTAAAGCATGACACTGTGTGTTTGATAAGCCATGTGAAAATTTCTTGCATCATAAGTAAAAGGTTATGATAAATAAGTTCATAAATTAGCAATGTTCCTTATATCATAAATAAGCTTAAGTCTTTTTTATTTTGGTAAGAGAAATAAAATGATTCTTGAAGTAAGAAATAAAATCCTTCCTACAATGGTTGCAAGGGTGACCATCACAAAGATTATAACGTAACAAAGATTAATCAGATCAAAGATTTTTTATTATGCTTACTGTTAGTATTCTACAGAATAATAGAGAGGTGTTGATTTTGCTGTTGAAGTATTTTTCAGATGTACTTACATTTAAAAGAACTGTTTTTGACAGCAAGACTCTAACATATGCATATTATTTTTTCCCTTCAGAATTTAATCACATTAGATCTGTCTCATAATGGCTTGTCATCTACAAAATTAGGAACTCAGGTTCAGCTGGAAAATCTCCAAGAGCTTCTATTATCAAACAATAAAATTCAAGCGCTAAAAAGTGAAGAACTGGATATCTTTGCCAATTCATCTTTAAAAAAATTAGAGTTGTCATCGAATCAAATTAAAGAGGTAAGAAGTAAGGTAAAATTATTTTGCATTCTGCCTTTAAGGTGGATAGTCCCTATCTGTGTCACATACACAGGAATGTAATGCTCTCTAGCCTCTGCCTGTCTTCCAGCAATCCTTCCCACCTACTGCTTGGGGGCATTGGTGTCATCCTCCTGAGAGCTCAGGCAGCCCCAGGAGAGGTCGGGAGACGGGACTCTGCCGCCCTGCAGCACTGGGTGGAACCCCTGTGCCGTGACCTTGCGAACATCCTTAACATCTCTGAGTCTGTGTCCTCACTTATAAAGTGGAAATAGTGCTCTCTCACACAAACTCTCTGACAGAGTTATTAATTAAAGAGTACGATGGTCAAGAGCCCCAGGTTCACAGTCGGGTTAGCTGGCTTGGTCTCTGGGCTTTGTCTTTTAACAATCATGTTATCAGGCAAGTTATTCAAGTTCTCCCTCTCTAGCCTCCCAGCTTTCAAATGGGCGTGATAATGACTCTGCTTCATAGGACTGTGTGGTAAAGAATTTAGGACCGTGTCTGGCGTAGGCAGTGCTCAGGAAATGATCAGCAGCAGTATGTGGTTATAAAAACCTTCCTATAATGAAGTCAGCTTAAATAACTGACAGGACTGTCTCTTTTTGGAATCATGATCTTCAAGCTAATCATTTTCTGTCACGGGAGAGCAACAACTATCTGGACCGGTGGCACAGGGGTAAAAGAATTTACCAAGACAGTTGCAGGTGGAGAAAGGCACATTTATTCGTGAAAGTAGGAAACTACATTGCGAGAAGGCAACGGGCATATCAGCAAGAGAAGCTGACTGCAAAGAAACAAAGGCTTGCTGGGGATTTTACAGGGTCTTGTTTATGCTGTGTGCTGAAGAGGGCTTTGAGCTGCACTGACAGCGCCCAGGTTGCAGTGGGCTAACTCGCAGGGGCCTGGTGATAGCTGGGCACAGGAAGATTGTCAGTTATTTGCACAGGAGGGCTACGTGTCCTGGATCATGAAGACAGACTAATAATTTACCTGCTCTTTTGCTTTCTCTCGGTCCCGCCAACTGACTACTTTTCCCTAAATAGGACTCTGCATTTTCACATACAGGTTTGTCTGTATTTTACACTCATTTTGTTCCAGGCTATAAGACTACTGGAAATCCTTAATTACAACTCTATTTTTTTTTTCAGACATAAAAATAAATGGCGTACAAATTTATCCTAAGATATTAAGATGTTTTGTGCAAGCTCTTCATTTTATTTTTTAAACTGCATTTTTCTATGATTAAGACATTTATTGTAGTAATCTTATTAAATATATGAATAAATGAGAAAATAATAATAAGGGGTGATTTTAAAAAATCACTCAAATGTCCATAGTCAGAAACAACCACTGTTAGCATTTGGGTATATTTATCCCTGGCTTTTCTCCAAATAATTATAAGGAAAAACGATAGCTTAAATTCTTACTGTACTGAAATTCACACTGTTAAGGCACTTAACTGTGTGTCAAGTGCTGTGATAAATTTTTAAAAATATTTTATGTATATAGTATTTTTAATCAATATTTTATTTTATTTTATTTTATTTTATTTTTTGAGACTGAGTTTCACTCTTTGTTGCCCAGGCTGGAGTGCAGTGGCACAATCTGGACTCACTGCAACCTCCGACTCCCGGGTTCAAGCGATTCTCCTGTCTCAGCCTCCCGAGTAGCTGGGATTACAAGTGCCTGCCACCACCCCTGGCTAATTTTTGGATTTTTAGTAGAGACAGGATTTCACCGTGTTGGCCAGGCTGGTCTCGAACTCCTGACTTCATGATCCACCTCCACCTCGGCCTCCCAAAGTGCTGGGATTACAGGCGTGAGCCACCGCGCCCAGCCTGGAGGGGGCTCTGATTTGTAATGTGTCACTTGGGGGACAGTAGGGCTAATGCAAAAAAAGAGAGAAGTATAGAAGAAAGGGTGCTTTATCATAAACAAATGAGTTAAAATGCAAAGCAGAAAATTATGAAATTAAGTATGATAAATCTGCATGATAGCATTATTTTACAGGCATTAAAATTAAGCTTTGGAATGCTTCTTAATTGTATGGGAGATGTTCATAATATGATATTAAATCTAAAGAGCAGGAGACATCAATCTTAGCTACTCAGGAGGCTGAGGCAAGAGAATCGCTTGAACCCAGGAGGCAAGGGTTGCAGGGAGCTGAGATCGCACCACTGCACTCCACCCTGGGGGACAGAGCGAAACTCTGTCTCAAAAAAAAAAAAAAAGAAAAAGAAATCAGAGCCCTTTACTCCTCTGGCGGTTTCGACTGCCTGCCGGAACTGGCCTCCATTCTCTCTGGATTCCTCCTCTCCCACCTGCTGTTCTCTTGTCCCCGAAGTGAGTCCCAGAACAGCCAAGGCTCTGGTAAGGGTGTAGGACGGAGCAGAAGGGAGCTGGAAAAACACGATAGTAAAAGAAAGTCAGGAGAAAATCCGGGTGGAAAGACGAGAGGGAGAGCTAGAGCTCAGAGTTCCAGAAAGGAAAGTGTGCCGTCACCGCCTCATCATAAAAGCCATCCACAACTTCCTTCCATGAGGCTCACTGAGAACAGCGGCACCAAGACACAACCAGGAACTGCCCCAGGAGTGACTTCACGAGCAGTTTATTCATTGCAATTGTTCTCATGGTGATAAAGAAAAAGTACCAGGAGATGGATCCTGGACTGGAAGGTCAGAGAAGCCTCCCTGAAAAGGTGGCATCTAAGCTGAGGCTGTGAATGCTGAGCAGAAGTTAGCCCGTGGCCAGGGGAGGTCAGAGGCTGGAGTAAGAGGTGGGCGCTGCAGGAACCGAGTAAGGAAGGACTCGTGCATTACAGGAAGGGGGAGAAATGCTCTGCCCATGGGATGTGGTGAAGGGTGAGCGGAGATGGAGTAAAGAACTGCATCTGGCCGGGTGCAGCGGCTCAGGCCTATAATCCCAGCACTTTGGGAGGCTGAGGCGGGCGGATCATGAGGTCAGGAGTTCAAGACCAGCCTGGCCTACACGGTGAAACCCCGACTCTACTAAAAATACAAAACTTAGCTGGACGTGGTGGCGCATGCCTGTAATCCCAGCTACTCGGGAGGCTGAGGCAGGAGAATTGCTTGAACTGAGGAGGTGGAGTTTGCAGTGAGCTGAGATTGCACTGCTGTACTCCAGCCTGGGCGACAGAGCGAGACTCCGTCTCAAAAAAAAAAAAAAAAAAAAAAAAAAAGGCTTTCAACAGCATTACAGAGTCTGTGTTCTTTTGATTGTTAACCTCTTTTTTTTTCCTACCTTTAGTTTTCTCCAGGGTGTTTTCACGCAATTGGAAGATTATTTGGCCTCTTTCTGAACAATGTCCAGCTGGGTCCCAGCCTTACAGAGAAGCTATGTTTGGAATTAGCAAACACAAGCATTCGGAATCTGTCTCTGAGTAACAGCCAGCTGTCCACCACCAGCAATACAACTTTCTTGGGACTAAAGTGGACAAATCTCACTATGCTCGATCTTTCCTACAACAACTTAAATGTGGTTGGTAACGATTCCTTTGCTTGGCTTCCACAACTAGAATATTTCTTCCTAGAGTATAATAATATACAGCATTTGTTTTCTCACTCTTTGCACGGGCTTTTCAATGTGAGGTACCTGAATTTGAAACGGTCTTTTACTAAACAAAGTATTTCCCTTGCCTCACTCCCCAAGATTGATGATTTTTCTTTTCAGTGGCTAAAATGTTTGGAGCACCTTAACATGGAAGATAATGATATTCCAGGCATAAAAAGCAATATGTTCACAGGATTGATAAACCTGAAATACTTAAGTCTATCCAACTCCTTTACAAGTTTGCGAACTTTGACAAATGAAACATTTGTATCACTTGCTCATTCTCCCTTACACATACTCAACCTAACCAAGAATAAAATCTCAAAAATAGAGAGTGATGCTTTCTCTTGGTTGGGCCACCTAGAAGTACTTGACCTGGGCCTTAATGAAATTGGGCAAGAACTCACAGGCCAGGAATGGAGAGGTCTAGAAAATATTTTCGAAATCTATCTTTCCTACAACAAGTACCTGCAGCTGACTAGGAACTCCTTTGCCTTGGTCCCAAGCCTTCAACGACTGATGCTCCGAAGGGTGGCCCTTAAAAATGTGGATAGCTCTCCTTCACCATTCCAGCCTCTTCGTAACTTGACCATTCTGGATCTAAGCAACAACAACATAGCCAACATAAATGATGACATGTTGGAGGGTCTTGAGAAACTAGAAATTCTCGATTTGCAGCATAACAACTTAGCACGGCTCTGGAAACACGCAAACCCTGGTGGTCCCATTTATTTCCTAAAGGGTCTGTCTCACCTCCACATCCTTAACTTGGAGTCCAACGGCTTTGACGAGATCCCAGTTGAGGTCTTCAAGGATTTATTTGAACTAAAGATCATCGATTTAGGATTGAATAATTTAAACACACTTCCAGCATCTGTCTTTAATAATCAGGTGTCTCTAAAGTCATTGAACCTTCAGAAGAATCTCATAACATCCGTTGAGAAGAAGGTTTTCGGGCCAGCTTTCAGGAACCTGACTGAGTTAGATATGCGCTTTAATCCCTTTGATTGCACGTGTGAAAGTATTGCCTGGTTTGTTAATTGGATTAACGAGACCCATACCAACATCCCTGAGCTGTCAAGCCACTACCTTTGCAACACTCCACCTCACTATCATGGGTTCCCAGTGAGACTTTTTGATACATCATCTTGCAAAGACAGTGCCCCCTTTGAACTCTTTTTCATGATCAATACCAGTATCCTGTTGATTTTTATCTTTATTGTACTTCTCATCCACTTTGAGGGCTGGAGGATATCTTTTTATTGGAATGTTTCAGTACATCGAGTTCTTGGTTTCAAAGAAATAGACAGACAGACAGAACAGTTTGAATATGCAGCATATATAATTCATGCCTATAAAGATAAGGATTGGGTCTGGGAACATTTCTCTTCAATGGAAAAGGAAGACCAATCTCTCAAATTTTGTCTGGAAGAAAGGGACTTTGAGGCGGGTGTTTTTGAACTAGAAGCAATTGTTAACAGCATCAAAAGAAGCAGAAAAATTATTTTTGTTATAACACACCATCTATTAAAAGACCCATTATGCAAAAGGTAGGTAAACATTGTGAAATTTTAAGTGTGTACTTGCTTTTCAATTAAATTTCTTTTTTTTTTTTTGAGATGGAGTCCTGCTCTGTTGCCCAGGCTGGAGTGCAGTGGTGTGATCTCAGCTTACTGCAGCCTCCACCTCCTGGGTTCAAGTAATTCTCCTGCCTCAGCCTCTCAAGTAGTTGGGATTACAGGCACGCGCCACCAAGCCTGGCTAATTTTTGTATTTTTATTAGAGATGGGGTTTCACCGTGTTGGCCAGGCTTATCTTGAACTCCTGGCCTCAGGTGAGCTTCAATTAAACTTTTAAATATTACCAATATTACTCACAACTCAAAGAATTTTTAAAATAAAATTAAGAAAAAAAAAACCTGAGTTTCAGTAACAGTTTAAACTCTACAGAGTATTTTTAAATAGTATTGCTTCTGGCTGTTAAAAACCGTATATTAATTCTTCAATACATTTTTTTACTTAGATTCAAGGTACATCATGCAGTTCAACAAGCTATTGAACAAAATCTGGATTCCATTATATTGGTTTTCCTTGAGGAGATTCCAGATTATAAACTGAACCATGCACTCTGTTTGCGAAGAGGAATGTTTAAATCTCACTGCATCTTGAACTGGCCAGTTCAGAAAGAACGGATAGGTGCCTTTCGTCATAAATTGCAAGTAGCACTTGGATCCAAAAACTCTGTACATTAAATTTATTTAAATATTCAATTAGCAAAGGAGAAACTTTCTCAATTTAAAAAGTTCTATGGCAAATTTAAGTTTTCCATAAAGGTGTTATAATTTGTTTATTCATATTTGTAAATGATTATATTCTATCACAATTACATCTCTTCTAGGAAAATGTGTCTCCTTATTTCAGGCCTATTTTTGACAATTGACTTAATTTTACCCAAAATAAAACATATAAGCACGTAAGAACATTGTCTACTGATTAATATACAATCAGCCACTGAGCCTATGACAGCTTAAGGAGTTTGAAAACATTCCTCATTTTAAGAAAAGTTAGAGGTATATGAGGGTTTGTGATGATCTTTTTGTATTTTGGATGCACTTAGAATGAAAGATAATTGTTTCAATGGGTATAATGCTATTTCCTTTGTAAAAGAGTAAAATATATACCCATATTTTTAACAAGTTTAATTACAGTATTTTTTCAATGGAAAAACTTTGTATTTTAGTAAGTACTTGTCTCAGTGTTGACTTTGTTAAATGTTAAATATTTTTTAATATACATACCCAAGGGCAGAAAACATTTGCAATTCATTTTTATTAGTTAATGAGATGATTATTTGAATGAATATTGACTTGTATTTTCCTGAGATTATGAGTTTCTGCTGTGGGAGGGTGGAAACAATTCTCTTACTAAAAGTATTGTAGGCAGGCTTGCTTTCTGAAGGCTAATCACTATTTGGCTTTGTGGAAACAGAACTTTCCTCCCATGGTCACAGACTCAGGAGATGGCGTTGGCAAAATCACTTGGTCCCACTGGGATTCTTTGACTCCTGATCTTGAAAATTATGATAATAAATGCATCTTAGATATTCCTATGTAATTAGTGATGATGATCGCTGTATAATATATTCAAAGGAATGTATTATTTTACCATAAAATAATGTGCTACGCATAAGGTAGTCCTTATCTAGAAAGACTATTTTTATTTTTGTTTTTTTGTTTGTTTGTTTTTTATTTGTTTGTTTTTGAGACAGAGTCTGGCTCTGTCGCCCAGGCTGGAGTTCAGTGGTCCAACCTCGGCCCACCGCAACCTCCACCTCTGAGTTCAAGCTATTCTCCTGCCTCAGCCACCCGAGTAGCTGGGATTACAGGCACATGCCACCATGCCTGGCTAATTTTTGTATTTTTAGTAGAGATGGGGTTTCACCATGTTGGCCAGGCTGGTCTTGAACTCCTGACCTCAAGTGATCCTCTCGCCTTGGCCTCCCAAAGTGCTAGGATTACAGGTGTGAGCCACCGCGCCCCGCCTTTTTATTTTGTTTTACAATACAACAAAAAATTTTTAGTTTTACAATAAAAGAGAATCTGATTATTGGAAATAGACCTGAATAGCTTTTTGAAATATTTATAGTTCTAGTATTTAAAGAGAAACCTGAAATTATAAAGCTGAGTTAATTTCTATACCTGAAATGTTCATTTGTCTGCTGAATTCAGGGAGCATTTGAGATGTCACATTTTGGAACTTTGATTTAAATAGTTCAGTATTCCCAAGGCTGAGTTCCATGACCCTGGAATGAGAAATATCCACTGTACCTCTGGTTCTGAAGAGTCTATAGTCGGCCAACACTGTGAATGTGTGGAGGACTAATTGTCACTTTCATGTTATTTGCCACCCTGACAGCTGAGACACTGCTTTTCAGCATTTTAGTTAAGATTTGCTTTTTAACTGTGCAATAATCATTTTATTTTGGCATTATAAAATAAAAATCACAACTTCTGCTTTTCTTATATGCTTTGTGTGTTATCACACAAATATTCTCAAATATTCATAAGATATTTTAAATAAATCATTGTGAATTAGTCAATATATCAAGTTGCTTAATATGTCATATATCAATGCTATTTAATATATAATATCTATATTTAATATATTGATATGTTACTGGTGGAGAGTGTCCAGGTTCTTGGTGCTTTGAACAAGGAATTGGACAAAATGCACAAAGAATGAGGCGACAAAAGCAGAGGTTTATTGAAAACGAAAGCACACCCCGCAGGGTGGGAGCGGCCCGAGCAAGCAGCTCAAAAGCCGGGTTACAGGATTTTCTGGGGTTTAAATACTCTCTAGAGGTTTCCATTGGTTACTTGGTTTATGCCCTATGTAAATGAAGAGGCTAAAGTGAAATTACAAAGTTATTTACTTGTTGTGCACCCTACGCAAATGAATAGCTGTCACAGCTGAGGTAGAGTTACAGTGATTTACTTGGTGGTAGAATGTTGGGATTTTTCCATTTGATTGAGTTCTAGGAAGCCTTTAGTTTCCCTGCCTGCAGACCCCATTCTCCTGCCTCAGATATATCAATGACATATTCAATACATCATTAAGTTGCTTAATATTTAAGAGGTTAAGATGCACAGGTAATGACCTCTAAATGAATGCCAATAAAAATAGTAAAAGGTGTAAACTCTGACTCCTATCTGACCTAGGTAGGAAGTAACATCCAGAACTTCTGCAGGCTGTCCTGTGTAATTGTTCTCCGGAGGAACCCTTGTCCCTGGGGTTTGAGAGAAGGGGATCGAGGAAAAGGATGTTTGTCTGAGCTCTTGTTTGATTTGCCCAAGTGACTTGACTTGTTTGAATCCTCTCAGGGTGCCATCATGTAATCTGTCCACTCCAACTTCTTCCTGTTTTTCACATTGCAAAACAAAACCCAACTGAATCGACACTGAGTTTAAAATAAATCTTGGTATTTAGGTTGTACCTAAAAATGATAACTTTTAGACTGTAATCAGAGGTAGATGCTATCAATTTGTTAGTGAGGAGGGGAGGAGTTTTCGATGCCACTTAGTTTACAATGTCTAATTGTTCAAATATACATCTAGGTTGTAAAGGAGACTCAACGGTAAGTTATAGTGACCATTGAAAAATGTAAAGGGGCTTCAAATCAAGAACTTAGAAGGAATTTCTTGCAATCTATTGAGACACAAAGCAGATGAGTGGTTGTCTGGGCCTAGGAACAGGAATGGGGAGTGGCTGCAAATAGGTGGAAGAGACCTTTTTTGGGTGATGAAAGTGCTCTATAATTGGGTTATGGTAATAATTGTACAACTATGTAAATTTACTGAAAGTCATTGAGTTGGACACTTAAAACAGGTGAATTTTATGATATGTAAATTATATATTCACAAAGCCATTAAAAATTGTATTTTTTGAGCAGCTACAGGTGCCTAGCCCTGTGTTAACTACTATGGTGAACAGTAGGATGGGATTTAGAGGTGTGGGCAATACAAGCTGGGTGGAAAGGGATTTCCAAAGATGGACCTGGGCAGGGAGGACTCCACAGAGGAGACCCAGCCCCTTCCAAGGTGGGTGAGATTTCAATGAGTGGAGAAGAAGATGGCAGAATGAACAGCAAGAGAGAAGTTCATGAGGGAGACATGAACTTGGTGTCGGGAGATAGTGGGGTGCCGAAGGGGATGGAACCAGGCTGCAGAGAGCATGGCAGAGATGTTTAGATGCAATGTTTTGAAATTGTGACTTTATGGGTTTAAACTGCCAAACCCAGACATCATGATGAAATTCCCTCCTGGGATCTATGCCTTAGATTTAGGTGTCAGCCAGTTAAACAGAGGAACATAGACTATAACTTCACAGTCCAAAGCCAGGCTGGCTCTCACATAACAAAAGGGGCTTTAAGCACTTTTTTCCCCTATAAACATATACATCTGTGTTAAAATAACAAAGGACAATCACTCATTAGTTACTAATTACACTAGGTGACATATTAGCCACTCTTGGCTCTTGCAACTCTCTAGCCTTGCTCCACTGTCCTGTTTATGGGAGAAAACAGTTGTGCCATGTGGCTATTTTCACAAACCATTCTTTATTCTTTGTGTGCATTGGGCAAGAGTCATCAGACTTTTCAATGGTGGAACTCTTCCACTTTTGTTTGAGGACTTCTGGGTAGACAGGGTTGGCTTATTTAGCTTCCTTTTCTCTTAGGTCAGTTCCCCAGGAAACAGGTTTTGGGATGGAGGTTTGCATGAAGGAAGTTTCAGGGGTGCTCTGATTTATAAGTGAGTGAAATAAGCTGGATCGGGAAGAGAGAGAATAATTAACTCTGATGCAATTCACAATTGCAGCTGAGTTCTTAGCCAGCCCCATGGGGAGCTCTGGAGCTGGAATGACCCTAGAGAATTGGGAGAAATCTAGGCAAAGGGGCTGGACCCCTCTCCATGCCCTCACATCAACCAGTCACAGACACAGGCAGCCCCAGGGAGGAAGTGTGACCTTAAGTAAAATGTTTTGCCAAAAGAAATTCAAGGGCAGGTGCAGTGGCTCAAACCTGTAATCCCAGCACTTTGGGAGGTGGAGGCAGGCAGATCACCTGGGGTTGGGAGTTAGAGACCAGCCTCACCAACATGGAGAAACCCCGTTCTAATAAAAATACAAAATTAGCCGGGCGTGGTGGCGTGTGCCTGTAATCCTAGCTACTTGGGAGGCTGAGGCAGGAGAATGCAGTGAGCCGAGATTGTGCCACTGCACTCCAGCCTGGGCAACAAGAGCAAAACTCTGTCAAAAAAAAAAAAAAGAGAGAAAGAGATAAAGGAAAGGAAGAAAGAAAGAAAGGAAGAAAGAAAGAAAAAAAAGAAAGGAAGATGAAAGAAAGAAAGAAAAGAAAGAAAAATTCAAGGAGAAGGCCACAGTTGTGAACCGTCAGAAGCGAACTCACTGTGCAGCTGGAGGAATAAGTGCCTGGATCCTGAGAGCAGAGCTCCCTGTAAAATGGCCTTTGCAAAAATTGTTAACAGTGAGAAAGTTATGATATTGAAGGGATCTGACCTAATCAACTCCATCTTGCTTCTAGTCTTGTTTATTTCTGGGTGCAGGCAAACTAACTTTGGGAAGAACTTAGTTCATAGTTTAACTTCGAAACAAAGATGGTAACTTCCCTTTCCCAAAACAAACCTCCTTCTTGCCAGGGAACCAGACTGCCTTTGTAGGACCAACAAATTAGCCACAAGGTTTATAACTTCCTTAATTACTCCTGCAGACAACATCACTATTTTAGAATGTAAGATTGGCCTTTCAAGATGTCTTTTCAAGTTTTTGCATTTCCGATAAATAACGGCTCGACCCACCTGCCAACAAGTTCTGTAGCTCCACCTAGGAACCAGCTCAGTGTAAGAGGACAGCTTTGGCTCCCTATGAGTTCATCTCCCACCCAACCAGTCAGCACTTCCCATTCCCCAGCCCCTACCCACCAAACTATCCTTAAAAAACCCTAGTCTCAAGGCCAGGTGTGGTGGCTCATGCCTGTAATCCCAGCACTTTGGGAGGCTGAGGCGGGTGGATCACTTGAGGTCAGGAGTTCGAGACCAGCCTGCCCAACATGGTGAAACCCTGTCTCTACTAAAAACACAAAAAAATTAGCTTGGTGTGGTGGTGGGCTCCTGTAATCCCAGCTACTCAGGAGGCTGAGGCAGGAGAATCGCTTGAACCCAGGAGACGGAGGTTGTAGTGAGCCGAGATTGTGCCACTGCACTCCAGCCTGGGCAACAGAGCAAGACTCCGTCTCAGAAAACAAAAACAAAAAAAAACCCTAGTCTACCAATTTTCGGGGAGACTGATTTGAGTAATAAAACACCAGTCTTCTGTTCAGCTGGGTCTGTATGAATTAAACTTTTCTCTATTGCAAATCCCCTGTCTTGATAAATTAGCTCTGTCTGGGCAGCAGAGAGATACTTGTTGGTGGTTACACCTGTTTCACTACAACACCCACCACGCCTTTTCAGGTACTTAAGAATTAAAAGGGCAGGTGCAATGGCTCATTGTAATTCCAGCATTTTGGGAGGCCAAGGTGAGAGGATTGCTTGAGGCCAGAAGTTTGAGACCAGCCTGGGCAACACAGCAAGACTCTGTCTCTACAAAAAATTTAGAAATTAGTTTGACGAGGTGGTATGAGCCTGTAGTTGCAGCAACTTGGGAAGCTAAGCTGGGAGAATTGCCCGAGGCCAGGAGTTTGAGGCTACAGTGAGCTATGATCATGCCACTGCACTCCAGCCTGGGTAACAGAATGAGACCCTATAACCACCCAATGGGTGTATCTTGCCTGCTGCCCAGATAGAGCTGACTGGAAAATTTAAAGAACAATTTGATGAGGGCGGGCGGTGGCACAGAGAATGGGGAATGCTGATTGGTTGGACGAGAGAGAAAATCATGCGGAGTTGAAGCTGTCCTTTTGGACTGAGTCGGCTCTTGGGTGGGAGCCACAAGACCAAGTGAGCCCGTTTATGGATCTGCGTGGTGCCAGGAGATCCATCAACTGCAGGGTCTGAAAAATACCTCAAACATCAATGTTAGGTTGTATAACGCTGTGTTATTCATAGGAGCAATTGAGGAGGCTAGCGATCTTGTGGCCTCTGGCCGCGTGATTCCAGAGCCGTCACTTCTAATCTTGTGGCTGACTTGTTAGTTTTACAAAGGCAGTCTGGTCCCCAGGCAAGAAGGGGGTTTATCTTAGGAAAGGGCTACCGTCCTTGTCTAAAGTCAGTTCGGCCTATGCCCAGGAGTGAACAAGGGCAGCCTGGAGGTCAGAAGCAAGATGGAGTCGGTTAGGTCAGGTCTCTCTCACTGTCGTAGCTTTCTCTCTGCTATAATTTTTGCAAAGGTGGTTTCAAGGCTCTGCCTCTAAAATTGAAACAAGAATTAAAATATACAGAGCTCGGCTGGTTTGGGCACTAATGCAAGCTTCCAAAGCTTCAAACATTTTTTTCTTTTTTAAATAAGGTCTCCTTCAAAAATTCTGAGAAATAAATGACTTCATGAAGAGCCAATGTTTTGTGTTTTTTTAAACAAACAAGGATGTTTTCACAGTGTTAATGTCCTCCAGTCAAAGACAACGAACACACCCGCAGTTAAAGAAGTTGGGGTTGCGTCGTTGCAGTGAGGAAGGAAACACACCATGGGGTATCTGAGTAAGAAGGGGGTTGAAAAATCCTATTATATAGGATTTGGGCTTAGGATGGGTAAATTCAGGAAGAGGAGACTAGAACAGGGATAAAGCTGTAAAAGAAACAGCGATCACTGGCCAGATGTGGTGGTTCATGCCTGTAATCCCAGCACTTTGGGAGGCCAAGGTGGGTGGATCACTTGAGGTCAGGAGTTGGAGACCAGCCTGGCCAACATAGTAAAAACCCATCTCTACTAAAAATAAAAAATTAGCCGGGCGTAGTGGCACGTGCCTGTAATCCCAGCTACTCGGGAGGCTGAGGCAGGAGAATCGCTTGAACCTGGGAGGTGGAGGTTGCAGTGAGCCGAGATCACGCCATTGCGCTCCAGCTTGGGCAACAAGAGCAGAAATCCGTCTCAAAAAAAAAAAGAAAGAAAGAAAGAAAAAAAAGAAAAGAAAGAAAGAAACAGCAATCACTGAGCTGAGAGAGGAGTGTTTACGGTATTTTGAGGGTGGCACAGTGACCTTATTTTTGTCTGGACTCAGACAAAATTATGACGTGGTGGTGCTTCGTGTCGCTTTCTAGTACAGAGCAGTCTTGCGGAGGCTGGTATGTGGTGAGTGTGTCTGTGTCCCACGGGAGAGGAGCGCACCAGCCCCGTGGGTGGCCGGCTGCTCCCGCACCCGCCCCGTGGGTGCCCGGCTGCTCCTGCGCATCAAGGCCCGCTCCCTTGTTTTCCTTCCCAACTCCCTTCACGTGGAGATCTTCTTGGCTCCTTGCAGAGATCTCTCTCTCTCTCTCTCTCTTTTTTTTTTTTTTTTTTTATCTGAGTGAGTACTTGGTAGAAAGGGACAGAAGCTCAAAGTTGTTTAGGCAAAAAGGAGGCACGTTTGTGGGACAGCCCAACCCGGAAGGGGAGCTGGAAAGGGGCTCTGACATCACCACGCGGTGTGTGCCTCTCTCTGCATGACGGCGGCATCGGTTTGCACGGTTTGCCCAGGATCTCCGAGGCTGCCATTTCCCATCAACAAGGCACTAGACCTCTTTCCTAGTGTGGTTTCCAAAACCTCAGGACAGGCCTCTGCGTGGTCTAGCTGGGGATAGATGTCCACGTTTGTGGCCATGGGAGTAGGGTGCCGGGGTTGGCAGCACCCACTAGAACCACATGGAGAGAATGGCAGGAGGAATGGCCCCCACAAAACAAGTCAATGCTATTTCCCAAAGAGGGGAGCCAGGCAGCAAAGCAGGGTATGTCCACCCTATGAGCCATGAGGAGCTGGTCTGCTGGACAAGCTGGACTCGTAAAGTCCTATCAGAAACCTCCCTTGTTCTTTCTTCCTCAAAACTCTCTTTTTTTTTCATCCTGCCATTTGGCTGAAGCCTCTGGCTTATTAGAGGGCTTATCAGACACACTTAGATAGCACAAAGCATGGCCCAGCATCCTGGTGCAAAACTCCCGTCCTGTAGTAATAAAGCACAAACCCTTTCCCAGTTGGAGATTTCCTCTTCTCTGTCCGAGGCCCACTGCAGCCTGCTGGACGCCCGCATCCGGGACTGGCGTGGTGTTGACTTCCTTTGGCTCCACACTCCCCCTGCTCTTTCACCTGCTACCTGGGGCTCTGAGCATCTCCAGGATCTGAGGGGTTCAGCACGCAGAAGGAGAGAGATAAAAGACAGAGAAGCCTTTACTTGGTGGGCACAGGTACCATCTGGCCCGGGGCCTTTGGCAGCATAATGCTGAGGTGCTGCCTCTTTCTTTCCTGAATGCTTTTGTCATTTCTTCAGAAATCCAGCTTCTTCCCTTGCAGCAGAACTCACAGGCTCTGGTTAGCCACTCCCAGCACAGGTTCATCCATGCTGCTAGGATGGAATAAAATGAATCCAAAGCTTTCCATTGGCCTGTCCCAATCCAGGTTCCAAATTCTCTCCTGCTATGGCTTCATACATCTAAGGCATTGACTGGTGTTCCTCACTAGTGTTGTAAGATAACATCTCGTGAAAGGGGTCCCTGCCAAAGGGATGTGGGAAAGATGGTATACTACCTTCTCCTCTCAGAAATACTCAATGCGTACCAGCATATTGAAAAACTAAGATGCCGGCTATAAAGAAAGCTATTTAACCTTCATTACTGAGTCAGTTGCCAAACCAACTTGATTATAGAACGCTTCTAGTGGTAACTGTTATCAGCATCGTGACAAAGGCATGTTCTGCATAGCACAATTTTGGGAACACTCTAGGTAAACTTAATTATTCTAGTTCTAGCACCTCCTAAGAAATTCTCCTTTTCATACCTTGCCCACCTTAGATGTCACAGTTTGTTTTTTATTGCCTTCTCCTCCACTTTTGCACCCATTTTTTTTTTTTGAGATAGCATCTTGCTCTGTTGCTCAGGCTGGAGTGCAATGGCATGATCTCGGCTCACTGCAATCTTGACCTCCTGGACTCAAGTGATCCTCCCACCTCAGCCTCCCCAGTAGCCAGGACTACAGGTGTACACCACTACACCCGGCTAATTTTTTTGATTTTTAGTAGAGATGAGTTCTCACTATATTGCCCAGGCTGGTCTTGAACTCCTGGCCTCAAGCGATCTTCCCACCTCAGCCTCCCAAAGTGCTGGGATTACAGGTGTGAGCCACTTAACCCACCCTGCACTCATTTTTTTTAAAGCTTCAGTTAAATGCCATTCCTGCTGGTCAATGGCTTTAGCCAGAATTTTGGCAGCACTTTCTTCCCCTCCTTTTCAAGCCTCAGATGTGGATGCCCCAGATTTTGGATGGGCCAGCGCATGAGGTGGGGAAGCTCAAATACCAGACCAAGGAAGTGAGTTAGTGGAAATGAGGAGCCATAAAGATGCTTTTATGGTGGAAGGAGCATGGGTTGAAGAGCTGGGTTTTAGGAAGAGTGAGATAGTGGGATCGATTAGGAACAGACTGAAGTTCTTGAGATGCCCCTATTTACATAGGACAAGTTCAGATTGAGGCAGAAAAATAGGGTCTGGAGGCAGGGAATATAAGCCCAATTCAGACTTCAGCTGTGACAGGAAATATCCTCTCCACAGAGCCTATGTTGTAAATGACTTTGTAACTTTACTTCAAACTCTCCATTTACATAGGGCATACCCCAAGTAACCAGTGGAATCCTCTAGCGGGTATTTAAACTCCCAAAAATTATGTAACAGGGCCTTTGAGCCCCTATGCTCAGGCCGCTCCCACACTGTGGCGTGTACTTTCTTTCTTTCTTTTTTTTTTGAGACGGAGCTTCACTCTTGTTGCTCAGGCTGGAGTGCAGTGGCGCGATCTCGGCTGACTGCAACCTCTGCCTCCCGGGTTCAAGCGATTCTCTTGCCTCAGCCTCCTTAGTAGCTGGGATTACAGGCGCCTACCACCATGCCCAGCTAATTTTTTGTATTTTTAGTAGAGACGGGGTTTCACTATGTTGGCCAGGCTGGTCTCGAACTCCTGATCTCAGGCGATCCACCCACCTCAGCCTCCCAAAGTGCTGGGATTACAGGCATGAGGCACTGCGCCCGGCTCCGTGCTTTCATTTTCAATAAAACCCTTCATTCCTTCCTTGCTTTGTTTGTGTGTTTTTTCCAATTCTTTGTTCAAGACGCGAAGAACCTGGACACCCTCCACCATTAACATATTGAACTAGTGTGACCTTCAAGACCCTTCGCAGCTGGGTCGAGTTTATCTCCCTGCTTGATTTTGTTTGGTTTTGTTTTACCACATCTCCTATGCTTGGTGCCATCACCCCTGACTGCTCTGTGTCCTCGCCCATCACGGTCGTGGCTCTTTGCTCCTCCCTCTGCAAGCAGCGGCCCCTCCTCTCCTCTCCAGTGGGACAGAGCCAACTCTGTGAGAATCCGTCCTTCATAGCGCTGCCCTTTCCGTCTTGCAGGATGAATCGCTTCATTACTCAGGTGTCCATCATACTTTATCCATGCCCTTAGTCTAAAAGCATACTGTGTTGCAGACACTGTTATAGGATCGGACTCTGTCCTGAGCCCTTGGAATAGGATAGAACTTTGAACACAGAGAGCTCCATCATACTCATCTTGGTATCCCCACTATCTAGAAGGGTGACTGGACCATCGTAATTTGTCAAAGAAGAAGCTGTTGGAAAAGTAAATGTTAGATTGAAGTTGTGGCAGGAGGTAAAGAAAGGGAATAGGCACATGAGATTGTGTGGAAATACACTTTTACCACCAGCAAATTTCATCTCCAGTAGCTCTGTTTCTGAGAATGAAAACAAACAAGAGAAACAGGATGCTCCGGCGTTCCCTCCAGCCTCCTCCAGCTCTGCAATCCCTACTCCAAGAACATGCCAGCACTCCAGGAAGAACGGTGTGGGGTTCTAGGTCCCCACTTAAAACCTTAGTTTATATTCTAAGTTTTTTTTGTGATCTTGTTCTCTTTTTTTTCTTGCTTCATGTGTGACCATTCCCTCATACTTACATAGTGCCTGACACAGAGTAGGAATTCACAAACGTTTGCCAATGGAATAATTAAAGGATTATTGAATGAATACACTCTGAACAACATTGTAGCTCTCTATGACAGCAGGGAGAAATCCTCTCAGTTCTCCAAGTGTGCCTCACCCTTTCAAATTTCTATCCATTTGTGGGGTTCTGTTTTCACTGCTCTGTTCTCTCCTTTCCTTGGCTACATCTTGCAGTTGCAGGGTTAGATCTGGTGTCCACTTCTCCTAGAAGCCTTCCTAAACACACCTTGGGATGACTGTTAGCGAGGCCTTTACCCTGTGCGAAGGGCCTTGGTTAGGAAGGACGTAATCTTGTGAACAGAGTGAGTGCCCGTAAGTGTGCGACCTGGAGATCCACCGTGCCAGTGCAAGGATCTGCACACCTCCTGGGGGGAGGCGGGGCTTTGCCTTGGCCACCATGTGACTTTGAAGGGAGTTCTCAGTTGCGGCCTCTTTTCCAGTCTGCTACTTTGCTGAAAATCGCCCTTCTTCAGAGCAAGGGAGTTTAAAGAGCTGTTCTTCTTCAGGTTGTTTTGGTTTCAAGCAATTTCCACTGGGACGAGCACTGGGTCCAGTGAGCTCGTCCTTCCTCAGAGAAACCCTATTACGTACCCAGTGATGAGAAACAGAAGGCCCCTGCAGACTGCCTCGATCACAGTTCAACCCCACTCCTGGCAGCTTAGTGATTCTGCAGCTTCCTCCCATGTCATCCATCTCTGCTGGCTCATGTGTCATGGTCTGGCCTTAAAGTATGTGGTCCTAATATCAGATCCCAGCTTAGAAGAGAGGGGAGGAAACGGCACTGCCCCTCGCCTCACCCTCCCTCCTTAGGGAGCCCCTGGTGATTTCTGAGCAAAATTGTAGAGTGTATAAACTGGGAGGGTGTATTGAAGGGATGGCTCAGGACTGTGGTTAGAAAATTGACCTTCTTTTTAATCTTGGCACAGTGGATTTTGAGTATTGTACTTTCAAATAACTTCCAGGAGGTGTCATAAGGTGTGCTCCAAACTTTAAGGAGAGTCTCCCCAGTTCCATGCTCTGTTGTTCATCTTCCTCCTCTCCCTCTTCTCTCTCTTTTTATCTACCTTCAATCTCCTTTCCCTCCACTTCTGCTCTCCCTGAATTGTGCCCCAGTCTAGAGACATGCTTAGCAGGAGAACACAAACTCTGGGGGAATGGATATGTCTAAAGTCTGTGTGCATCGCTGTTCTTCTTGTGTTTTATGAGCCTCTTACCAAAGCACTCTATGATATAACATTGGCATGTCATCCAGAAATACAAAGGCTGGCTTTGAGAAGGTCTCTCGCCGTCTCTTGAATGATAGCATTTGAAATGGTGAAGGAAGTGCTCCGTGCATGCATTCCATTAACAGAGCATAGAGGTGCTGTAAATCGGTAGCTGCCCTTTTAGTCTAATAACAATGGACAGTCAGACTCTTCACTGGAGCTCCCAACTACAGCAGACACTGCCAGTCACCTGCCCAACAGACACCCACACCTCGCACCCTTTCTTGGTTTAGGGGTGCTAATTTTGTTCGGGGGCAACATATTCGGGGAAAGGGATCCCTTCTAGCCCTAGAAAAATAGCATTATTTCTCTCTCTCTTCCTCTTTCTTTTCTTTCCTTTATTGTTATTATTATTATTATTTTTAGACAGGGTGTCACTCTGTTACCCAGGCTGGAAGAGTGCAGTGACATGATCTCAGCTCACTGCAGCCTCCACCTCTTGGGCTTAAGTGATCCTCCTACCTCAGCCTCTGGAAGAGCTGGGAAGACAGGCGTAAGCCACCATGCCCAGCTAATTTTTTTATATTTGGGCTGGACTTGAACTCCCGGGCTCGACCCATCTGTCAGCCTCGGCCTCCCAAAGTGCTGGGATTAAGGCGGGAGCCACCCTGCTCCGTCTATTTCTCTTTCTGATGGTTAGTTCAGCTGTGGACTTTTGACCTGGTTATAGCCAATGGGACTCAATTGGAGGGGCTTCTGGAAAGCAGTTTGTTCTTTAATGAGAGAGGGTGACCTGAGCCGCCTTCTTACCTGGGATGTAGCTATTTATTTATTTATTTTTGAGACAGAGTCTCGCTCTGTCACCCAGGTGTGCAATGGTGAGATCTCGGCTCACTGCACCCTCCGCTTCCCGAGTTCAAGCGATTCTCTTGCCTCAGCCTCCCGAGTAGCTGGGATTACAGGCATGTGCCACCATGCCCGGCTAATTTTTGTATTTTTAGTAGAGATGGGGTTTCACCATGTTGTCTAGGCTGGTCTCAAACTCCTGACCTCGTGATCCGCCCACCTTGGCCTCCCAAAGTGCTGGGATTACAGGGGTGAGCCACCGCGCCCTGCCAGATATAGCTATTTAAAGAAAGATGGCTGGTGCTGAGGGTGACACCTTGGAAACACCAGGAAACAAGCCATACACCCTGACAATGTGTGACTGAAAGAGAATGAGCTTGAGTGTCTCTGACGTGGGTAATTCACCGCAGCAATCCCAGAAGCAGTGAATTGTGGGCTTCCTACCCTGTGAGCTACTTAAGCATCTTGAATGCTCAAGCTAAGGCCAGCGAGGGATTTCCCTGTTCTCTGCAGCTGAATGTGCCTCACCTGCCTCCGTGGTCTGGTCCTCCGCCTGCATCTGCTATAGTACTCGGGGAACGGGGTCATGGTCCATCAGGAATCGCTGTGATGTAACACTGCCTTTGATCACTTTAAAATTGTTCTTATTGTTATTTTATTTTATTTTTTGAGACAGTTTCCCTCCTGTCCCCCAGGCTGGAGTGCAATGGCATGATCTCGGCTGACTGCAACCTCCGCCTCCCAGGTTCAGGCTTCTCCTGCCTCAGCCTCCCAAGTAGCTGGGATTCCAGGTGTCTGCCACCACATCCAGCCTAAAACTGTTCTTATTGTTATTTTAATAGTTTTCCCTCAGTAGAATCCTGAGCCCGCAATCAAATAGCAAGAAAATTTGCCCGAGGCTTTTTTTTTTAATTATTATACTTTAAGTTTTAGGGTACGTGTGCACAACGTGCAGGTTAGTTACATATGTATACATGTGCCATGTTGGTGTGCTGCACCCATTAACTTGTTATTTAACATTAGGTATATATCCTAATGCTATCCCTCCCCCCTCCACCACCCCACAACAGTCCCCGGTGTGTGATGTTCCCCTTCCTGTGTCCATGTGTTCTCATTGTTCAATTCCCACCTATGAGTGAGAACATGCAGTGTTTGGTTTTCTGTCCTTGCGATAGTTTGCTGAGAATGATGGTTTCCAGCTTCATCCATGTCCCTACAAAGGACATGAACTGAGGCTTTCATTTATTGTGTTTATCACTGAAAACAAATACATATTTGTTGCAAACAAATTTTGTTCACATTATACAAAAAGGAATAAACTTGGAAGCAAATGTAGCTATAATTTCCTTCTAGATATTTTTCTCTAGTTATTCAATGTAACCTGGGGTCATATATAACAAAAACTAACATCTACTGAGAATTTGCCAAGTGCTGTGCTCTGTTCCAGTACTTCACATGTGTTAGTTAATGTAACTCTTACAAGGCACCATTCAGATAATTACAGCCGAGGAAACTATAGAACAGAGAGAAGTCTTGGTGTTGTTTAGTGGCAAAGACAGACCATGAGCCTACATAGTTCAGACCCACAGTCCATTAGTCTGCAATGCCTCCCTCTAGTGCTTAGTAAATGCTTGTTGAATCAACAAATGTTTCTCATTGTTCAGAAGTTTGACATTTTTATAATAAAAATTGACAGTATTTTCTTTGTAAAATACCGATGTCATGCTAATTGAGGCGATTTAACTTCTTAAACAGATTAATCAGGTTGTTTTAACTTTCAGGTTTCCAAAACACATCTTTTCATAGCAACATGGTCATAATTTCCTAATGCTTTCTCCATGATGTAGCCAAGTGTTATTATACACATCAGAAAGACAGTTAATGAAATTGTTAATCAATGTAAGCAGAATAATTTTATCACATAAAGCACTACTCTGACATTTCTTTTCTTTTTGAGATGGAGTTTCACTCTTGTTGCCTAGGTTGGAGTGCAATGGCGTGATCTCCGCTCACTGCAACCTCCGCCTCCCAGGTTCAAGCAATTCTCTGGCCTCAGCCTCCCAAGTAGCTGGGATTACTGGCATGTGCCACCACGCCCTGCTAATTTTGTATTTTTAGTAGAGACAGGGTTTCTACATGTTGGTCAGGCTGGTCTTCAACTCCCAACCTCAGGCAATCCGCCCGCCTCGGCCTCCCGAAGTGCTGAGATTACAGGCATGAGCCATCACGCCTGGCCTTACCCTACATTTCTAATTGTCTATATAAAATCATTAGAAAGAAAGATTAACTATTTACTGTATTTACTTTCATTGCCTGATCCTGCTTGAGCCAGACCACATCACCTGAGGCCCATGTTCTAAGAATGACATGCTGCTGGTAATTAACAGAGAAGCCTGGCCGCATCTACAAAAGGCTGTTGATGGATGAACAATGGGTACAAAGGACTGGACAAGTTGCTAAGAATGGCTTATCACGTTTGCAATTATGGGTCATTTTCAAAGGAAGGCCCTCCAAAGAAAAGGACCCACTATTCTTTCAGTGTGCCTTCTTCATGGGGCTGGCTGGTCAGAATGCTACACCTACTACCGTAACCAAGGATGATACTTCTTCCCCACCACCACCATCTCCTTTTTATGATTCTTGCATTCTCCCTATAGATTTAAAACAATTACGATGACCATTTCAATTTGTAGCCAGTTTTTTAGAGTGAATTTACCCACTAAAGACTTTCATAGAGGTACAAGCAAGATACTATGATCTTGAAGTACCCCAAAATTAATTAATACCCCAATCATGGATCTTTCCTAGGATTGCCATAACAAAGTGCTGGGTGGCTTAAAACAACAGAATTTTTTTTTTTCTCACAGTTCTGGAAATGGGAAGTCCTCACTGAGGTGTTTGTGGGGCCCTGTAGGGGAGGAGTCATCCCTGCCTCTTCTTAGCGTCTGGTAGTGGCCATCAGCCTGGAGCACCCTTCGGCTTGCAGCTGCTTCACTCCAGCCTCTGCCTCTGTCATCCTGTGGTGCTCCCCCTGTGTGTCTGTGCCCACATCTCCCTCTTCTTAAGAGTATACGCATCGTACTGGACAAGGACCCATCCTACTGACCTCAGCTTAACTTGATTACATCTGTGAAGATCCTATTTCCAAATAAGATCACATTCACAAGAACTGGGGGTGGGACTTCAACACATCTTCTGGGGGCACACAACTCAAATGTGCCCACAGCTGGGACACATGCAGACACACCTTAGAGACAGAATGCTTTCAAGGCCAGGATCTGGAAGGGTATGCAGCTGTTCTCTAGCTTTATTTATTATTATTATTATTATTATTATTATTATTATTATTATTATTATTTGAGACGGAGTTTCGCTCTTCTTGCCCAGGCTGGAGTGCAATGGCACGATCTTGACTCACCGCAACATCCGCTTCCTGGGTCCAAGCGATTCCCCTGCCTCAGCCTCCCAAGTAGCTGGGATTACAGGGACCCGGCACCACACCCAGCTAATTTTTGTATTTGTAGTAGAGATGGGGTTTCTCCATGTTGGTCAGGCGGGTCTTGACCTCCCGACTTCAAGTGATCTGCCTGCCTCAGCCTCCCAAAGTGCTTGTCCATAGAAGAGAAGTGGTTATTGAGGGAAACATGGAAAGATCTAGAACCAGAGAGCCCAAGACAGCGGCATGAATGCACCACTGTTCAGGAACAGTTGCTCCTGAAGGAGAAGGGTGCTGGACTCTAATGGTTAATGCCCCCTGTATGTGAACCATATGATTCCTTCCCTTTGCTTTGATTCCACACTCACCTAACAACCATTGGAATTAATTTGGTCCTAAAGGGATTCCTCTTATGGGGAAAGAGCAGAGGATGGAACACTGCATCAGTGCTTTTTTTTTTTTTTTTTTTTTGAGACGGAGTCTCGCATTGTCACCCAGGCTGGAGTGCAGTGGCGAGATCTTGGCTCACTGCAAGCTCCACCTCCCAGGTTCACGCCATTCTCCTGCCTCAGCCTCCCGAGTAGCTGGGACTACAGGCGCCCACCACCACACCCGGCTAATTTTTTGTATTTTTAGTAGAGACAGGGTTTCACCGTGTTAGCCAGGATAGTCTCGATCTCCTGACCTCCTCCGCCCGCTCGGCCTCCCAAAGTGCTGGGATTACAGGCGTGAGCCACCGCACCCGGCCGCATCAGTGCTTTGTGAGTCAGATTAGTGGGGCTCCACACAGAGACACTGGTCAGCTGTGAAGGTGCTGGGCCCATCAGATTTCTGAGTCTGAAATATCAGGAATCCTGAGTTCTGGCAGCAAACAAGTGCTACCCCCAAGGATCTAGGTGAGCTGACTCGAACTTTGCTCCACAATGGCCCTCCCTTGCTGTTATTTCAAGTTCCATATGTTCAGATTCAATGGAGCGACTAGCCCCTTACTCACTGAAAGCACATACTCTAGAAATAACTTCTATTTGCATTGAAAGTGACCTGATATATTAAGGATTTAATTACTCCATGAATCAGAATAAGATCCTTGTAAGATGAACAAAATCTGTGGGAAACTGCTTTGCAGTCCTGAATGAGTGCTACATGAAAACAGTCCAGTGTTCGGAGGGAACGTCCAGACTTCTGAGGCTACCTGGTGAGTGCTGCAGAAGGGGAACAAGGGAGCACGAGAAAAGTTCATGGTTCAACAGCAGCCTGTTCCTGGTGTCTCTGCGTTGTGACGGAGTTGGCACTGCTTCCCTGGTTTGCCCCCAACCCTCTCCCTCTTGTTACCATTGCTGCTCTCAGAGGTGTCTGTTCTTAATTCCCTTTTTCTCTCATTTTGATTCTTCGCTGTGTGCTGGTGCTTCACACGCTGACGACTGCGTGCTCTCGCCTCTCCGAACATCCAAGGGCCTTTAAAATCTCACCCTAGTCACCCATGTCTCTTACTTCCCTTAGGCACACAAATGCTCTGCTGTCCCCAAGCGAATGTTGACCACGATGGCTGCCATCACCTGTGCTTGTCTTCCAGGGCACTCACGGGACACTCAGCATATGACGTGAAGCAGATTATTCCATGCTCTGGGAAGAGAACCGCTCTTTCTTTGCATGTCTGTGCTTAATGCAATCTTGAAGCAGACAAGTGCCCAGTACATGTTGGTGGCAGTTAGATGTAGAAAAGGGATCATGACAGAAGACTTGTTAACTGCCTCCAAATAACGCAAAACTTAGCATTACCTGGAAGTTTACCGTGGCTCAGACTCCAGTTTGATAACTTACAAAAGATTCAAGTATATAAGCATGAATGTCAGTTTATTCACTGCCAGACTTAATTCATCTCTTTTCCCTACCCCACATCAGGAAATGTATCTCCTGAGATCCTCTCCTGAATATTAATGGACAAACTCCATCAATATCTCATTACTATTTTTTTGACACAGGGTCTCACTCTACTGCCCAGGCTGGAATGCAGTGGTGCGATCACGGCTCACTCCAGGCCCAAGCGATCACCTCAGCCTCCCGAGTACCTGGGACTACAGGCATGCGCCACCAGGCCCGGCATTTTTTTTTTTTTTAAATATTTGTAGAGATGGGGTCTCCCTATGTTGTTGCCCAGGCTGGCCTGGAACTCCTGGGCTCAAGCCATCCTCCCACCTCCCAATCCCGGTGCTGGGATTACAGGTATGAGCCACCGAGCCTGGCTGCAGTATCTTATTTTTTAACTCTGTTCAACACTGACCCCACACCCCTTTAGATGCTCGCACCTATACGCTCTACCTTTCACACATATTTTTCAGATTAAGCAAAATACAATTTATTCCACTGAATAGAAAACGTTGCCTTCCATATCTGTCTTTGAATTTGTAGTCGTTCCGATTATAATTTGAGTTCTCAAACATTTGAATTACACAGTCTCTTGGTTCACTCCGACAGGTGTTTAAACAGGTGTGCGTAGGTCTTTCTACTTCAGCTCTCAGAGCCGGTCTTGTTTGCAGGTTAGTGGGTGGCGCACCTCGCGGTTGCTCCCACCCCACCCTTAGTAACAGGGTTTGAGTAGGACCCTGGGGTGGGGGAGTGGATGCTGCTGTTTCAAGCTCGTTCGCCCAAATACATCTTTCTACCCACCTTCCCTATCGTCAGAGAGGTGGCCTGACCCCAGCACGTGCAAGCTTGTCAGGCTGGGTAAGTTCCAGAACCTTCTGGAGCCAGGATTCTCTTTCCCAGCCCTGGGCCCTGAGCTCGGCGGATGGGATCTGCGAGGCTCGGGGCGCAGGGGAAATGGGGGCGTGTTCCTTTAAGGCGGAACCAGGCGGGGAGTGGGACGTCCCCCGCGGGCACAGCCCGAGCCGCACCTGGGGCCCAATTAGCCTGGAGCGCGGCCGGGTGTGTTGAACGTAGCAACCGCGGGCGGCGGGCGGCGGGCGGCGGGCGTCTGGGGCGGGCGGCGGCCGCGCTTCCCGGGGCTCCTGGCCCTTCGGCCCTCGGGGGTCTCACGGCGCTGGGACGAGGCGGGGCTGCTCTCCGCAGCCGGGGCGCTCGGCGGACGGACCCGGGCCGGGGAAGGGCGACCCCAGCGGCGCGGAGCTGAGCGTCCTCGGGGAGGAGAGGGAGCCAGGGGCCTCCGGGGCTCCGGGTGCGGGGACCTCAGGCTCCTCGCCCCGGCCCGGGCCGCCTCGGCCGGATCTCCGCGGTCTGAACTCTCGGGCGGCGGCGAGGACGGCGTGTCCACTGTCGAGGCATGAAGGCTGCTGTGCTGGACCTTGGGTCTCTCTTGGCCAAACTCTTCGAGACCTCGACGGCGCCCCCCGCAGGCCCCTCCTCCAGACCCTCGGGAGGTGCTGCCGCTGCAGGGTCGGGGGGCTCCAGGGCGGGCACCCCGTTGGGTACCGCCCCGACCCTCCTCCGCGCCCTGGCTCCGGACTCCCCCTCCGCCTCGCGGCGGTCGCCCGCCCCGCTGCTCTCCTCCCCCTACTCCCGGGGCTCCGCCGCCAGCCGCGCCGCGGGAGCAGTGGGGACCCTGCTCTCTTGGCCCAGTAGCCCTAGAGCGGGTAAAGCCCCGCCCCAGCCCCCCACTCCCTCCGGCGGGGGCTGCTCCCCTGCTCGCCTGGTGGTCCCAGCGCGGCCGCCCTCGGGCCCCGGCGGGGTCTGGGCCGCGCTCCCCAGGAACCCGCTCCAGCCTGGCCCCGGAGAGCGAGAGCTCGGCGCCTGCGTGGCCCCCGGGGCTGGCCCCAGAACCCTGTTCCTTACGCTGCCTGACATCGGCGAGGAGGGGGCCTCGGACGGCGACTCCGGGGATGGCGAAGCGTGAGTAGCAGCGTGGTCCGGGCGCGTGTACCTTTTGCCGGGACCCCCGACCCCTCCGCCTGCCGCACTCACCTTCGCAGGTGCACTTCAGGAAATGAAATATTTGTAGTAACTTTCATAACCCCCTGGGCACCCTCCTTGCACGTTTCCTGGGTTTTTACTCCTTGGCTTTGCGGGCTTTCAGACATAAGCTGTGACATGCTTTGTCCAGCTTTCTCAGAGTGAATCCTAAGGGGCCTTGAAGGAAGGGACAGAATTTTGTTTCTCTTCTACCAGAAGCATTGCTACTTAGAGTGTTTGTTTGGTTTTCTTAAGGACTTTTTGAAGTCCCTTTCTTTGTCTCAGAATATAGCAGGTGTGCAGGGAAACCGAATACACACGTCTGCAGCAAGTGTTTTAAGAAGTGGTGAGACCTGGTGCTTTCCTAATGTCTAAGGACCAGTCCCTAGTCTTATCCTAAGTGGGATGGGTCTCCTTTGTGTGACATCTAGTTAATTTACATATGCATGACATCATCTGACACAAATGGAGTTGTAATGGCCAGGACACGTCTGATTATTACCCTAGAGCTCCTGAGAGCTTTCCACAGTGCCCTGAGTCACTGCAGAAACGTTGACTTCATGGGAACATTTTCACTGGGAATCGGAGGCCGATTCCCTCAACACACACACACCCACACAACACCCCTTTCACTTCCAAGAGTCGTGATAAAAACATTGCTCTTTTAAAATGTGTTTTAGAACTAGGATGAATTTTAATTTTTAGAGTGGAGCATATCGTTAGCTATTCTTGAGTGGGTAAATTTTCATCCTGAATGCTGCAAAGAAATAGTGAAATGGTCAAAGACAGATGAGCCAATTCACAGACTGAGGTTTCTGCATTGTAATCTAGTGAGGCCATTCCCTACTCCCTCCAAAAAATCCTGAGTAATTTTTGCATTCATACTGATCCTGACTCACTCACAATTTAAATAATTACAGTTTCACAAAATTGAATGATATTCATGTCAATATGAAAACAAGCGGCCGGGCACGGTGGCTCACGCCTGTAATCCCAGCACTTTGGGAGGCCGAGGCGGGCGGATCATGAGGTCAGGAGATCGAGACCATCCTGGCTAACACGATGAAACCCCGTCTCTACTAAAAATACAAAAAATTAGCCGGGCGTGGTGGTACGTGCCTGTAGTCCCAGCTACTCGGAAGGCTGAGGCAAGAGGATGATGGCGTGAACCCGGGAGGCGGAGCTTGCAGTGAGCCAAGATCGCACCATTGCGCTCCAACCTGGGCGACAGAGAGAGAGACTCCGTCTCAAAAAAACAACAACAAAAAAGAAAATAAGCAGTTAAGCAAAAAGTTGTTCCCACTCATTAAAAAATACTATATTATGACATATGTTTATCAACTGATAGTTTTCCCTATCAGTTAATTGCTTTTGGAAAACTCACTGGAATACATATGCCTGAGGAATTAGATCTTTGTTATTGGCAACTGGTCCTTAACATTTATGCAATTAATGTTTTATGAGCAAACAGATCTACACACTGACCTTAAACTCTAGTCTTAGTGCTTTTAACAAATAGGCACTGAAATATGCAGCATGGCCAGTGAAACTGGTGTTAGTTTCAATTCTTGAACATATTAGCTCATGTTTATATTGTGCAAATATTTGGAATAGATACTTTTTGAATAACACTGCATTTGGCATTATTTACATAAGAGATTATTCTGAATTAACAAATGCATTCAATTTTATGGACAGTGAAGAAATTGAATTTTTAAATTATTATTACTTTTTGAGATGAGGTCTCCTTCTGTCACCCAGGTTGGAGTGCAGTGGTATGATCACTGTTCATTGCAGCCTCAACCTCCCAGGCTCAAGCGATCTGATTCTCCCGTCTCAGACTCTCGAGTAGCTGGGACTACAGGTGTGAGCTACTATGCCTGGCCAATTTTAAAAATGTTTCTGTGGAGACGGGGTCTCCCTATGTTGCCCAGGCTGGTCTTGAACTCCTGGCCTCAAGCAATCTTCCCACCTGGGCATTGCTGGGATTACAGGCATGAGCCACTGCATCTGGCCATGAAATTGAATTTTAGGTAAGTGCCATGAGAAGTAATATACACAGCTAGGTGCTTTGCAGAATCCTCCTGAGTTTGTGTGTTCCTACTGTCTGCAGCAGCAGGTAGAGGCACACACAGGCAGGAAGCAGACTGGCCCTCTGAGCATACCATTTTTCCTTTCAGATCCACGACTACTCACATTCCCTTCCTCTCATCATACCCCACTCCTTTTTCAATCACTAAAACATAAGAGACAAAGGGGAAGGAAGAAAGTATTAAGACGGCTTTTCTTTCAATACTGCAGACTTTGCACCTTGAAGGATTCTTTTTCCCTCCTGGATTTCTGTGGTAGTGATTTATAACACCGAATAAACAAACATAAGACAATGAATTTAAATTTGCTCCTACCATCTCATCTGTCACTTGGCAGATAGCTGCTGCTGTTAGCCTGTGTGGTTAATATTAAAATCAGGAATTTAAATTTCAAAAGCCTGGAAACTTGGAAAGGGAGAAATGGGTAATGTCAGAGAAAAAGTTTAAAGAGTGATGAGAATGTGAATACATATAAAGGAAACCGTAAACCTGTCTGCAAGAAATGCGGATCTAATTTTAAAGCTGTGGCCCTGAGTTCTAAAGGAAAACCCTATTAGCAGTTTGTACTTTTTTGACAATAACGCATACATTTTACATTTGCCTGATTCTGTACTTGGCTTTAAAAAAAAAAAACAAAAAACTAAAAGTAGTGAAATTAACTTGAGTAGGAAAATATGCAAACTCTCCTGCAATTTAGAGGCTTTTTTCCAAGCAAAGATGCTGAATAGCAGCAGGGGTTTTTAATCTCTGACCCAAGAATTCCGTAAGTGAAAGGCCCATGGAACAGAGGCTGCCCCTTTTGCTCCACAGGGCGTACTGACTGCACATCTGAGCCAGAGGCAGAGGATACTGATCTCTCTGTCTTCACCTCACTTTCCTGCATCCCTGGATACGTGATCCAACACCTTTGATCTTCACCTTGGCTTCCCTGTCCATTTCATGTATATATTATGCCTCAGTGTTTTTCAGTCTCACTCATCCCTCTTCATTACCTCTTTTCATACTTCTGGTTTGAACCACACAATACACCTTGTAAAGGTCTTATTCTCAATCTCTGGTTTTTTTTTTTTTTTGAGACGGAGTCTTGCTCTGTCGCCCAGGCTGGAGTGCAGTGGCGCGATCTCGGCTCACTGCAAGCTCCGCCTCCTGGGTTCACGCCATTCTCCTGCCTCAGCCTCCCGAGTAGCTGGGACTGCAGGTGCCTGCCACCACGCCCGGCTAATTTTTTGTATTTTTAGTAGAGAAGGGGTTTCACCATGTTAGCCAGGATGGTCTCGATCTCCTGACCTTGTAATTTGCCCGCCTCGGCCTCCCGAAGTGCTGGGATTACAGGCTTGAGCCACCGCGCCCGGCCGGTCTTATTCTCTTATTTGTTCTGCAAATGTAAGAATTCCTAGCAATACGTAAGGTGGATAGATAGATAATTGCTGTGTATGAATGTTGGTAGAGTGTAAACTTCTAGTCAGGAAGTATTTATAGCTTGTATAAGTCATAGTTATTAGCAAGCATATATTCACTCTTTTTTTTTTTGAGTGATTGAGTTCCATTGTTAAAATCACATTACTGTGGAAACATTGCAGTGGCTGCTTGAAGGGCCTGTCAGCATGGCTGGCAGTAAAGTGACTAGAGGGACTTATCTCGATTCCTCTGACACTGAGGCAGCCTCCAGTGTGATGAAGCCTGTAGACCCGGAAACCAGACGAGGTGGATTCCACCTCAAACCGATTGCTAGCTGAGTAATTCTGGGCAGGTCATTCATTTCTTCCCTAGCTGTAGTTTTTCTTTCTTGATAATATGGAGGTGATAATACTTTCTGCATAGAAGTGCTCCAGAAATTAATTGAAATAATAAGTAATATATGGAGAAATGCTAAAAAAGTGTTATCTATGATTACTACCTGCTTCTTGGCACAGAAATGAAAATTGAGAGCCATGTTTTATTGAAAGAAACATTCTAGGTGAAGAAAAAACAGAGAAAAATGATTCATTATATTTACCATGTGGCTGTAATAAATGGTGTCTTTTAGTTCAGTTATTTGGGAGAACAAATTATAGTACATGCCAATCTTTCATCATTACCTTCCCTGCATGACTTACAGAAGATAAGGGTTAGTTTAATTAACATTACCACTGAGTGCTGTGTAACACCCAGAAGGAAATGCATTTACCACTCTGGGATCAAACTTTTAATCTGCAGAATAATCAGTAGCATCACAAATCATACATTTGTGTAGCCCTTGTCTTTTCCTCCACTGAAACCCTGTGATTTATATTCACATCTTATGTCCATTATCAGACTATAAACTCTTTGTCCTGTGACACTTAAGGGAACACATGCCCATAAAAGACATTTAGCAAATATTTATTGAATGGATGAAGAAAATATTTTCTTCCTCATATAATCCACTGTCATGGGTTTCTAATCTTACAACAACCCAGGGGCAGTTTAAATGTCTTTCTTGAAGAATAATTATTGTCTTAGGTCTTTTTGTTTCATCGTCTTGAGTTTTTCCAAAGTTAGTAATGCTTGCTGCTGGGACTTAGCATTTCCTCAGGGATGAACGGTGGCTCAGTGTACAATTGTCATATAAGCGTTACTTTCTTTTTTTTTTTTTATTATACTTTAAGTTTTAGGGTACATGTGCACATTGTGCAGGTTAGTTACATATGTATACATGTGCCATGCTGGTGCGCTGCACCCACTAACTCGTCATCTAGCATTAGGTATATCTCCCAATGCTATCCCTCCCCCCTCCCCCAACCCCACCACAGTCCCCAGAGTGTGATATTCCCCTTCCTGTGTCCATGTGATCTCATTGTTCAATTCCCACCTATGAGTGAGAATATGCGGTGTTTGGTTTTTTGTTCTTGCGATAGTTTACTGAGAATGATGATTTCCAATTTCATCCATGTCCCTACAAAGGACATGAACTCATCATTTTTTATGGCTGCATAGTATTTCATGGTGTATATGTGCCACATTTTCTTAATCCAGTCTATCATTGTTGGACATTTGGGTTGGTTCCAAGTCTTTGCTATTGTGAATAATGCCGCAATAAACCTATGTGTGCATGTGTCTTTATAGCAGCATGATTTATAGTCCTTTGGGTATATACCCAGTAATGGGATGGCTGGGTCAAATGGTATTTCTAGTTCTAGATCCCTGAGGAATCGCCACACTGACTTCCACAATGGTTGAACTAGTTTACAGTCCCACCAACAGTGTAAAAGTGTTCCTATTTCTCCACATCCTCTCCAGCACCTGTTGTTTCCTGACTTTTTAATGATTGCCATTCTAACTGGTGTGAGATGGTATCTCATTGTGGTTTTGATTTGCATTTCTCTGATGGCCAGTGATGATGAGCATTTTTTCATGTGTTTTTTGGCTGCATAAATGTCTTCTTTTGAGAAGTGTCTGTTCATGTCCTTCACCCACTTTTTGATGGGGTTGTTTGTTTTTTTCTTGTAAATTTGTTGGAGTTCATTGTAGATTCCGGATGTTAGTCCTTTGTCAGATGAGTAGGTTGCGAAAATTTTCTCCCATTTTGTAGGTTGCCTGTTCACTCTGATGGTAGTTTCTTTTGCTGTGCAGAAGCTCTTTAGTTTAATTAGATCCCTTTTGTCAATTTTGTCTTTTGTTGCCATTGCTTTTGGTGTTTTGGACATGAAGTCCTTGCCCATGCCAATGTCCTGAATGGTAATACCTAGGTTTTCTTCTAGGGTTTTTATGGTTTTAGGTCTAACGTTTAAGTCTTTAATCCATCTTGAATTGATTTTTGTATAAGGTGTAAGGAAGGGATCCACTTTCAGCTTTCTACATATGGCTAGCCAGTTTTCCCAGCACCATTTATTAAATAGGGAATCCTTTCCCCATTGCTTGTTTTTCTCAGGTTTGTCAAAGATCAGATAGTTGTAGATATGCGGCATTATTTCTGAGGGCTCTGTTCTGTTCCATTGATCTAGATCTCTGTTTTGGTACCAGTACCATGCTGTTTTGGTTACTGTAGCCTTGTAGTATAGTTTGAAGTCAGGTAGTGTGATGCCTCCAGCTTTGTTCTTTTGGCTTAGGATTGCCTTGGCGATGTGGGCTCTTTTTTGCTTCCATATGAACTTTAAAGTAGTTTTTTCCAATTCTGTGAAGAAAGTCATTGGTAGCTTTATGGGGATGGCATTGAATCTGTAAATTACCTTGGGCAGTATGGCCATTTTCATGATATTGATTCTTCCTACCCATGAGCATGGAATGTTCTTCCATTTGTTTGTATCCTCTTTTATTTCCTTGAGCAGTGGTTTGTAGTTCTCCTTGAAGAGGTCCTTCACATCCCTTGTAAGTTGGATTCCTAGGTATTTTATTCTCTTTGAAGCAATTGTGAATGGGAGTTCACTCATGATTTGGCTCTCTGTTTGTCTGTTATTGGTGTATAAGAATGCTTGTGATTTTTGTACGTTGATTTTGTATCCTGAGACTTCGCTGAAGTTGCTTATCAGCTTAAGGAGATTTTGGGCTGAGACAGTGGGGTTTTCTAGATATACAATCATGTCGTCTGCAAACAGGGACAATTTGACTTCCTCTTTTCCTAATTGAATACCCTTTATTTCCTTCTCCTGCCTAATTGCCCTGGCCAGAACTTCCAACACTATGTTGACTAGGAGTGGTGAGAGAGGGCATCCCTGTCTTCTGCCAGTTTTCAAAGGGAATGCTTCCAGTTTTTGCCCATTCAGTATGATATTGGCTGTGGGTTTGTCATAGATAGCTCTTATTATTTTGAAATACGTCCCATGAATACCTAATTTATTGAAAGTTTTTAGCATGAAGGGTTGTTGAATTTTGTCAAAGGCTTTTTCTGCATCTGTTGAGATAATCATGTGGTTTTTGTCTTTGGTTCTGTTTATATGCTGGATTACATTTATTGATTTGCATATATTGAACCAGCCTTGCATCCCAGAGATGAAGCCCACTTGATCATGGTGGATAAGCTTTTTGATGTGCTGCTGGATTCGTTTTGCCAGTATTTTATTGAGGATTTTTGCATCAATGTTCATCAAGGATATTGGTCTAAAATTCTCTTTTTTGGTTGTGTCTCTGCCCGGCTTTGGTATCAGAATGATGCTGGCCTCATAAAATGAGTTAGGGAGGATTCCCTCTTTTTCTATTGATTGGAATAGTTTCAGAAGGCATGGTACCAGTTCCTCCTTGTACCTCTGATAGAATTCGGCTGTGAATCCATCTGGTCCTGGACTCTTTTTGGTTGGTAAACTATTGATTATTGCCACAATTTCAGCTCCTTTTATTGGTCTATTCAGAGATTCAACTTCTTCCTGGTTTAGTCTTGGGAGAGTGTATGTGTCGAGGAATTTATCCATTTCTTCTAGATTTTCTAGTTTATTTGCGTAGAGGTGTTTGTACTATTCTCTGATGGTAGTTTGTATTTCTGTGGGATCAGTGGTGATATCCCCTTTATCATTTTTTATTGTGTCTATTTGATTCTTCTCTCTTTTTTTATTAGTCTTGCTAGGGGTCTATCAATTTTGTTGATCCTTTCAAAAAACCAGCTCCTGGATTCATTAATTTTTTGAAGGGTTTTTTGTGTCTCTATTTCCTTCACTTCTGCTCTGATTTTAGTTATTTCTTGCCTTCTGCTAGCTTTTGAATGTGTTTGCTCTTGCTTTTCTAGTTCTTTTAATTGTGATGTTAGGGTGTCAATTTTGGATCTTTCCTGCTTTCTCTTCTGGGCATTTAGTGCTATAAATTTCCCTCTGCACACTGCTTCGAATGCGTCCCAGAGTTTCTAGTATGTTGTGTCTTTGTTCTCGTTGGTTTCAAAGAACATCTTTATTTCTGCCTTCATTTCGTTATGTATCCAGTAGTCATTCAGGAGCAGGTTGTTCAGTTTCCATGTAGTTGAGCGGTTTTGAGTGAGATTCTTAATCCTGAGTTCTAGTTTGATTGCACTGTGATCTGAGAGATAGTTTGTTATAATCTCTGTTCTTTTACATTTGCTGAGGAGAGCTTTACTTCCAAGTATGTGGTCAATTTTGGAATAGGTGTGGTGTGGTGCTGAAAAAAATGTATATTCTGTTGATTTGGGGTGGAGAGTTCTGTATATGTCTAATAGGTCCACTTGGTGCAGAGCTGAGTTCAATTCCTGGGTATCCTTGTTGACTTTCTGTCTCGTTGATCTGTCTAATGTTGACAGTGGGGTGTTAAAGTCTCCCATTATTATTGTGTGGGAGTCTAAGTCTCTTTGTAGGTCACTCAGGACTTGCTTTATGAATCTGGGTGCTCCTGTATTGGGTGCATATATATTTAGGATAGTTAGCTCTTCTTGTTGAATTGATCCCTTTACCATTATGTAATGGCCTTCTTTGTCTCTTTTGATCTTTGTTGGTTTAAAGTCTGTTTTATCAGAGACTAGGATTGCAACCCCTGCCTTTTTTTGTTTTCCATTGGCTTGGTAGATCTTCCTCCATCCTTTTATTTTGAGCCTATGTGTGTCTCTGCACGTGAGATGGGTTTCCTGAATACAGCACACTGATGGGTCTTGACTCTTTATCCAATTTGCCAGTCTGTGTCTTTTAATTGGAGCATTTAGTCCATTTACATTTAAAGTTAATATTGTTATGTGTGAATTTGATCCTGTCATTATGATGTTAGCTGGTGATTTTGCTCGTTAGTTGATGCAGTTTCTTCCTAGTCTCGATGGTCTTTACATTTTGGCATGACTTTGCAGCGGCTGGTACCGGTTGTTCCTTTCCCTGTTTAGCGCTTCCTTCAGGAGCTCTTTTAGGGCAGGCCTGGTGGTGACAAAATCTCTCAGCATTTGCTTGTCTGTAAAGTATTTTATTTCTCCTTCACTTATGAAGCTTAGTTTGGCTGGATATGAAATTCTGGGTTGAAAATTCTTTTCTTTAAGAATGTTGAATATTGGCCCCCACTCTCTTCTGGCTTGTAGGGTTTCTGCCGAGAGATCCGCTGTTAGTCTGATAGGCTTCCCTTTGAGGTTGACCCGACCTTTCTCTCTGGCTGCCCTTAACATTTTTTCCTTCATTTCAACTTTGGTGAATCTGACAATTATGTGTCTTGGAGTTGCTCTTCTCGAGGAGTATCTTTTTGGTGTTCTCTGTATTTCCTGAATCTGAACGTTGGCCTGCCTTGCTAGATTGGGGAAGTTCTCCTGGATAATATCCTGCAGAGTGTTTTCCAACTTGGTTCCATTCTCCCCATCACTTTCAGGTACACCAATCAGACGTAGATTTGGTCTTTTCACATAGTCCCATATTTCTTGGAGGCTTTGCTCATTTCTTTTTATTCTTTTTTCTCTAAACTTCCCTTCTCGCTTCATTTCATTCATTTCATCTTCCATTGCTGATACCCTTTCTTCCAGTTGATCGCATCGGCTCCTGAGGCGTCTGCATTCTTCACGTAGTTCTCGAGCCTTGGTTTTCAGCTCCATCAGCTCCTTTAAGCACTTCTCTGTATTGGTTATTCTAGTTATGCATTCTTCTAAATTTTTTTCAAAGTTTTCAACTTCTTTGCCTTTGGTTTGAATGTCCTCCCGTAGCTCAGAATAATTTGATCTTCTGAAGCCGCCTTCTCTCAGCTCGTCAAAGTCATTCTCCATCCAGCTTTGTTCCATTGCTGGTGAGGAACTGCGTTCCTTTGGAGGAGGAGAGGCGCTCTGCGTTTTAGAGTTTCCAGTTTTTCTGTTCTGTTTTTTCCCCATCTTTGTGGTTTTATCTACTTTTGGTCTTTGATGATGGTGATGTACAGATGGGTTTTTGGTGTGGATGTCCTTTCTGTTTGTTAGTTTCCCTTCTAACAGACAGGACCCTCAGCTGCAGGTCTGTTGGAATACCCTGCCGTGTGAGGTGTCAGTGTGCCCCTGCTGGGGGGTGCCTCCCAGTTAGGCTGCTCGGGGGTCGGGGTCAGGGACCCACTTGAGGAGGTAGTCTGCCCGTTCTCAGATCTCCAGCTGCGTGCTGGGAGAACCACTGCTCTCTTCAAAGCTGTCAGACAGGGACATTTAAGTCTGCAGAGGTTACTGCTGTCTTTTTGTTTGTCTGTGCCCTGCCCCCAGAGGTGGAGCCTACAGAGGCAGGCAGGCCTCCTTGAGCTGTGGTGGGCTCCACCCAGTTCGAGCTTCCCGGCTGCTTTGTTTACCTAAGTAAGCCTGGGCAATGGCGGGCGCCCCTCCCCCAGCCTCGCTGCCACCTTGCAGTTTGATCTCAGACTGCTGTGCTAGCAATCAGCGAGACTCCGTGGGCGTGGGATCCTGTGAGCCATGTGCGGGATATAATCTCCTGGCGCGCCGTTTTTTAAGCCGGTCCGAAAAGCGCAATATTTGGGTGGGAGTGACCTGATTTTTCAGGTGCGTCCGTCACCCCTTTCTTTGACTCCGCAAGGGAACTCCCTGACCCCTTGCGCTTCCCAAGTGAGGCAATGCCTCGCCCTGCTTCGGCTCGCGCACGGTGCGCGCACCCACTGACCTGCGCCCACTGTCTGGCACTCCCTAGTGAGATGCACCCGGTACCTCAGATGGAAATGCAGAAATCACCCGTCTTCTGTGTCACTCACGCTGGGAGCTGTAGACCGGAGCTGTTCCTATTTGGCCATCTTGGCTCCTCCCTCATGACCGTTACTTTCTATTACAGTCATATGACCATTACTGTCATTAAAGATAATAATGAATTCAACTTGGTTTTCCATATCGAGTATTTGCTTATACCCGAGAAAACAATTTTGTTCTGTCTTATGCGTAGGCTTTTGCTTTAAATTATCCTCTTTCTTTGTTGTTATATTTAAATTTTTTTTTTTTAATTTGAGACAGAGTCTCACTCTGTCACCAGGCTGGCTGGAGGGCAGCGGCACGATCTCGGCTCACTGCAACCTCTGCGTCCTGGGTTAAAGTGATTCTCCTGCCTCAGACTTCTGAGTAGCTGGGATATATTTAAATCTTGAAAATTGTATTTGAGTTAGCAGTTATATGTTTTTTTGCTGTGTGTTTAAAGAACACATGTTGAGTGTTTTCTAAGTTCTTATCCAACAAGCATGGCCCTTGTGCCAAGCTCATAATGATAGTCCTATGGGATTTGAACCCTTCAGCATTGCGTAATCATAACAGCTCATGTAAATTAGTATAGTTTTTAGAGCACAGATTGAAGTCAGATCGAATTTGATTCAAATCTCATTTTGTAACTTTTCTTAGAATGCTAATTAAGCATTCACATTGGCTACCTAACCTCTTTAAGCTTTACCTTCTCATTCATAAAATGGGAATTAATAATAATGCCTATTCAAAGAGACATTGTAAGGATTAAGAGATCATCTATACAAACTTGTCCCTGTGGTGGCTGGTACATAAGCACTTAATAAATATCTATTACATGATATTCACTATTCTAAAGATATTCTTACTACCCACAGCATCTTTTGTACAAAATACAGTTTATTGCTATGATCTGCAGTGTAGGCTAATGTATTCTTTAATTAATTGTCAACCTGTATTTAATGAATATCTATTCCATCTAAGATCCACATGGAGCTAGATTTTTGAGTAATTAGGGAAAGAACTGGAAATGGATCTTATGAAAAAGCAGGAAAAATAAGATAAATGATCCAAGAGTGGTTTCAGACACACTGCTGTGAGCACACAGCTAAGAGAGAAGAGGAGGCGCGGAGATGATGCTGAACGAGGGGCGATGTCAGGGGTCTGAGTTCTAAAGAATGTCCAAAAGTGGGGCACATGGACACCTGGGGCTTGGGAGGGCACTGTCGGAGACCAAAGCAGTGTGAGCAAAGCCGTGGAGGCCCAGAGCCACATGGCGTGAGGCTTTCCATTTGTTAGGAGCACAGCTGTTGTGAAAAGCGTTAAAACTAGGGAGAGCCTGGATACTGGGCTCTCTTTAGTAAACACTGGAAAAGCCAGGATTTAGGTAGAGAAGTGGCAGGAGCAGGCTGCACTTTAGGAGGGTTGAGCTAATGTGCAGGGAGCTAGTAGGAAGCTCTAGGAATAAACGCCTGAGAGGTATGGAGCCTAGGAATGAACACAGTGAAAAGAAAGATATTGAACTGACAAATCTCCCAAGACCGGCAACACATAGGTGAGGCTGAGGAAGCAAGAGGAAGGGCTGAAGATGATGTCAGGTGGCTGGGAGGAGAGTGCCACTCATAAAGGGGGACCACAGAAGATGCGGGTTTGTCATGCAGATGAGGAGTTCACTCTGGGATACACACCTTGAGTTGAGGTCTAGGGAAACATCTAGAGAAGGGCCAGGCACGGGGCTGGACATTCATGGTGGAATATGGCAGGAAGTTAAGGACTGGAAGTATAAACAGGCAACTTTGCACGTACAGGAGTTGGTGAACACACACAGTGATCACAAACTATACAACAGATGACATCACACACCACGCAAGATGGGAGTGCTCTTTACTGTTGCTGTGGGAGTTTCAAGACCCTCTGAAATGAGGAGCGTCTCCTTTCTCTGCTGGAACAGTGCTTCTCAATGTGTGTGCCATTAGCTACCTGCTTGCAGTTACCAGGTAGCTACTTGTTCCCTGTCCATGAAGCGGTAAGTGCAGAAAGGGAGAATAAGCATTTAGAAATTTTATAGCAGTTGGCAGAGGAGCTTTATGTCTGTTGACTCTAATAATTAAACATTTGGATTCACATTTTGAGGATTTTTATCATTTTATTTTTTGATTTTTATTATGTTTTAAAAGTATTTACATACAATAAATTGGAAAAATGATCTGACACTACAGATAGTTTGAAGAACACTGAGGTAGACTTTATTAAGATACCTTTAGACCACACTCAGCAAAACATTTCAGGACACCAAGAAAAAACAAAACAGCCAATGATGACATTATCTTTTACTGTCCTTAAAATACCGGGCTAAGCAATATTCAGATAGTATCCTCTGATTGAAGATGAGATTCTTTAAATTGTTCAGACGATCTGGAGTTGAGGGTGTGCCCGGTTCACGGTGTCTTTGAGCGCTGCGGTCATCGGATGCAGCCTCCAGCCAAGCACCCACTGCCTGGGAGGAGGGAGCTTCCCATTCTTATTCCTGCTTTAATCCAAGCTTGTAAGTTTCAGTTTTGTTTTGTTTTCTTTTGACATAAAAACAATGAGGAGTAGAGTCTATTGCTTTCTCTCAAAATAAACCTTTGGATCATTCAATGTGAGGAGGGCCAAAGGTAAGTGAAAATGCTAGGGAAAAAAATATCAGTTAACATTTACAAATACCATTCCACATATCCTTCACGTACAGGGGACACTCTTCCCTCATGGGTGCAGTCTGGATATTTGTTTCATTTCACGCAGTCAAACCACGCACCTTTTTGGATATGCAGAATTTTACAATTCATAGGCAAAAATTTCAAAAATTACCTCACATTTAATGGTCTCACGAATAGTGTTACACAGACACACATTTAACAGGACATGATTTTCTAGACACCATGTACTACGTAGTACTCGTCAAGCAAATGGATAAATACTATTTATTATGTATTGAAAAAAGAGTTGCCCCTTTTTGAGAGGTAGAAATAATGAAGATGCCATCTTCTGAAAAGCACAGAAACAAAATAAAGGCTTTGTCATGATTAATGATTATGGAACTTTGCAATGATTAAATATCATTCAGAAGCAGATGGTCTTTGGCAGTGACTAGAAAAACAGCCAAGCTAAGACTTTCCCTTCTGTTGTTTAATAAAGAGGTTATTAAGGCAAAGTTGAACTAAATAAAATGTTCTTCTCAAATGCATGTATACCTATATAATCTTAGAATCATTGCCTTCTTTATAACCATAACTTGAAATTATTTTTAAATATTGTGGAACTTCTATATAATGTCAGTCATGAGGATGAGGACACAACTCACCTTGGAAGCTCCTGTTCATATCAGGCTTTTAAAGTTAATAATTCTATTTCAGAGAATGTCGCTCTTTGTATAGAAAGGTAAAGTGGGGATGTATTGTAAAATGCAACATTTAATTCAATTCCCTAGTATCAAACAGTGTGAAGACTTGGAAACCATCCCTGTAGAGATGCAGGACTCTTCATAATCCAGTTGAACTAAGAGCCTACATCAAATAAAATGAACCCCTTCCCTCAAATAGAAGTTTTCTTGCTAAATTAATGCAAAAAATTGAATCCTAAGGAACTACAGTTTGAATATATGAAGCGCAGTTTAAAGAAGCAGGTGATAAATTCCCAAGGGAAGGTCTACCTCAGACCTCTGTTTTACTTGTTTTAACATTTTTATAAGCATGTTTCACAGATGAATGTGATCATTGATCAACTACTTACTATTCCATAAAGCCAGGGTTCTTAGCATTTGAAGTAACGGCTGGTATTTCAGGGTCTACTAGACACCAAATACAGCATGCATGTTTTATGGACATTATCACAAATCCCCAAAGCATACATACAAGGCAGGAATTTTATTTTCATTTTACACATGAAGAAATTGAGGCTCAGAATAAGAAATTGTCTAATTCCACCTAGCTGCTATGTGATAAATGTAAGATTGAATTCCTGGAAATCAATCTATATCTTCCACACATAGGTATAACCAGGTATTTTTAATGAATTAAGATAGTAATGAGGATTAAAATCTACTTCCAAAGTAATTCATGGTATTTCCACCAGAACAAAATAACTCCAAAGAATTATACTCTTTCCAATAAAAATTTAAAAATCACGTTAGTAAGACCGGGCGCGGTGGCTCACACCTGTAATCCCAGCACTTTGGGAGGCCGAGGCAGGTGGATCACGAGATTAGGAGTTTGAGACCAGCCTGGCCAATATGGTGAAACCCTGTCTCTACTAAAAAAACACAAAAATTAGCCAGGCATGGTGGTGCGTGCCTGTAGTCCCAGCTACTCAGGAGGCTGAGGCAGGAGAATCGCTGGAACCAGGGAGGTGGAGCTTGCAGTGAGCCAAGATTGCGCCACTGCACTCCAGCCTGGGCGACAGAGCAAGACTCCATCTCAAAAAAAAAAAAAAAAAGTTAGTAATCTAAAAGTATCTTTCTCAAAATAATATTCTTTTTTTTTTTTTTTTTTCTTTTGAGACGGAGTCTCCCTCTGTTGTCCAGGCTGGAGTGCAGTGGCGCTATCTCGGCTCGCTGCAAGCTCCGCCTCCCGGATTCACGCCATTCTCCTGCCCCAGCCTCCCTAATATTCCTATTAGTACTGATAAAGAGACCATAATAATCCATTTCAAAGTACAAATAAATGTCTTTTGTAATAAAGGCATGACTTATTAAAAATAAAGCATTCATTTTTTCAACTCTTTTCCAGTTTTTTATAATTATGTTTCTTGTAAATTATTTTATGTATGATGATACCAAATATATTTTATTCATACTAGAACGGCAGTAATGAGCAAGCATTGTCTTACTAGAAAAAATGGAGAAGCAATTAGAGATGGCATTGCCAGGGAAAGGCTGTTCCTGCACGTCAGCATTTTCTTAATTAGATGTTTCACTTAAGGGTTTGGAAGAAGCCTTATAATTAAATATTGACAACTGTAATCCTTGCCAGGCACTAATGTTCATGTTTATCTAGTGAGTATATTTGTTTAACATTTAACATTTTGGATCTTTTTTGACTGATTTCTAACATAAATGATACAATCTTGAGGATCTATAAAATATAGTTAAAATATATTTTTAAAATGTATTTTTAAAGATGTATTAAAGTGACAATTTAAAACTTAGTCATTAACTTCAATTCTTTACAGTGAAATTTCTTTAGTAGAGCATGTCAGAATTACATTGAGAAGATCATGGGATCCTATGGAAGATGTACGGAGACATTGATGGCAATTGATATTCTGACGCACACAAACTTACTATGACGGCCCTGACAGCCGCTGCACACGTTGACCCCACCTAACGTGGGACTGAAAACGATGAGTGTGGTGCTGCCATCCTACACCCAGCAGTTGTCTGTCTTCATTCTCTCTTCTGACCCTGTTGAAGTTCTGCTTCTGCTCTTTTGTCTCTGTCTTGCTTTTGTGGTGGAGTTTAACCTTGGACTTGATGAATACATTTGGCTCTTGATATAATCCTCATAGCTCCTGAGAATCTGACTCAAGCGCCCCTGTGATTTATCTGCCTGAATTCTCTGTTAACTGTGCCGACCAACCCAGATCCAGCCCCATGAACTTACCAAGACAGTGACTTCCTGGCTGGCACCATGCTAGGCCTGCCAGGGAGATCAGAATAGCCAATACCTGTCTTCCTTTCACTAGTTTCTCACTTGTCTCAATTATGTCTTTATATTAAGTGAGAAAATTGCTGACAACATATAGATAAAGATGTTATGAAGAAGTCTGAAAGAAGCTATTCGTAAAGAAACCATGAGATGAATGTAGACAGTAGGCTGTTCTAAAAGATAACTGGCCTGCTGTCTTTAAAACTGTCAGTGTCAGGTCTGGGGAAAGGCGGAAGAACCATTTTCTTTCTATATGAAAATAGACTAAAGACATGTAAGAACAATTTAAAGTATGGAATTTGATTGGATGCTAGTTTAAAAATATAGCTATAGAAGACACTTGGGGAAATTAGATTTGAATATTAAAGAGAATATTGGAGTGAGTACTAGTTTTAAGAAACTGTCATTGATTTCCTTAGATATGATAACAGTTTGAGGATTATGTAGGAGAACATCCTTTTAGGAAATGTATGGTAAGGTAGGGATCAGTAGAGTGTCATGATATTTGCAACTTCCTTTCAAATGGTCCGGAATAAAATATGTTTCTGGATTTAATATGGTAAAATATTAACCATGGTTGAATCCAGGTGATAGGTATTTTATTTTTTGGTATAAATCTTTCAACTCTTCCATGTTTTTAAAAAAATGTTATAGTAAGAAGTTGGAAAAACTATTGTATATAAGAATCATTATTATTCTGACCTCAACAGAAATGTTAAATATTTACTTTTCATGGGAATTGTTCATAAATAATGTAAATATTTAGAGGATGAATATCTAAATGATGAAACAAAAGATCGTAAGTAAATTCTTGCCTCCTTTTTTGGAGACTAAGTGGTTCCTTAACATTTGTGAACCCTAATGTTCCAAATTTCATATTTCCACCTTTCTTGAAAGCATCTGGTAATGGTGACTTTCTTTTATAGAATTTCAAGCCTTCAGAGAAGAATCTAAAGTTCTGAAGAAGGAAAAATGGAAATTATGATAGAGCCTAGAAGGAAAGAAATGAATATGTTTAATTTTGTTACAAGGGAATAAGAAATGGTGGGGAAGAGAAGACGGAGGAGATACTTTCATTCATAGGCCATGCCTCTGCATTCAAACACTGGTCATTCTGATGTGGAGTCCAGTGTTAATCCAAGGAACCAGGACAATTTGAAAAGGAAATGTCACATTACTGAGTTTTCAAAGGATGTCCAAATCTTATTTTTGCAAAATATGGCTGTTTGTATAGTTTATTTTTGGCAAAGTATGGTTGTTAGTTTATGTAGTTTATACAGTTAAAAGATTTCTCTAGTCATTGCAAGTTTTCTTGTCTGTACCTTTATGAGATGGGTGAATTTTCGTCTCATGGACATGTGCTGATGTTGGGAGACAGTTCTCCCTGGGCCTTTTGTTCCTGTATGTTCTTGCTGGATATGCAGAAATGCAAGGCCCTTCATGGCTCTTTATTAATAAGGGCCATTTTCCAGGGTTGCATTTTCAATGAGCAGCCTGAAGAGATGAGGGAGAAAGAGCACGTGAGCCACTGGCTGCTATGGAGCAGCTGGTTTGCAAGCTCGGTGTTTTTTGTGACACGACCCACTGCAGGATCAAGGACCAAACACTTTCCCTCTGGGAAGTGGGGTCCAGGAAACAGACATGAATTCTGATACTGTGGCTGCTGCTTTTGCAGCAAGTAAGAAAGTCTTTCATCTCTGGTCTAGGATTCTTATGTTTCCTCTAAGCATCCACAAAATTGTGACAAACTAATGTGCTGGCTTTTCAGCAGAGTAAAATGAAATCCCAGACCCTTCACGGTCCTTGATAGCCAGCATAGAATAGTTAAGCAGCAAATATTTATGTGACAATCACTTTCTTAAAAAAAATAAAACACTTTTTGTACAAAGCAGTGACAGTAGCTGAAATTGCTAAACAAAATTCTATTCTAAAAATTTGCCATCTTAACTAGATAGCTAAAATTTTCTAATGTGTGAAAGAAGGGGCTACACACTCACACAGACAATGAGAAACTTGGTAGTGGGTGGCCACTTTGTTTCTAGGTCATCCACTAGAGGTACATCCCCAAAGAGGTGTATCCTTGGTCAGAAAAGGATGGACTTACGATAAGATACCAAGATACATCTACAGAATAATCCTGTGAGTAGGAAATGCAAAGGCACTATATTCCTCCAGAGTGGAGGCAGAGGGTGGGTTGGCTTTCGGTTTCTTGCCATTTTTGTTTTTTGGGTTAATTTTTCTTTCTTTTTTTTTTATTATACTTTAAGTTTTAGGGTACATGTGTACAACGTGCAGCTTTGTTACATATGTATACATGTGCCATGTTGCTGTGCTGCACCCATTAACTCGTCATTTACATTAGGTATATCTCCTAATGCTATCCCTCCCCGCTCCCCCCCACCCCACAACAGGCCCCGGTGTGTGATGTTCCCCTTCCTGTGTCCATGTGTTCTCATTGTTCAGTTCCCACCTATGAGTGAGAACATGTGGTGTTTGGGTTTCTGTCCTTGTGACAGTTTGCTCAGAATGATGGTTTTCAGCGTCATCCATGTCCCTACAAAGGACATGACCTCATCCTTTTTTATGGCTGCATAGTATTCCATGGTGTATATGTGCCACATTGTCTTAATCCAGTCTATCATTGTTGCACATTTGGGTTGGTTCCAAGTCTTTGCTATTGTGAATAGTGCCACAATAAACATACGTGTGCACGTGTCTTTATAGCAGCATGATTTATAATCCTTTGGGTATATACCCAGTAATGGGATGGCTGGGTCAAATGGTATTTCTAGTTCTAGATCCTTGAGGAATTGCCACACTGTCTTCCACAATGGTTGAACTAGTTTACAGTCCCACCAACAGTGTAAAAGTGTTCCTATTTCTCCACATCCTCTCCAGCACCTGTTGTTTCCTGACTTTTTAATGATCGCCATTCTAACTGGTGTGAGACGGTATCTCGTTGTGGTTTTGATTTGCATTTTTCTGATGGCCAGTGATGATGAGCATTTTTTCATGTGTCTTTTGGCTGCATAAATGTCTTCTTTTGAGAAGTGTCTGTTCATATCCTTTGCCCACTTGTTGATGGGCTTGTCATTTTTATGGAACACAGTGTGGTCATGTGTCCACAGCCATACAAGTCAATGACTGGACTATTGGAAATCCTTGCTGTTGGCATCTCACAAACCTTTTCCTTTCTCTCAGTACTTTTTCTCTAAGTAATGATGCAGTTCAGGCCCTCAGCTTGTTGTTTTGTGATATGTGCCAGCCACCTGCTTCTCGAACCATATCTTTCTCGTTGGATGAACACAGAGCCAGGATGCCTGCTACACCCACATCCCCTGCGGAGGTCTCTTGATGATAGCCACTGCTGAGGGAAGCAGCCCTAGGCAGCCCCACAAACACAGTAATGACGCTGCCTCTCGGGAGCTGATCAGAGCACGCTGGGAAGCCTGAGGAAGATAGTCCGTCCGTCAGCCAGCCAGCAATCAGTGACATGGTACAGGGGTAGCTCTATCCAAGCAGGGATGTCAATGCAGTGAAATAGGTTTCTCACGAGAATTTGCACACGAGGTAAAGGGAGAGTCAACAGCACAGGCTTGTTGTCAGGTTTAAGTGAGATCATTCCCATAAGGCACTCAGCAGAGCGCTTGGCTGAAATATGGGGCTTAATAAATGTTGGGGAATTAACACTACTATTATTGTGAATAGCTGAAGCTGAAGGATACTGAGAGAAGGCAAAGAACAGAGAGGCCGTGGGCAAGCTGGGGCCATGAATACCCAACCGTTTGGAAGGGAGGCCAAAAAGAAATACGAGGTAGGGATGAGATGTTGAAGAAGCAACGTAGAGGAGTGGAATCACACGAACGAGTGTGGCACCCTCTCTGTGTCCTGCAGACTCGCACTGGCAAGAGCGCGAGGTAACAGCCTGTTCTCCAGCTGCCCGGAGGCTGGATGACCTTCACAGGCCCCAAATTCTAACCTCTAGAGCCTGCCATCTCCTTCCTCCCTTATATTCCTGTTTGGGTGGTGTTTCCCAGACTCCTGTGGGATCTGGACGCTTGTTTCCAATATTTGAAAATTATTTCCACAAAATGAAATCCTTTCATTAGTATCATATCACTTGCCCTGTCCATACTACTCATTACTAGGGGTACCTCGAGTAAGCCTCGCGCCTTGTTACCAAAAAGGATACCTTGACATACTTGCCCTTTCCAACTCACATCTTCCCGAGATGCCCCTTTCTTGCTGGCTAGATAGAATTTATTCACTCTCTCAGCTTCTCTACCATATGGTGGTGTGACGGTCAATTTTATGTGTCAACTTGACTGAGCTAAGGGACACCCAGATAGCTGATAAAACGTTGTTTTTGGATGAGTCTGTGAGTGTGTCTCCAGAAGAGATTAACATTTTCATCAGTAGACGCAGTGGAATCTACCCTCACCAATGAGAGTGGGCATCATCTAATCCCTTAAGGGGCCAAATAGAACAAAAAGGCAGAGGAAGGGCGAATTCTCTTCTTCTTGATCTCGGACATCCAACTCTTCTGCCCTCAGACATTGAAGGGTCTGGTGTTTGGGTCTTTAGACTCCAGGACTCCACCCTCGAATTCTCAAGTCTTTGACCTTGGACTGGGGGAAGTCACGCCATCGTCACCCCATTGACCCCCCTGGTTCTCAGATCTTCACACTCGGGCTGGATCACACCACTGGCTTTCCTGGTTCTTCAGCTCGCAGATGGCAGATGATGCGACTTCTTAGCCTCTGTGATTGCGTGAGCCTGTTCCCCTAATAAATCTCCTGGTGTATGTCTCTGTATCTTATTGGTTCTGTTTCTCTGGAGAACCCCAATACAGGGGGAGGAAGAGACACTTGCTCTTTATAAATGGGCGGTGTATCACAATTCTGTGGTGATTTTGAGCTAATTTTCTGCTTTGGAACCACTGAAGAGGCTTATTGAAGACTGGAATGGAATGGAATTTTGTAATGGTAGAGCTGTCGCGTATGCCAATTACAAGTGTTGCGGGCAGGACAGTTACTTCACAGGCAGAAGTAGTGTCTGTGTGATTCTCTGAGAAGCCCTGCCTTCCTGCCAGGCAGAAGGTGCTGGAGCTGACTGCACGGGCCAACAGGAGCAACTGTACACCTCTCGCCAACTCCACCCTGAGTAGCATCACACTGGGAGTTTGAAATCAGCCAAGGAGGAACTATTTTCACCCTGCATGCCCACAAATCTCAACTCAGAGCTTCGGTTTCTTCCGGAGAGTTAGTCTACCAGCACACTGCTGCTAGGAAGTATAAGAAGTAGGTTTACTTCACAGTAAACATCCTTCCAGTCTACCTGGATTCCACAGGTAGATTGAAACAAGGGGATGCTTTTGACAAAAGGCTTTGTGATGACTGCTTCTGTCACAGGAATGCTCAGAAGAGATGTCAAGAGGCTGGCCTCTCCAAAGTCTCACAGCTGGAGTGTGGGTACCAGGTTCTGTCTAGTGGCTTTCAACGTTTGTTTTCTGTCTTACAGCATCCATCAGAGGATGACATGTCCATGCGAGAAGCAGTTTCATGAGTGTTTGTTAATGTGATCACTGCAGTTATATTCCTTACTCTTCAGACAAGCAAGAATAAGGGAATGTGTGTGAAAGAGGTAGTCTGAAATATTCTGGTGGTTTTTGTTTTGTTTTGGAGATAGAGTTATGCTCTTGTCACCCAGGCTGGAGTGCAGTGGCACGATCTCTGCTCCCTGCAACCTCTGCCTTCCAAGTTCAAGCAATTCTCCTGCCTCAGCCTCTCAAGTAGCTGGAACTACAGGCCTGAGCCACCATTCCCAGCTAATTTTTTTGTATTTTTAGTAGAGACAGGGTTTCACCATGTTGGCCAGGCTGGTCTCAAAGTCCTGACTTCAGTTGATCCTCCCCACTCACCTTCCCAAAGTGTTGGGATTACAGGCATGAGCCACCATGCCCGGCCTTTTTTTTTTTTTTTTTTTTGATACGGAGTTTCACTTTTGTTGCCCAGGCTGGAGTGCAATGGTACGATTTCAGCTCACTGCAACCTCCGCCTCCTGAGTTCAAGCAATTCTCCTGCCTCAGCCTCCCGAGTAGTTGTGGTGACAGGTGCATGCCACCATGCCCCACTAATTTTTGTATTTTTAGTAGAGATGGCTTCACCATGTTAGCCAGGCTGGTCTCGAAATCCCAGCCTCAGGTGATCCACCCACCTCTGCCTCCCAAAATTCTGAGATTACCGGCATGAGTCACTGCGCCTGGCCAATATTCTGTTTTTTAATGCAAGTCATTGATAAAATTAGTCCTACATTTTTGTGGTCACAGCTTACGACTGATACTGAGGTTAAGGACCATGAGTTTAGATGATACAAGAGTGAAGGGAAATTGTGCTCTGCAGGGACTCATGTTGCAATTTTCTGTCTTTGGGAGCCACTCAGCTAAATATTATAAAAAAAAAAACCAAAAAGAGCAACGGAACCTTCCCTGGAACACCTTAGCTCACGATGCTTTCTTTCTTCCTTATAAGGACATGTCTTATATGTATTTTTGTTTATTATGGGGAAGGGCTGAGCTCTGCTTAATGGAAATATGTCTAGTATATTTCAGAGCTCATGGTTTTTTGAAATTCAAGGTCCATATTAAATTCAGTTTATTTAGAATTAGAGTGTTCACCTTTATTATTTAATGTACTTCAGTTGTTGGTTTGGTTAATTTTCACACTTTAATATTCACACTTTGAGCTTAGCATTGTATGTCTGTGTGTGTACATATATGTATGTGTGTATGGATGGATGGATGTCTGTGTGTATGTGCATGTGTGTATGGTGTATGCATCTGTATAGGGGTGTGTGTGTATGGGTGTGTATGTGTGTGTGTCTGGGTATGCGTCTTATGTGTTTCTGTGTGTGTGCATCTCTGTGTCTATGAGTATCTGTGTATGTGTGTCTTTTTTGGTGTGTGTGTGTCCACGTATGAGCCTGTATCTGTATGTGTGCCTGCATCTCTGTGTGTGTATGAATGTGTGTCTGTGTGTGTATCTGTCACTTTGTGTCCATGTATGTGTATGGGTGTGTGTCTCTCTGTGTCTGTGTATGAGTGTGTATGTGCCTCTGTGTGTCTGTGTGTGTCTGTGCATGTGTGTATGTGTCTCTGTGTCTGTGTATGAGTGTGCATGTGTGTGTGTGTCTATGTGTGTGTGCTCCGAATACACTTCTAATCTGTACCTTCCTGTCCCTGTTGAGAAGCCTCTGTTTTTGCTCCACACTGACCAATATGGCCAATATTGGTCAAGGATTGACCAAAGGAGAGAGCAAGGATGCAGCTCTCCTTTCCCCATAAGGAATTCATGAACTGTAATTGCATTAAATCACGAGGAAAAACTGTGTATTTCACTAAAGATCCCCTTGAAAGATGAATGTGATTCATATCACACACCGTACAATATCTCACTTCAAAAGTTCTCTTGATTCCGCTTCCAGCAAGGGTGGACTGGATTGTTTCAGACCAACCACCAGCTGAGAGCAACTAGAGAAGCTGAACACTAGGTTAAAGACCACGCAGGAATTAGGGTGACCAGCAAATAGAGCAGCACCGGGGACTGAAACCCAGTTTTAGATCTTCTCAATTGCTGATTGGATTAAGGTGACCTGGGACTGAGAGAGCCCCCAGCACAGTCTGCTATACCAAGCAAATACAATCCTCTTTGAACTTAAGCTGCAAGCAACGACTCTGTATTGTTTACCAGACACCAGTTAAATAGAAGAAGAAAGAAATGTTAAAAATAAATGTACACGTCAAGTGTTTGCATGTGCAAATATTCCAACTAAAAGGAAGCTGATGTATCTTGTATTAGACCAAGTAGACTCCCAAGTAAATAGGAAGCATTGGTAGAAGTACCAAGGGCCAGTTCATGAAGATTAAAGGCCACTCTGTGAGAAGATATAAGAATTCTTAATTTATAGGCACCAATAACATCGTTTCAAAAAATATGTAAAGATGCACCCATTTGACTAACTTGCAGCAGCTAATGTCTGCTGCCAAGGTTTCCTCTCCAGATGCAAGAAAAAAGTGTTTTTTGCCATTCCTGTCCATCAGCCTGTGGTAGCCAAGATTGAATGGAAGAGTATAGGAAATACAGAACACAGATAGGAGGTAACTGTTACAACCCAGACATAAACTTGTAAACGGTGCAAAACCTGTTTTACTCCAAAAAGGAATCTAAAATTGGACTTTATGAAATCTCTCTCTCTCTCTCTCTCTCTCTCTCTCTATATATATATATATATATATAATCTATATCGACAGAACTAAAAGGAGAAATCCAAAATTGTAGTGGAAGATTGTAACAGTAATTGTGTATAATTGTTTGAGACAGAGTCTTACTCTGTCATCCAGACTGGAGTGCACGGGCATGATCTCAGCTCACTGCAGCCTCTACCTGCTCGGGGTCAGGTGATCCTCCCACCTCAGCCTCCCCAGTAGCCACCATGCCTGGCATTTTTTTTTTGTATTTCTGTAGATATGGGGTTTTGCCATGTTGCCCAGGCTGGTCTCAAACTCCTGGACTCAAGCGATCCACCCACCTCAAGTTCCCAAAGTGCTGGGACTACAGGCATGAGCCACCGTGCCTGGCCAATTATGTATAATTTTTTGGAGTCAATTTGTTTCAGAAAAAATACCACCAATTTACCTTAGAAAGATTCAAACAATACAGTAATTCCTCTCATAGATATGAGATGGATTGAAAAGCTACAGTAAATAGTATGTTACTGATGCAAAGGTAGACAAATAGGCCAGGAGAGTACAGTAGACAAGCCAGAAACACCTATTTGTACATGGATGTTTGGTTGCTGCAAAGTTGGTGTTGCAGATATTGGTGAAAAGATGGTTGCTATGAACTGAATGTCTGTGCCTTTCCCCCAAGTTCCTATGTTAAGCCCCTAACTCCTAGTGTGTTGGTATTTGGGGAGTAACTAGGTTTAGATTAGGTCTTGAGGAAAGGCCCCTTGTGACAGGGTTAGTGTCCTTATAAGAAGAGGAAGGGCAGGCGCAGTGGCTCACGCCTGTAATCCCAGCACTTTGGGAGACTGAGGTGGGTGGATCACTTGAGGTCAAGAGTTCGAGACCAGACTGGCTGACATGGTGAAACCCCATCTCTACTAAAAATACAAAAATTAGCCAGGTGTGGGGGCACATGCCTGTAATCCCATTTACTCGGGAGGCTGAGGCAGGAAAATCGCTTGAACCCATGAGGCAGAGGTTGCAGTGAGCTGAGATCATGCCACTGCACTCCAGTCTGGGTGACAGAGCAAGACTCCAACTCAAAAAAAAAAAGAGGAAGACAGTTTCTCACTCTCCCACTCTCCATGTACACACAAAGAAGAAGGCATTTGAGCACACAGGGAGTTGGCAGCCTTCAGCAAGCCAGGACAACACCCTCACAAGAACCAAACCAGCTGGCACCTTGATCTTGGACTTCCAGGCTCCATAACTGTGACAAATAAATGTCTGTTGATTACGCTGCCCAGTCTGTGGTGTCTTGCCATAGCAGCCTGAGCTGAATGAGGCAATGGTCTTTTCAATAAATAGTGCGGAACCAACTGTATATCCTTACAGAAGTGGAAGACACCTGATACCTCAAGTCACACTACACATACAAAACAATTTCATGTGGACTGTAGATCTGAATATGAAAGGTAAAACAATGAAACTTCTAGGAGAGGACATAGATGCCGATTTTCATGCATCTCATCCTCGAGGATAGGTAAGGACCTCTGCTAACAGACAAAATAATTGCTAACCAAAAAGTAAAAGTTACACTGCATTAAAATTAAGAACTTCTGTTAATCAAAACAGACCATTTACTGGAAGGTTTTAAATGACCCCAAACAAGCTTTGTAAGGCCAGCTAGCCCTTTAACTGTAGTTAATTGTTGGGAAAAAATTCTTTTGTATTTCTTTTTGAATGGGTTTAGCTTCTGTTCTAGCTTTCTTATTATCTCCATAAAAGATTGGAACACAAAACACAAAATAGCTCCATATTAAAGCTTAGCAACACAGATAACACGTCATTTCCACAGCAGAGGCTTGGTGATGCTAATCATTTGACAAATTACCTTGGTACGAGATTTTCCAGTTTATGTCACTTTTAATGAAGGGCAGATTTTTAAAGACCTGTTTTCTATATCTGAAAAGTAAGCCATCAGTATTGTCATGAGACAAAATTACAGCAAATTTAGTTCAAAAATCTCAGTGAAATCAATGAAATTGATTTAAAAGCTACAGTAAATAAGACTGTGTTATTGATGCAGAGATAAACAGTGGGCCATGGGAGCCCAGTAGAAAAGCCAGAAACAGACCTATTTGTCTATGGGATTGTTGCAAAGTTGGTGTTGCCGACATTGGTGAAAAGATGATTGTTATGGGCTGAATGTCTGTGTCTTCTAAACCAAAAAATATCTAAGACAGGTCTCAACCGATTTAGAAATTTTGCCAAGGTTAAGAATGTGCCAGGGAGACAGGTCTGTGCCTTTTTCCAAAGATGGTTTTGAGGGCTTCAGTATTTAAAGGGGAAAAGCAGGCTGGAGGGGATAGGAGGGTATGGTCTCACTACTGAATCCACTTGTTCCAAGACAAAAGGAGCAGGGAGGGGAATGGCCAATTCGGTGCTTGTCCAGGCTTAGTACATCTGCTCTTTATGCAAGATAAGGTGAACATAGGCTAGCCACCTGTGAAGATATTGAACCTTTTATCTGTAGCTCTCTGCCTGTCAACAAAAGGAAAGATAGTTTCTTGCATGACTCAACTTTCAGCTTAAGTGTTTCCTTTTGGCATCCTGAACTGGGGTCCCAAGTTTCTGTTTTGCTTTCACAGTCTTTCCCTAAATTCATGTTCATGTTAAGCCCTGAACCCCCAGTGTGATGGTATTTGGAGATGGATTTTTTAAAAGAGACATTGACGCTGTGCTCTGAGACGAGCTCTGCCTATAGAGCTGGCCTGCACTCAGCACTGCTTAGGAATGTGAGTAAAGGCTTCTGACTCAACACTGCCCCCTCCTCCCTAGGCATTCACTGGTGGGTAAAGGTTAGACAGGAGTCATGTATTGTCTCGACTTCTTTCCACCCTACACACTACATTCTGCAAGCTGGGAGGTGATTTTTTAAAAAATGTGATAAATATGCATGAGACAGAATTTATTTTAACAATTTTAAGTGTACCATTTAGTGGCATTAAGTACCACATTCACAGTGTTGTGCAGTCACCACCGCCATCCATCTCCAGAAGTTTTTCATCATCTCAAACAAACTCACTACCTGTTACCAGTAACTCCCCGTTCCTTCCTCTCCTCAGCACCTGGCAACCACCATTCTGCTTTCTGTCTGTATGAATTTGACTACTTTAGGGACCTTATATATATAAGTGGAATCATACAATATTTGGGCTTTTGTGTCTGGCTTATTTCACTTAGCGTAAAGATTTTAAGGTTCATCCATGTTATAGCATGAATCAGATTTTCATTCCCTTTTAAGACAATATTTAATTGTATGTATTAATATATACTACCTTTTGTTTATCCATTCTTCTGTTGATGGACATTTGGGTTGCTTCCCTCTTCAGCTGTGTGAACAATGCTGCTATGAACATTTTTTAGAGATGGGGTCCTGCTCTGTCACTCAGGCTGGAGTACAGTGGCGTGATCATAGCTCACTGCAACCCTGACCTCCTGGGCTCAGGTGATCCTCCTGCCTCAGCCTCCCAGAGTACCAGGGAGGACAGGCATGTGCCACCACACCTACCTACTTTTTAAATTTTCTGTAGAGACAGGATCTCCCTGTATTGCCCAAGGTGGTCTCGAACTCCTGGCTCAAGTGATCAGCCCACCTCAGCCTCCCAAAGTGTTGGGATTACAGGTATGAGCCACTGCACCTGGCCTGTGTCCCTGCTTTTAATTCTTTCAGTGTATACCAAGAAGTGGGATTGCTGGATCCTATGGTAATTTTGTGTTTCACTTTTGAGGAATCACAAACGATTTTTTTATACTAGCTGCACCATTTTACGTTTCCACCGGTGATGCACGAGGATTCCCATTCCTCTACATCTTCACCAAAACTTACTTTCTTTATCTCTTTTTAAACAGCCACTCTAATGAGTTTAAAATGGAGGACTGATCTTTTTTACATTTTTTGGCAAGGGCTTCCAGACAGCATCGTGCGATGCTGTTGAAGATAGACACATCCCAGCCTCAGAGATTAAACCTGAGCAATTATGATCTTTATTTTCTTCTTTTGCAACATTTTAGACTGGTATTTTCCTGGGTCTGAAATAGGAAGAAAGCTGCATGTGAAGCATGTTCATGGCTGACTCTGTACTAGGTGCCGCAGCAAGGACAGGAAGAGCCTTTTGCTTTTTTAGGTGCATGAGAAAGACAGCGAGAACACAGTCATCCTGAGAGTGTCTGGCAGCCTGAGTTCTCCTTTCAGCTTTGGTCAGCTGAGAGCCCTGGATCACCAAGTAAAGAGGAACCTCTGTGCTCTCCCAAATGTCTTCGTTAGTCAGACCTAGGTTTTCCCTGGGTATCCTGCATTGCCCTAGAATCTGACAGTTTTGTTGTTTTACATTTAGAAAGGGTGTTCTGCTGGTGTTCCCACCCAAAGATGGAATAGGATTTACTTACAATTAAAGCTGTTGAGGGAAAGCCTAGCAGCCTCGTGTGCTGCAGGTTTGCAGGAATCTGGATTCTGGTCCCTGGCCTTCACCAAGCAGCAGCAGGCCTGCCCTTCTGAGACCTCGCTTTTTCTTCTCTGGAATACGAAGGCTTTCATTAGTTCCTCTACTCCTTCAAACATTGATTAAAGGTGTGCTGAGGCTAGGGTGACACAATTCAATATGACGCAGTTCCTGGGCTCAAGCAGTTTTTTAGGTGGGAATGCGTTGGGAGGACAGAATGTATAACAGATGAATCAGGGCGGTGGCTCTCGAAGTGCCATCCTGGGCCGCAGTACCAGCAGCACGTGGGATCCTGAGAAATCCACATTCGCACTGCAGACTTGCTGCACCAGAGACCGGGGTGGGGCCCAGCAACCTGGGTTTTTACGAGCTCTCTGGTGATCCTGCTGCATGTTACAATTTGAGAACCACTGAATTCAATTCTGACCTGACAAACTGCAGTGCAGACATAAGACAGCGGGCACCACCCCTTTGCCTCTACTCTCACGTTTTTTACTTTAGATTGTGTATTAAACATAAAATGCATGCAATCTCCCAATTCTAGTGTTCTGAAATTCCATCTGTATGTCTTGAAATTTAGTAAGAGATTTATGAAGACATTGTGTTGTAATGTCATATACATATGAGTGGTGGTAGAGGTAATAATCAGTTCTCATTATCCCTGGTAGTCATGGTCTGTGAAGTCACCGGAAACCATGATGTAGTGAATACTGAACCATAGCTGCAGAGGAAATACAGGGTTCGCGTCCTGTGAGTCTCCAGTCTCAACATTTTTGTCAACTGATCGATACCTGAGCTTGTCTAATGTGTGTTCGTGTTGAAAGACACCTCATTTAATATATAGTAGCGACTTGCTAACATTGAACTCACCGACAGCGCTGTCTATACCTCGTGCCTGAAAGCTGATCAACATACGTATTTCCTTCTCAAGGCACACCACAGCCTTCTGGCGCTTAGGAACACTCGGCAGCTTTAGCACAGCACTCCAAGACCACTTTACACAGCCAGATCACCCACAACAAGCACAACAATTTGGAAGACCTGTGACAGCACTGAATAGACCCACAAAAGTGCACACTTGTTGACAGCGTGAGAGCTGAAACAAGGCAGGGTCGCCTTGTGTGACCGCAGCGGGGAGCACGCAGTTGAAGGGACTCAGGTGTGTCATTGTTCTGCACATGTGCGGAGGGGCATGGAGGCACCACGCGTGTGGAGTTGGGGCTTACAGATGTATTTTAGCAAGTAGGTGAATTTGCAGAGGGTGAACCAGAGAATAATAAGGATCAATTGCATCTTAATATTTCAGTTACATAAAATCTAATGTACAACAGTGGTCTAGCAATTACTACGAAGTCTTTGTTTTCTGCTGTGCTGTTTAAAAGAGTAAATCAAACATTGAAAAACACATTTTAGGAAAATTTGGCCTTATTGATGTTGCAGTTTGCCCAATTGAACTCTTCATAGAATATGTTTGGATAGTTATTTTTATGTTGAAAGACTGTTTAATTATCAGAATTTTTGTAAAACAGTTTTTAGATTATTCTTTTTTCACTTTATACTAAGTATAGTAAACAAATGTGTAAAAGTAAAAAAATTGGATATTAAAGAATGTCATTGGACCCATTTGTTCAATATATTAGGTTGAAACAATGAAATTTCTGTTTCTCTGGTTCAAAGTAGTATAATATGGACAATTTCATATGATTCTGCCTAATAATTACTCTCCGTGATAAATTTTAGCACTTACTTTAAAAAGTTGGGTTTCAGAACTTAGGTATTTCATTTTGAATAATGTACTAATTCTATATTTTTCTATAATTTTCTATAAGCTTGTGGACCTTATTGATTACCTAGGACTTTCTATGCTTTTTATACTCTTCATATTAAAAGTCTAAGTATTTTTCATCCTTTTTTGGATACAACATTTATAGCAATTTCAAAATGTCCTGATAATCTGTGCCATGTATAGGAGCTTTAGCGTCTCTGTATGATTTGTAGGGAGCTGTGGGAGTGTGCCCTGCAGGGCTGCAGGTGGGGTGCTCAACAAGCCAGGCTGCCCACAGCCTAAGAAGGTGGCTCTGCCTTTCCGTCCACCTGTCTGTGCCCGAGTTTTCTCACTGGCAGAATGGCATTAACAGCAGTGCCCCCTTCGAAGAATGATTGTGAAGCTCAAATACACTGATTGATCTCTCTCTCTCTCTCTCTCTCTCTCTTTCTCTCTCTCTTTCTCTCTCTCTCTCTCTCTCTCTCTCTCTCTCTCTCTCTCTCTAAGTGCTTAAAGCAGGGCCTGGTGTGTGGTACATATTCAGGAAATGTTAGTGGATACTATGGTAGAACATATTTGTTGTGTTTAAAATAGACCAATAATGAAAGGAACTTTAACAGAAATCAGCAAATTGGATTTGAGATGAATCTTTGAAAGCTAAACTTTTAAAGCTAGACTGGACTGATCTGGATAAAGCTGTGTACCCTTGGGAATTTACTGGATGTTGCTGACCCTCTTTTTTTTTTTTCTATATAAAAGAGTAGCCACCTTTCAGGTGGCTGAAGGTTTTGTTCATGTGGTGGTGTGAGGTTTACGAGTAAGGTACATTGGTCTCTGGCTCTAAGTGCTGGTCAGAGCGAAAGCATACCCTGTCCCTCATGCACATTCATATCATGTGCATGGTATGATATGTGCATGGTACGCACTTTCTGTCGGCTGTGCGTACCACCTACTGTTCACTGAAATGCTGACTTCTGATTGAGACAGGATTCCCTATCTATTCTGGAATGAAAATTCGGCAAATCCTAAATCTTGCAAAAAAGAAACCATAAAGTATTAAAATCTGGGCAAGGATTTTTTTTTTTATAGTGATGAAAGAGGGGAAATGTTGACATCTGGTGGCTTTCTGGCAATATTGCATGCCACCATTTCAATATTACATGCAGCCTTTCAATCCCAATCTAGAGCTATATCTTGGTTTACACAGGCTATTCCTAGAACATGCTCATAAAAGAAAAATTCTGTTATCATTTAATATCATATTTATTTATTGCAATTTCCTGGACTCATTTAAAACAATGTACTTATAAATTTCACCACTTAGGTAATTTTTAAATATTAAATAATATATTCTATATTTTTCTATAATTTTATATAAGCTATGGACTTCATAGTTTACCTAGCACTTTCCAAGATTTTTATACTCTTCCCATTAAAATAATAAAACATGATATTGTTTTATTAGTCTTCTATGAAGGAAGTTACCAACTTGTAAAATATATTTAAATGTATAGAGGAGGTTAATGCAAGCATTTTTAAAACAGACTTTTTATTTTAGAGCTAGATTTACAGAAAAGCAGCTCCCTATTATTCTGGTACATGTGTCACAACTAATGAACCAGTATCAATCCGTTACCATTAACTAAACTCCACATTTATTCTGATTTCACCAGAGTACTATTCAGGGTTTTTCAGAGAAGCAGATCAGACAGGATGAGTTAGTGAGTGAGTGTGTGTGTGTGTGTGTTTGCATGTGTGAAGAGGGAGAGAGATTTTTTAAAAATAGGCTCACGTGATTGTGGAGGCTTGGTAAGTCCAAAACCTGCAGAGGTGACAGATTATTTTGGGGGTTACAATTATATTTTAGCAAATAGGTGAATTTGCAAATAGTGATCCAGAGAATTGCAGAGATTGGATGAGGTCCACCCCCATGATGGAGGGTCATCTGCTTCACGCAGGGTCCCCTAAACTGTATTAACCGTCACCACCAGTTTTCCCCAGTGCCCTTCCTCTCCTCCAGGGTCCACTTGACATTACATGGAGTTGTCACGTCTCCTCAGTGTCCTCTGATCCGAGACAGTTTCTCAGACTTTCTTGTTTTGATGATCACGACAGTTTAGGGGAGTACTGGTCATGTGTTTTGTAGAAGGCCGCTCCGCTGGGGTTCGCCTTGTGTTTTTATCATGGTGAGACTGGGGTTATGGGTTTGGGGGGGAAGGCCACAGAAGGGAAGTGCCTTTCTCATTGCCTCATTGCAAGGGTGCGTGTCAACATGACACATCACGGATGGTGCCAGCCTTGACCACCTGGCTCCGGGAGTGCTTGTCAGGCTGCTCCCCTGTAAAGTCACCCCCTGCTTCCATACTGCACTCTTGGAGTCAAGCTTCCATACTGCACTCTTGGAGAAGAAGGTATGATGCCCGCCTCCTGGAAGGGGAGACACACACCACTGGGGTAGAGTTCTTCTGTGGGAAATGTGCCTCTTCTCCCCATTTATTTATTTATTTGTTTATTTCTATCAATATGGGCTCATAGAAATGTATTTTGTACTTTAGTTATAATCCGATAGCACATGATGTATTTTGTTACTCAGGTTGTTCTAGCTTTAGCCATTTGGGGCTCTTTCAGGATGGCTCCTGTGACATGCTCTCATTCTTCTGTTGTTTTGGTTTTTGTTTTTTGAGCACTTTCCTACAGTCTGGCAGTACAAGATGCTCCAGGTACATTTTATATTGCCCTGCCTCAGCCCCCAAATCGGCCACTCCTCCATGGAGCCCTGGTCCCTCTATTGGAGAATAGTATTTGGTGTGGTCTGAATGTTTGTATCCCCCAAAATTCATAGGTTGAAATCTCTCTCCAATGAAATGGTACTAAAGGTGGGGCCTTTAGGAGGCGATTAGGTCATGATTGCAAAGCCCTCGTGAGTGGGATTCATGCCTTTATGAAGGAGGCCCTGGGGGCTTCTTCACCCTTTTGGCCATGTGAAGACACAGCTGGAAGGCACCATCTAGGAAGCATGGAGCCGGCACCAGACACTGAATCTGCTACCACCTTGATCTTGGACTTCCCAGCCTTCAGACCTGTGGGAGATAGGTAATGGCAAAAACTGCAGTTACTTTTGCATCCACCTAATACGTTTCTGTTGTTTATAAGTCACCCAGTCTATGGTATTTTGTCATAGCAGCCCAGATGGACTAGGACAGTGTTAGGAACTAAGATCTAGGCACTGGAGGTGCTCATTGCTACTGGAGACAGCTCTATGGTATAGAGAGATGACATAGTTGTATGTATATGTTTGTATTTGCAAAGCAAGGCCACAGTTCTGATATGCACAAGTTTCAGTTTATATGATACCCATGTAAAGCCAGGACTGCTCGTACTGGATAAATGTAAAAAACTGTATGTAACTTTTGTGTATTATATTGCATAATATTAAAATGAACTGGTTTAATACTCCACCTAACAAAAAAAACCACTCTCAATGCTTTAAATGCTGAAAAAAGGAATAATTTACAATTTATTATGTATCTATATGCAGTTTCCAAAATTTGTCTCTAATTCACACAACTCTACAAGGAAGACAGTAATATTAGCCTTGTTTTAGCTAATTTCTGCTCACAGCATTAAGTTATCAGCTCAGGATTGCATGGCTAGGGCAAGACAGAGCCAGCACGTGAAATCAGGTCAATTTTTAGAGGAGTTGCTTATAATTTTTGGAATAACTTTATATCTTATATTACTAATTAATTTTCAGAGGGTGATCACATAATCACATATACCACTTTTTATTTTTATTTTTTGAGACAGTGTCTTGCTTCGTCACCCAGGCTGGAGTACTGCAGCCTCCATCTCCGGGGCTCTAAGTGATCCTCCCACTTCAGTCTCCCAATTAGCTGTGACTACAGATCCATGTGAACACACCTAGCTTTTTTTTTTTTTTTTTTTTTTTTGTAGAGACAACGTCTCATTATGTTGCCCAGGCTTGTTCTGAACTCCTGAGCTCAAGAGATCCTCCTGACTTGGCGTCCCAAGGTGCTGAGCCACTGTGCCCAGCCTATACCATTTTATTTTATCCTAATGAATTCGCCAAACTAGGCTAAGGGAGATCCTATTATTTTAGGAATTGAGGTCTCCCATTTAATGACTCTAATTACTGATCCCAGGGCCCCATGCCATTAAAATGTAAAACACTTAAACAATAAGATAGAAATAGTTATGTACTTTTCAATTCTCAATTAGGGTTTAAATAATCAATGAAAGATGGAAAATCGTATGGACTAAGTACAGGTAACATTGTATTAGGTTCTCCAGAGAAACAGAAGCAATAGGAGATACATGTCTACATCTATATTTGTATATATCTGTATAAAGAGATTTATTACAAGGATTTAGCTCATTGATTATGGAGGCTGACAAGTCACAAGGCCTTCAAGGTGAATGGCCAAGTTGGAGATCCAGGAGAGCCAGTGAAGTAGTTCTGATCCAACTTGCCAGCATCTGGTATTTTTAAGAATAGCCATTCTGACTGATGTGAGATGGTATCTCATTGTGGCTTTGATTTGCATTTCTCTAATGGTAAGTGATGTTGAACTTTGTTTTATGTGATTGTTGGCCACATGTATGTCTTCTTTTGAAAAGTGTCTGTTCATGTCCTCTGCCCACTTGTTTATGGGTTGTTTTTTTCTTGCAAATGTATTTTTAAGTTCCTTATAGATACTGGATATTAGACCTTTGTTGGATGCATGAAATATGTTATTGGTGTAAAATACACACTGGATTTCAAAACTTAGTACAAAAAAATTAAAAATATCTAATTACCAATTTTTATACAGATTACATGTTAAAATGATAATTTATATTAGATTAAAATATATCATTAAAATTAATTGTACCTGTTTCTTTTACTTTATAAATGTGGATACTAGAAAATTTAAAATTGTATGTATTTACATTATATTTCTACTGGGCAGTGGTGGTCTAAACCAATCCAACGTGAAGATTTTATCACTTTAATCTTTAAGCAAGCAGCATAGCTTTAGGTTTTGAAATTTGAGAGAAGAGACAAATGAATTAAGGAACTGTTCAGGTTTTGAACAGAAGTCATAAGAAATATAGAAGTCAAGACTTGCTGGGTTTGTGAAACTTTGACCATCACAGTCTCTCTGGGCAAAACTGAAAAATGGCCTCTGTGCAAAGATCAAATCCTAGGCAGGGGTAAAGGTGAAATCAAAGGTTTGGCTTAACAAGACGTCAGATTTAGGGGTGTCTCATAGATCCCCAAGATAATAGGGCTTTAAAAAATCATAAGAGAATTGGCCCCCGGCAGTCTCAAAGGTGGACCAAGGGCCCATCTCAGGTCAGTGTGGTTTGTAACTAATGGATGGGGTGAACTCTGATAAAATTCAAAGAAACCCACAAGGTATTGGCAGAGTGATGGAAGCGCCACTGGCTTGAACTAAAAGAGGCACAGACTTTTGGACCCCCTTCCCCAGCCTTCCCTGGAGGAAAGCAGGCTGAGAGGCTACTTAGTTGCAAACCTAGGCCATTTCTTTTCCCTGAGGAAGTCTCGGTAGAAGCAACAGCCCAGAGGACAGAGCTAAGGGCTGGGGAGAAGGCAGGAAGCAGAAGTGAGTCCTCCTCAAGGCAAGGCAGCAGGAGCCTGCTGGAACCCGCAGTGGCTGCTGCCTGGCTCCGCCACCTCTCTTGTTGGACAGGTGCCCACTGGGGATGTCCTGGCTCTGTCTCACCATTGTCGGTTGGGTGTGGAGAAGGCTGTTGCCTTGTCTCTCTAGTTCGCAGGTCTTCAGATGTAAAGGAAATACCCAAGCAGAAGCCTCATCTGTACGCGGACATGCTTTAGATGATGAGACTTCTGAGCATCTTGAAAGAGCTGAGTGTATCGTGCATGTGTAAATGACCTGTGGCCAGAGGACGGTTATGGCGGATTAAAGACGGCTGTAGGTTCTTCCCATTGAGAGCTGGGGTCTATTTTCCATCTCTTTCATTCTGGGACTGCTTTGATTATGGAGTACAGTGGAGGTGACACTGCCAGTTGCCACCTTGAATAGAGCTGACGGCTTCTGCCTCGCTTTCTTGGAGCCCTAAGCTGCCACGTAGAAATTCCAACGACTTCACTGGAGGGACCACTCAGAGAAGTGTTGAAGCTGCATGAGAGAAGGCTCAACTGAGCCCAGACTTCCAGCCACCCCCGACTGCATGGTGTAGACACATGAGTGAAGCCTTCTTAGAGCCTCCACACCAGACCACCCTCCACCTGTATGCCACTGAGCAACCCCACGGGGAGCAGAAGAAACACTCAACCTGCCGCAATTCCTGAGTTCTGTGGATTATGAGCATAACAACATGACTGTTGATTTAATCTACATTTGGGGTGGTTTGTTATGGGGTAATAGATATCTGGGACACATTCACACATATACATCCTAGCTGTGTGACCTCGAACATGTTACTTAAGGTCTCTGACATCAGTATTTTTATCAACAAAATTGTAATAATAGTGTCTACCTACTATGGGTGTTAAATATATGTAAGAATATATGTAAAATAATATATATAAAAGTAAAAGCAGCTAGCATATGTTTGGATCTTAAATGACTTTGTGTTCGATTTTTACTTTTTTTTTTTTTTTTTTTTTTTTTGAGACAAGAGTCTTGCTGTCTTGCCCAGGCTGGTCTTGAACTCCTGGGCTCTAGTGATCCTCCCATCTTGGCCTCTCAAAACACTGCGGTTACAGGTGGGAGCCATCACACCAGACTCCTTTCTTTTGTTTCCCTGGCATGCCCATCCTCCCACCCCTGGCAATATAAATAATATCAGCAAGTCTGTGTGGGCTTAAGATACCATAGTTTTCCTGATAGATATGTATACACATACACACACATCACACATATACACATATACATGTATCAGGATTTAAAATCTCATTAATTTTATAATTTATAACCACTTACCACTTTTATAAAAGTGGGGAGGATTCCAGTGTTCTTAGTTCAACAATGGATTACTGTTTTGTTTGTGTTTGTTTTTTTGAGACAGAGTCTCCCTCTGTCGCCCAGCCTGGAGTGGGTGGGGCGATCTCCGCCTCCCAGGTTGAAGTGATTCTCATGCCTCAGCCTCCTGAGTAGCTGGAATTACAGGCACGCACCACCACACCCAGCTAATTTTTGTATTTTTAGTAGAGACTGGGGTTTCACCATGTTGGCCAGGCTGGTCTTGAACTCCTGATCTCAAGTGATCCGCCCACCTCAGCCTTCCAAAGTGCTGGGATTACAGGCGTGAGCCACCCTGGCTGGACTACTGTTTTTGTTATTGGTAGTGATTTCTTGTCACCGTGCTAGGGTGGTGCATCAGAAATAAACTGGGCTTTTTAGTAAAAACTCGGAAATACATGGTTTACCTCTGTAAATACGGGATACTTGGCAGGAGAAATTGTACCTGTTGAAACTTAGATGGCCTCAGCTCTCAAAAGAGACTGGCTACGGCAGGACGGGGATGAGTGTTGTACCGGCACCCAGTGCACTAACTGTCATTACTAAAATCCCTGTCGTGGGAAAGGCATGCCTCGTGCAGTGCCCACCCTCTGAGACTCAAAAATGTAGTTCACCTCCGCGACCTCACCCCTTCTTCCCTTAGCATGTGAAAATGACGGCTTGGCAGTTTCACCAGCTCACAGGAGAGCGTCCAGCTGCTCTGCTCCTGGTATAATCCTGGGCCTCCAAAACTGAAACGAGCACATGGTAACGCAAGCGGCAGGCATGCTCGGGGTGTGCAGGAGATGCACCGGCTTGTGTGAGCCGGTAGGGCAGGACGGGCGTGGAAGGGTCCACGTCTTTAGTATGCATGCTTAGATCTAGCGTTCCTGTTGATGGAGTAATGGTTCTCGCATTGACCAGATCCGGGGCTTCATTTTTTAAACCTCATTCGTCCACTCCCCACCCCAGCCTGGTGTGCGCACCCTTTGATGGGGCGGGGATAGGCGAGATGGTCCTGTGGTTCTCTGCCTTCTTCTGGTGAATTAAAATCCGATTTGGAAGAGAGAAGGGCAGCCAGCACCAGTATGCACAGCCCCCGGCCCCAGAGACCCGGGAAGGAGTAGGGAGGCCGGGCCGTGCGCGGAGGAGTGGCCGCTGGGTTGGAAACCCGGCCCGGCAGGGAGCGGGGAAGGCGCGCTTTCCCGGAGGTCGGCGCGGGGCCGGGGCCGGGGCCGGGGCCCGGAGCGGGGATGGGCGGGCGCAGCCGGGATTAGCTGGCGGGCGAGGGCGCAGCGCAGGGAGGAGGAGGGGAGGCGGCGCCGGCGCGGGCGGGGCGGAGGATCTGGAGAGGGAAGGGGCGTGCGAGCCCCGCGGACCCCGGGCGCGCCCGGGCCGCCTGAGCTGGGCCAGCCGCGCGGCGGGCGCGGGCGCGGGCGCGGGCGCGGGCGCGGGCGGGTGGGGAGCCCCAGCCCCGGGGCCGCGGGGGCGCGTGACCGGCTGTCTGCGTGGGGCCCGCGCGCGGTGCCTCTGCCTGACGGTGCCCGAGCCTAGCGCGGAGCCTGGCGCGGGGGCTGCGAGCACAGGCCCGGGGCTGATCGTAATCGGGTGAGTCTCATCCGGCAGCAGGGCTCGCCTTCTGGCCGCTCTGCAGGCGATGTGCGCGGTGTTCTCCGCCCGCGGGCCGGCTGCGTCTGGCCCGGGCTTCCCTGCAGGCACTCGGGAAGCGTCAGGCCGGCCCCGGGCATGGCTCACGCGGGGAAGCGTTCGCCGCCAAAGGGACTCCTTCGTCACTGCGGTCGCTCCTGGGACTTGCTGGTGTTGGGTCAGGGCGGTGTGAGTGTTCCGTGCTGAGGAGCGGCTTCCCATGGCCACCCTGGAGTGCCCCTGTGTGTCCCCCCATCCAGAAAACCAGCCTGCATTTTAACCCGTTCAGAGTACAGTGCTTATGTCAGACAGTCCTGTCAACTAGGAATAGAAAATTTTGAAAGCTGCTGTCACTGACATTAGAATTTCTACAAAGCAGTGTGGCAGAGGTTTGTGGGCTGTCAAGAAGCAACCTAAAACAGTAACTCTGGATGATGATTTTCCTGACAGCTGGAATGGAGTCATGGAGATTGGAACTCACCCTTAACCTCCATGCGCCAACAAATGAGTGCAGTCTAGTTTAGTGACTGCACTTCAGTCCACCCTACGAAGACCTGTCCCCAAATCAACAGCCTTGCTCTATTTAAACAGTATGGACAGGAACTAGTATAGAACTTGCATGTCTATGTTTAGAAGCTTCATGGACATGCCACCATATTCAAGTTTTAAAATACCTGTGGGATGCATCCTGTAAGTTGTGTACACTTTCTTAGACTGTGTAGGATACAGAACTAGTCCATAGTTTATAGGGGATTAAAGAGGTTCAACATTATGCATGAGGGACCAGTAACCAATCCTTGGTTAGAGAACAGAGAAACCAAAGAACCAAAACAAGATGTGAAAGAGAAAAAAAAAAAGAAAAAGACAAGAAAGGGATTTTGTAGGCTCTGCTGTTAATTCATGATGTTAGTAACTTGTGCCACTGGAGAGACAGGCAGGTCAGTGGCCTGGTTCCTCGAAGAAACTCTGTCCCTATCTTCTTTGTGCTCTTGGGCAATCATTGAGTTACGGACTTAAATTCCTGTTCACCTCGTTTTTTTGTGAATTGTGTGGTCAAGTTTGTATGTTATTACACTGAACTCTGAAGCTCAAGAAATTGCTTAAAAGGAGATACAGAGGGGAAGGTCAGAGAGGAAAAAAGAGGGAGAAATGGCATGGAGTAGGGGAGTTTTAAGGCACCTAATTCGTAATAATTGGTGTGACTGTTACCCAACTTCCCATTTCCCCCTGCCCTGCATCCCAAGACCTCCTGGGCTCAGCTCTGCGTCCAAGACAGTGGGAAGCCTGGTCCTGGAAAGGATGTGGTGTGATGTGAAGAGAGATGAGTTCCTCCGTTTTGTAAATAATTTTCTCCTTAATTTGAAAAGAGCTTCCACCCTTTCCCCTGAAAAAGAGTGAATTTCCTAGAGGAATAAATTATTCATTGAAACAAACTCGCATGCGTCCCATTTTGAATTTGGCTTCAAAGTTGCACAAAAGCAGGAGGAGGAGCTAGAAGCAGGATAGACCGTCTTGAGCAGAGCAGATGCTCCGTTTGGCGGTGAAAACCATTTGGGGGAATATCAGCTGCCCAAAGAAGAGCTGTGACTTTTTAACGAGTAAAACGTTATCCAATAGTGTCTTGAATCTGGGGAATATTTTCATGTCAGGTCACGATGTAATCCTATGTTTCAGGCATAAACATTCAGAGTAATTCTGTAGTGAAAATGAGTTCCGCATTTGAGTTGCTAATTTCGTCTTCGCCGTTTGAGTCTTTCAACCGAGGGCATCTTTTGTGTGACGAGTGTTATTTCAGGTGCTTAGCTTAAAAGATGAATAAGGTGTCAAGGTCACAACAAAAAGTTAAAATGTGAAAAGATCTATATAATACAAAATGCTATGGGAGGTCCAAAGAAACAAGAACACAGCATCTTCGTAGAGTAGCAGGTGATGATGATAATAGCAGTGAGAGGACAGTGCGGTGGCTCATGCCTATAGTCCCAGCAGTTTTGGAGGCCAAGGCAGGAGGATCACTTGAGCCCAAGAGTTCAAGACCAGCTTGGGCAATATAGTGAGACCCCATCTCTACAAAACATTAAAAAGTTAGCCAAGCATGGTGGTAGACACCTGTAGTCCCAGCTACTAGAGAGGCTGAAGGTGGGAGGATAACTTGAGGCCTGGAGGTCGAGCTTACAGTGAGCTGTGATCCTGCCACTGCACTCTAGCCTGTGGAGCAAAGCAAGACCCTGTGTCAAGTAATAATAATAACATAACAATAATAATAGCAGTGAGCAGGTAAACCCGATTTATGTAGCACTGACTGACACTTCATATACTTTATCTACAGATGTGGACACTGAATTCAGGAGAGGAAAAGTTAACTTGCTTAAAGCCTCAGTGGCAGAGCAAATTTGAACCCCCCATTATTATTCTGTAGATATGTATCACAAAAGAACAATGTTTTAGCTAATTCATCATGCTGAGTTTTAAAATTATTTCTCAGTCATATATTAACTCCTATACCAGTATGTTTTTCTTAGTGTTCAAAACAAATCTATTTGATGTAACTTTTAGTTGTTATTTTATGTCATTAGTATTTGTATGTTTACCTAAAAAGTTACTGAGTCACATGTAAACAAGAAATAATTAATGGCTTGAAAGCAACTGAAGAGGGCTAAAGGTAAAGCAGTTTGTCAGCATAAAGCGTGTCCTTTATTCTTTTCTCTGGGGCCCTTTCTTTAACATCTTTATCCTCAGAGTTACCTGGTTGTCCGTAAGATACCTAAGCAACAAAGAGAATAAAAACAATCATATAATTCTATTATTCTCTCTTGCATGAGACGTATCTATGGAAGGTAGATGTTCTCGCCAATCTGTACATGGTAATTACTTTGTTTTAAAAATTCTCTTTGTTGGCTGGGTGTGGTGGCTCATGCCTGTAATCCCAGCACTTTGGGAGGCCGAAGCGGGTAGATCACTTGAGGTTAGGAGTTCGAGACCAGCCTGGCTAACATGGTGAAACCCTGTCTCTACTAAAAATACAAAAATTAGCTGGGCGTGGTGGCAGGCGCCTGTAATCCCAGCTACTCAGGAGGCTGAGGCAGGAGAATTACTTGAACCTAGGAGGTGGAGGTTGCAGTGAGCTGAGATCAATTAGGTAGCCTTATAATCGAAAGCAAAAGCAAACTTTTTAAAAATGCATTTTAGAGTGGTGTTCTAACTAGAAATATTGAAAGTTGAAGTTTTTCCTGATTCATGACCATATCTTATGTTAATATATGTTTTATTTGTAAGGGAAAATAAGATTTCTATTGAAGAACAGAAGTTGTTGATTATTAAACATCAGGAAGATATTTTGACTAGAGGAAGTAAATGTTTTAAGCGGTTCATTGAAAGGACATTTCAATGATTAACAGGAACTGTGCTACACCAGTTAGGCTTAATAGTTTATTTAACATCTAGATATTTCTTCTGTTTTAGTTCTTCATTAAATTTTAATATCTTCTAACTCTTGAAAACTCAGTATACCCACAAACAGCAATGCTAGATTAAAGCAAGTTAGGTGTCTGTGTGGCTTCTGAGTCTAAAGAATTTGATGTTTCTTAATTAATATGGGATTAATGATTTTTTTACTGGAGGAGTGGTTGGGTTTTGTAAGTAAGTCCCTTGTCCCTGGTCAAGGGACAACTGGGACCTGAAATCCCTGAAATACTGTGAACTGTTTGGGGCAACTTTTCCTTCTCTGGCTGAGTCACAAAAAGTTGATGTTGTCTTCAGTTCACATAAAGGTACATATAGGTTAATGGCAACCTTGATTTTAAGAAAAAGAAAAATGATGACATCCTAAGTCTCAGTTTCATCAGGATGGGGTGTGTGTGTGTGTGTGTGTGTGTGTGTGTGTGCGCTCATGCACAGGTGGGTTTGGAGGGATGTGGCAGAACGAGAGGAGCAACTTTGTATAAAAGAGAAATTTTAAAAGTCTTAATGAATAAAACTATATTATTACATTAGGGAGACTCGTCATGTTTTATTTTATTTCCAGAAGAGGACTGTCAGAAGGACGTAGAAGGCACGGTTTTACTGTGAGGAGCAAAGATTCTTTACCTACGCATTTTACAAGAAATGTGCAGAAAGCCATTGATAAATATACCTGGTAAGAATTCACCTTGCTTCAGATTACAAAATCACAAAATGCCCGTAACAAATGTGGGAAGGAAGTTAGTGACTGGCCATGAATTTCTAAAAGTAAGATGCAGTTTTATTTTTAACCTAGTGTAAACATCACACTGTAAAAATATTTCAAAATTAGTATACTGTGAAATTAATAAATATATTTAATGAAAGAAAGAGGAAGCAGGCTCAGAAAAGTGAAGCCACTTAGCCATCCAAGCCCTTCCAGCAAATGTGATTTCTTTGCTCATGTTCATTCCTGCAGCAAATCCTTGTCATCCTTTTCCTCCAGCGGAAGCCATACACCCACGGGAGCCCACACCTCTTGGTCTGGGTCGGCCACACAGAGCTCTACCACCGGCTCATCCACGGAGAGGGGCTCCGTTTATTCCTGGAGAGATGACGTATGTCTCAGAATATTTTGGATAATCTTGTAATTACAGTTTATAGTGAAGAGTTGCTTCCTTATATTCAAAATTATTTTTACCAATTATAAAAGCATGACCTATTGCATACATACATGTACATACATGTAAAAGCATGTACATGTTACATGTGAAAATAATAGATCACGAACCGTGGAGGAAAACAGAACTCCCTCGTGACCTTCTGGCCCCGTCTTAGCTGCCCGCAGTTTTCTTGTTTCCACCCTGCAGCCGGCTCTCCGGGTGTGTGCTCCTTGTGACTTCTTGGATGGTATCCATGGCCGGAAATTCAGGACTTGAATAAGAAAGAAATGCTGGAAAAGTAAAAGCTGTGGCAGCCACTGTGATTAGAGAACTCCCCGCCAGTATTCCCAGTCGGATATTTCACCTTCACCCCCTACCGCTGGGGGCGCTGTTGCCTCTGAACTGCTTTTGTCTGTGTGAGCCTGGGATTCTGGCTGGGCGAGCTCTGCCTCCACTGCTCCAGCTTGCTCAGGAGCTCACTGGCTCCAGTCTCCTCCCTCCCCCTCCCTCCAAGGGTCTCCGTGGATCCCAGGACACAGCCCTCCTTTTTAAGGCCCACCTGGCTGCAGCACCTTGGGTGTTCTGTTTTACCTCGTTTATGCTGGGTGTTTTGTTGTTGTTGTTGTTGTTTTTTGCTTGCTTGCTTTCTCTCTCTCTCTGTCTCTTTTTTTTTTTTTTTTTTTTTTTTGAGACGGAGTCTCGCTCTGTCGCCCAGGCTGGAGTGCAGGGGCGCGATCTCGGCTCACTGCAAGCTCCGCCTCCCGGGTTCACGCCATTCTCCTGCCTCAGCCTCCCGAGTAGCTGGGACCACAGGCGCCCACCACCACGCCCGGCTAATTTTTTGTATTTTTAATAGAGACGGGGTTTCACCGTGTTAGCCAGGATGGTCTCGATCTCCTGACCTCGTGATCCGCCCGTCTCGGCCTCCCAAAGTGCTGGGATTACAGGCGTGAGCCACCGCGTCCGGCCTTTTCTCTCTTTTTTTTTTTTAAGACAGAGTCTTGCTCTGTCACTCAAGCTGAGGTGCAGTGGTGCCATGTCGGCTCACTGCAACCTCCGCCTACCAGGTTCAAGCAATACTCCTGTCTCAGCCTCCCGAGTAGCTGGGATTACAAGTGTGCACCGCCATGCCCAGTTAATTTTTGTATTTTTAGTAGAGACGGTGTTTCACCATGTTGGCCAGGCTGGTTTCGAACTCCTGACGTTGTGATCCGCCTGCCTGGGCCTCCCATGGCATGAGCCACTGCGCCCAGCCTCTTTGCTTTCTTTAAAAGTGGTTCCCCACTCCCACTGCACATGGGAATCCGCTTCTGTCCGCAGCTGTGCAGCTGTGATTCTCAGGGGAGCCGGCAGGGCAGGTGCACCGAGGGGGTCTGAAAGGGACTCAGCTCAGCACTGCTAGGAGGACCTTTCACGCACGCAGCTCCCTTACTTAGGGGCAGCTGCCTCCTTCCTCTCCCTTACGCCCACTCACCACCATCCCTCAAGCCCGCCTTCCTTGGTAGAAGGCTGAGCACCACTGCTTTACTCTGTCCAAATTCTAGGATTCTTTTAGTACAACGTTTAATGGAATTACCAGGGAAATTCGTATAACTTCCATTAATACTCAGGCCTCACCCTAATAACCACACTTCTTAGGATAACTAAGGATTTTTTTTTCCAGTTCATTGATTTAAGGAGATTAATGGCCTTTTCTACAAAAGTAATTTTCTTTTCTGTGGTATCACCAGAAGAAAAAAAAATCTTGTATTTTGCAGGTGTGCTTAGGTGTGTCAGGCACAGCTCTGTGAGGAGCTGCCTGTGTTTGCAGACATACAGATGTGGACGTGTCTGTGTGTCTACGCTGATGTCTGTGGCAGTATGAACACGTCCATCTATACCTCTATCTATGCAAATTCTTGAGTCTCATAACTTCCGTGGCAGAAGTTTTCTCTATTTAACAGTAAAAGAATCCGAGGCTCAGAATGAGATGGCATTTCTCAGAAAGGTAACAGCTAGAGCACAGGTGTGTCTGACTGCAAAGCCACCATCTTTTTACCAAGTGATGCACCCTCCTACATAGTGGGTGACAGTAAATGTATAAGTAGCGTTGATCCAGAAGCCCGCAGTTCTGTAACTTGCAGTGTTGTAACCAAGTGTGCATTTCTGTTTAGGAATTTGACGAAGCCAGTTCACAGTCAGTGCAGCGGTTACTCTGGGAGGTGGAGGAAATGTTATTTGAAGGGAAAGTGAACCCTCAGACCCAGAGTCTGCTGGCCGAATGCGGGGAGTGGACAAGAAGATCCCTCCATTTGAGGTGGGACCTTGGTGGTGGAAGTTCTCTGGGGTGGGTTTTCCAAGCACCCACCCCTGACCTGCCTCGATACATTCAGTACATTTGGTGTGAAAGTGCCTGCCCAGTCAGAATATGGATGCAGAGCGCAGTCCTTCACTGAGAGATCACTTTCCTCTTACGGCGTCTGAGGAAATACTGAGACATTCCAGTACTCAAGCGCCTTTTAATTTGTGAGAAGCAAATTCAGGCCATCCTGAGAAGGGCATGACACATATACGAATGCAAGAATGGTGGAGGCCACCTCTTACCTTCACATTCACTGTGTGTGAGCAGCACATGTCTGTCTTCATCACAGAACACAGCGAGGGTGGGCAGAGATGATTTGCTGAACGGCTGGATAGATGGGTCTTCCCATCTCACCCATTCCTTATGTAGGGAGGAGCATGTGTTACTTTTCATATCAAAGATGGAGAATATGGATTGGGTATGAAGGCAAGCTTTTCTTTTCTTTTTGCTTTTTTTTTTTTTTTTTTTTTTTGAGATGGAGTCTTGCTCTGTCGCCCAGGCTGGAGTGCAGTGGCGCGATCTCAGCTCACTGCAATCTCAGCCTCCTTGGTTCACGCCATCCTCCTGCCTCAGCCTCCCGAGTAGCTGGGACTACAGGCACCTGCCACCACGCCCGGCTAATTTTTTTTATTTTTAGTAGAGACGGGGTTTCACCGTGTTAGCCAGGATGGTCTTGATCTCCTGAACTCGTGATCCGCCCGCCTCAGCCTCCCAAAGTGCTGGGATTACAGGCATGAGCCACCGCGCCCGGCCAAAGGCAAGCTTATCTTTCAGTCACTCAGCCAACGTACTGGGGGACAGTTTATCAAAGTTACCTGAGTTCCTGTGGATTCTGTCTGGGGAGAATGAATCAGAACACTCATGTAAATGTGGCTGGATTTCCTGGTTACATTCACTAGGTAACTTTTACAGAAATCTTGACCAACTAGGGTTGTTTTTTTTTTTCTTTTCAACCCTTAATAAGCCACCTGCCCTAAAGAGTATGATATGTCCACTAGATACTAGTTGTGGATACTCACTTTTCTGGGGATGATCACTCACCAGAAATTCGGGAGCTCACACTTATTCTTGTCACTGCTGTCTTACATCATTGATAGAAATGGAGGGAAGGTGGGAAAAGATTGTCAGGTACATAAGCCAAGTGTGCATATTTATATATTTGTATTCTTGTTATGTTTGTGTTTAACTGTGTATTAGTTAATATGTATGGAGGGCTTCTTTGTGCCCAGTGTTGCCTTAGACACCTGAGTCTGTCATATATGATCTCTAAGCCATTCATCAGCCCTGCAAGGTAACCATTATTATCCTGTTTTGCAAATGAAAGACAAACAAATGAAATTAGCCTGAGAACCTTGCCTGAGACTGAGTCAGTGGAAGAACAGTCTGGCCTAAACTCTCAAAGTCACACTTCTGTGATGCGTGATGCTTCCCACGTTCCCATACACATCTTATCATACACATGCCTTCAAAATCATTGTCTCCTACTTTTAAAATCTCCAAACATTTTCCCTTTGTCTGATCAAAAATGTCAGTAGCTTCTCTTTGACCTCGCAGAGTATTAGGAAGACAGCTGATCCTGCCCACTGACAAAGGCGTCCAGCATTTCCAGGGCAGCACTCCTGCCTCCGCAGTCCACAGACCCCCGCTCAGTGCCTGCGGACACAGCAGCAACATCAGAGAGTATGTTCAGATAAGTGACTCTCAAAAAGTATTGTTAGCTGTATTTTAGTTATACTTTTTCATGTTTATCTCATCTATAAGCCTTGGCTCCACCCATTTTGGAAATTTAGATTCTGATGAAGGGCAGGTACAGAGAACAATTTTTATAAGAAGCTTTTGATTCTGAATTGATGATAGGTGTATATGTGTGTATATAGAGAGATGTGTAATATATATATGGAACACACATGCACACACATGGTAGTTACCTTCCATGTTTGTTCCAAAGGCGCTGTGAAAGGTGGACTGGGTGCAGGATGGAAACCGCCTCACTGTGATGGATTATAAGCCTCCAGGCGGTGGCAGCAGGAGAAATGAAGCTCTGTCCTGTCGTTTCTGTTCACTAGCAGATTTTGATGACTCTATGCCATTCACACATATTTGGTGTGCCGTGACACAATGCAGTCCTTTCACTGCAACCAAAGAGGGTACAAACTCATAGAATAATTTAGGCTTTTAAGAAGCCCTTAAAATGTTTAATGATGCCTGTATTAAAGTGTTTTTAAGGACGTGAGTTTTGTCCAATGTAATATTCAACCGTTTTGGGAGGGGGGGATTCTGTACTTTACAGATAATTGAAAGATCCGCCATGATCGTTTAAGCATTGCGTTCTTGGTGTTCTATAAACTCCCATGTAGAATCTGTTTTTTTCCCATAGGTTGTGCATTTCTGGCTCTCAAATAGTCCCAGCAGCACTCTCAGCCTCTGCCCTGCCAGGCCCTGATGACACAGGGGTTGCTGACCTAACGGCACGTTCATCCCTGGAAGAAGAGGTTTACCATGTGGATGGAAAGATTGAGGAGTATTTCGCTTTTGACAGAAAAGAGGAGTAAATAGAATCTTATTTGACATTGACCTCATAAAATAATATTAATTTATTTGACATTTATTGTTATCGTATGCTCATTAAGTGTTTTGTGTATTTTTTACTCACCCAAAAGATTTCTGTTCTTTTGAGAGTAATGTACTCCCCAGAGCTTTTGGATTCCTAGCCAGCGGTGCACGTGCGGGAGCAGCGAAGAGGGTGTTCAGTGCCCTTGTAAAAGCAGACAAGGCTCCTCGCAGCCCTGGTCCTGGGGGCTCCAGGTTCCCCAGCCCTGGCTGCCCAAAAGGGCCTAAGGGGAGTTCCTGCCTCTGTACTAAATTCGTATTTTGTTCTTTTTTTTTTTTTGAGACGGAGTCTCGCTCTGTCGCCCAGGCTAGAGTGCAGCCGTGCGAGCTCGGCTGACTGCAAACTCCGCCTCCCGGGTTCACGCCATTCTCCTCCCTCAGCCTCCCGAGTAGCTGGAACTGCAGGCGCCCACCACCACGCCCGGATAATTTTTTGAATTTTTTTTTAGTAGAGACGGGGTTTCACCGTGTTAGCCAGGATGGTGTCGATCTCCTGACCTCGTGATCCTTCTGCCTCGGCCTCCCAAAGTGCTGGGATTACAGGCGTGAGCCACTGTGCCCAGCCTTGTATTTTGTTCTTAATCAAAAACTACAACTATTACATGATAAAACTTTGCCCCGTGATTGAAAATTGGCACATTAAAAAGTAACACTGATAAAACAAGTCTTAACACATTTGAGAAGACTGAAATCAAGCATCTTTTCTGATCTCAGTGGTACAAAACTGAAAGTCAATAACAGGAAGAAAACTAGAAAACTCACAAATATGTGTAAACTAAACAACCTGCTCCTCAACAACCAGGCAGTAGGTCAAAGAAGAAACCTAAAGGGAAATCAAAAAATATAATGAGACAAATTAAAATGGAAACACAACATATTAAAACCAAACTTATGGGGTACAGTAGAAGCAGCTCTAAAAGGGAAGCCTATGGCAATAAATGCCTACATTGAGAAAAAAGACATATCTGAAATAAACAACCTAACTTTATACTTGAAGGAATGAGAAAAAGAACAAACTAAGCCCAAACTTAGTAGAAGGAAGGAAATAACAAAGCTCAGAGCCGAAATAAATGAAGAGACTAGAAAAAAAAAGAAAGATCAATGAAACCAGGAGTTGGTTTCTTGTTTTTATTCATGTGTAATGGAAAAAAATTATATATGTTAAAAAAGAACGATGCTGTTTAACAAAGAATGTTTATTAATATATGTATACATGTACATACGTGAATGTGTGTAGATAGAATTATTTTAACTCTAAGCATTGATCTTTTAGTAATTGGAGTGGGTTTTTATTCTTAGTGATGATGAATGTCTTGAACAAAAACCAGCTCAGCCCGGTAGGAAATGGCGCAAACTCGGACTTCCTCCTGTTTCCCCGCGTGACTGTGTCAAAGATGCCGTGGCAGCAGAAGTGTTTGATCACGTCTGGACAAATATGGTAGAACTTTTGGAAGAGCTGATTAGAAAACACTGGGAAACTACACTCACAGGTACTTACATGCAGAATTTAGCTTAATGAAAAGAAAAAGTCCCTGTTCTTCGGCCCTGGGCTCCTGCTCCCCAGCTTGGCCAGACCTAGAACGTGACCAGTGAGAAGACAAGTGGGTGTTCTGACTTTACTCATGAGTGCTCTTTAGTCCCTTCAAAAAGGACGCTATTGTTTTTTGTGTTATAAAAAATAATGCAGGGCTGGCTGGGTGCGGTGGCTCACGCCTGTAATCCCAGCACTTTGGGAGGCCGAGGCAGGTAGATCACCTGAGGTCAGGAGTTCAAGACCAGCCTGGCCAACATGATGAAAGCCTACCTCTACTAAAAATACAAAAATTAGCCGGGCGTGGTGGTATGTGCCTGTAATCCCAGCTACTCGGGAGGCTGAGGCAGGAGAATTGCTTGAACCCAGGAGGTGGAGATTGAGATTGCAGTGAGCAGAGATCACACCACTGCACTCCAGCCTAGGCAACAAGAGTAAAACTCCATCTCAAAAAAAAAGAATGCAGGGCAGGCATGGTGACTCAGAACTTTGGGAGACCAAGGCAGGAGAATTACTTGAACCCAGAGGTTCAAGGCCAGCTCAGCTTGGGCAACATAGTAACACCCTGTCTTTTCAAAAAATACAAATAAAAAGTTAGCCAGGCATGGTGGCACATGCCTGTAGGCCCAGCTACTCAGGAGGCTGAGATGGGAGGACCCCTTGAGCTCAGGAATTCAGTATTGAAAGTGAGCACTCCATCCTGGGCAACAAAGCGAGACCATCTCTCCCCCAAAAATAGCAGTGCATATGCAGTCTGGAAAACACACAGATACACAAGAACAAGGCTAGAAGTCATGTTTTTTGTTATAGTAAAAATAATTTACCTAACTACTCTCTAATAATGAGATATTTGTTTTTCATTGTTCGTGACATTATCTGTAATGTAAAATGTAAACATTGCTAATTGAATCATGCTTTAATCCTCTTACATACAAAATATTCTCTAAACTTAACATTGAACAAAAACAAATCATAAAAATGTCAGTGATGGACATTAATGACCAGTTTTATTAATCAATTTGTACAATAAGGCAATAATCACGTTAACCTAAATCCTGTTCTTTTTCCAGTATTTAAGGAATTAGTTGGGCTTTATCATGTGCTGAGAATCTGTATTGCCCACTGTGTGATCTGCTTCTCCAAGCCCTGCAACCACAGTTCCAGCAGCCAGTTGCTCCACAGGGGTCTCTGCCCTCCGTGGTAACATGTGGAGTGGCCGTAGCATGGGCTCGTGGTAGCTCAAGCACACATATTCTCTTTCAAGAGTGAATTTTAAGTATTTGTATTAGATAATCTGATGTTTCTTGTAATATTGATTCTTCTGTTGACACAGAAGGGAAAAAACAGAGAGAAACATTGAAAGTGGCTGGAAACAGATTTCCGCACGTCCTCGTTCCACACGCTCACGCCGATGGAGCCAGTGGCCCCCCGTCCGGACACGCCGAGGCTCACGGCATCTCCCTGGCTTCTCGTCTGAACCCGCCCCAGGTCGGTGCTTTCACACCCTTCTCCCTCTTGCCTTCACTCTGTGTGTCTGTCACCTCAGTTTGTCGTTCTGTTAAACTGCAGTACTGAGATATTTGGGGCTGCTTTCCACGCTGCCCGCAGAGGGGTCCATGCAGGCTTTCCATGGTAACTTAAAGGGAAACCTTCACAGTGTCACAATGCCTGGAGACCTGGACGTCCTGCCTATGAAGGACGAGGATGTGCTCAAGTTCCTTGCGGTAGGAGCCCACGCAGGCGGCACCACCCTTGGCTTCCAGATGGAGCAGTATATCCACAAAAGGACGGACCAGCGATGGCATCTCTGTCATAAATCTGAAGGGACCTGGGAGAAGCTGCTGCTGGCAGCTCGTGCCATTGTTGCTGTTGAACCCTGCTGAGGTCCCTGTCTTGCTCCAGGAACACTGGCCGGCAGGCTGTGCTGAAGCTCACTGCTGCCACCAGAGCCACTCCAGCTGCTGGCCGCTTCTCTCCTGGAACCTTCACTCGCCAGACCCAGGCAGCCTTCCGGGAGCCATGTCTGCTGGTCCCAGGCGACCACCAGCCTCTCAGAGAGGCGTCTTGGCTAGCCCACCTCCCATTGCTCTGTGGAACACAGATTCTCCTCTGTGCTGTGTGGAAGTCGCCATCCCGTGCAACAAGGGAGCTCACTCAGTGGGCCTGAAGGGGTGGCTGCTGGCTCAGGGAGTTCTGGGCATGCGTGACACCATCCCCCAGGAACACCCATGGGAGTCCACGCCTGACCTCTGCTTCTGCAGAGACCCTGAAGAGATTGAGGTGGAAGAGCAGCCTGCTGCTGATGCAGCTGTGGCCAAGGGGGAGTTTCAGGGGAACAGATTGCTCCAGTGCCTGCTGAGCATTGCCGCCCAGCCCGAGGCTGCAGACCCAGCCCCTGCACACACTGCCGCCCAGGTTGAGGGTGGAGACCCAGCCCCTGCACGCACTGCTGCTCAGCCTGAGGCTGCAGACTGCTCTGAAGGTGCAGGTACCCCCTGTGCCTATTCAGCCGTCCCTACTGCAGACTGGAGCACTCAGCCTGCCAGGCAAGCCTGTTCTGCAGCTCCCAATGCTCAGGCCCCTGAATGAGGAGGATCAACCACTGAGCGGTCTCAAGCTGTTCTTCCACAGGCCACCAGCAAGATGGAAATAAGGCCGATGGAAAATAAACATCAGTTTCTATTTAAAACAATGATATTCGGGTCTGTTTGCAATGTGATTATTTCATGAAGTTTAACAGAATTACCACATGGCACTGCTCTGAGATGTGAAGCTGTTTTCTACATTTTGGGAGATTAAAAAAATGCTTTCCCCTAATATTTCGAGCTAGTTTGAAAATTATAAATGTTCTCCTTTCTTTCCACCAAAGTGATAAAAGAACCAATGAGTATACATTGGGCTTACTCAGCATTTATTGGTTGTAGTTGAGGCGTTTTGAGGAGATACAGAGGTGAATCCTAGTGATACAAAAGCCGTGACACAGGGTCAGGTGCAATACATTCTGTGAGGGTCGCGCAAAAAAAAACAAAAACAAAAAAAACCTTGTAGAAGAATCAAAGAGAGAGTGATTTGTTCTGATTACAGGAGGGGGATTGGTCTTTTACATTGAAGGTAAAATTTGAGCAGGAATGAGCAAGGCTCTTGTGGGAGAGAACTCTGGGTGGGCCATTTCAGGCCAAGCAAAGGCGTGGATGAGTAAAAGATGGGGCCTGTTTGGGGACTGTGACTGGGCTGAGTTTAGGGGATAAGAAACTGGCAACTGCAGCATAGTGGCAAGAACAGGGGATTAGGAATCGAGAGGCCTGAGAGGAGTATTCTTCTGGATATGTTGTTTAGCTTTTCTGAACTTTAGTGTCCTTAGCTTATAATGAGATTATTATCTTGTCCAAGGGATTATTGTGAGGATAAAATCATAGAAATACCCAAGAGCTCCTACTACAGGGTCCAGCACATACTGAGCGCGTAATAAATTTTTCTTGAATTGCATTTTTATTGAGAGATGTGGTCGCAGGTGAGGCTGGAAAGGATACACTTGTTCACGCGAGGCCTGTAGTGGTGCCAAGGAGGTTGTTTCCACTGCCCACCTTGTGGGGGGAGCAGAGAACACGGGTAAGGCAGGAGTCCTAGTCCTGAGCTACACAGAATTTATAGTATAGTTGGAGGGAGCCCAGCCATGTCAAACAACACACACACACACACACCACACACAGACACACACCACACCACTCATACACACACCAAACACACCACACACACACACTGCACACATCCCCCCACACACCCCCCACACAAACACACACCCCACACAAACACACCACATACCATACACCACGCACACACCACACACCAAACACATACCACATACACACTACACACACCACGCACACACACCACACACCAAACACATACCACATACACACACTACACGCACACACACCACACACCAAACACATACCACATACACACACTACACACACACCACTCACCACACACACCACTCACCACACACACCACTCACACACACACTGCACACACCCGACACAAACACACCACACACCAAACACACACCCCACACAAACACACCACACACCAAACACACACCACACACAAACACACCACACACACAGAAAATACATACCACATACACACACACCACTCACACACACACTGCACACACCCCCCACATAAACACACCACACACCAAACATATATCCCACACAAACACACCACACACCATACACCACACACACACCACACACTATACAAACACATACCAAATACACACATACACACACACTACACACCACACGCACACCCCACACATGCACACATACCACACACACCACATATCATACACACACCACACACATACACCACATGCATACACAACCCACAACACACCACACATGTACACACCCCACACCTACACACCCCACACATACACACACACCTTCACACATACCACACACACTACCACACACCACACACACACCTCACCACACCCCACACACACCACACCACACCACACACACACCACATCACACCACACCACACACACACACACACACACATCTCCCCACATGGGAGACAGTCTAGCTGATAGCAGAGTGAAACTTGCGTATATAGACTACTAGTTCTGGGCTTGATGTCTGCATTTAATACTCCGTGATTGTAAATCAGTCCCTGTTTCTCAAAACCTCAATTTCCTGATTTATGAGGTAGGAAGCTGTGAGAATTAAAGGAGATAAAACATTTTGTGTAGTGTCTGGTGTAGAGTGGACGTTCAATAAGTGTTACCTTTTGTTATAATCAGATGCTAATTATATATTAATAGTCTATATAATCCTTTGTAATTAGATTTTTGTGTAATTTTTTAATTAGATGTAATGTTTTGTAATTATATATATTTTATAATGAGATGTGTTTTGGATCATAAGTCCTCTGGGAGTCAGAAGAAAAATATACTTTTCACAGAGTAGGGTAAGATATGAACCAAGCCCTAAATGACAGGTGTGATTCGTTAACATGAGAAAGGAAGGGAGGCTCTTCAAAGCAAAAGCAAAACTGCACCTGGCGTGGGAGCTTCTAAACCCGCGATCTTTGTGAGACTGAAGGGACACAGGCCTGAACAGAACCTGTGCTTCGGGGAGCAGTGGGGAGAACAGAGCGTCTCAGAGGCTTGTTTCACTCTCTAGTGTAAGTCTTCTGTGCCTTTTCTGTTCTAAAGAAACTTTTGGAATTGCTACCTGCTTATTGTATTTTTTTGGTCTCTTTAAACTGCTCTGACAAGTTCAATACAACATTTCCCACTTAAAAAAAATAGGCAGTATGAATATCACACAAAGAGCAGTGGATGAGCCTTTAAATATCAGGCAAAATAAACAGACCAGAAAAATATGGACATTCTAGAAGCTGAGGCATTTTTTAAATAGCTGTTTTGTTTTTATAATTACTTTGTTTGGATAAATGTTAAAAAAAAATAAGTGGACAGCAAAGTTAACAGAATAAAAATAGAGCCTGCTTTGAAATACTCAAGGTGTTCTAGTTCTAATTATGAAAGCTCTTAAGTTATTCCTCTACATATGATTGTGGTTGCCACATGTGCTCATGAACTAGAACAGAATTCCAGTCCCAGAAATCCTGTTCTCCTACATCTAAATATGGTTATTTGAAAAAATTTTTAATTTACTTTAAGTTCTGGGATACATGTGCAGAATGTGCAGGTTTGTTACACAGGTATACATGTGCCATGGTGGTTTGCTGCACCTGTCAGCCTGTCATCTAGGTAAATATTATTTTAAATCCTAGTTGGTCATATTGTGGGACTGAAGAGGGAGTTAAGAATTACTTAGCCCTTAGCTCACGCTTTCTGTCATCTCATTTAATTCTCTCAATAGCTCTGTGAAGTAGGTATGATTTTTCCCCAACATAAAGATGGGGCCATTAAAGCTCCAAGAACAAAGTAAGCTTTCCAGAATTACAAATCAGGAAGCAGTTAGAGCTGGGGTTCAGACTGATGCTTTCGAGGGTCCAGGCCATCTCACCGCTTCTGGGAAGAGAACCCAGGCAAGTGTGGAGAGGAGGAGAGGAGAGGTCCCAGGCAAGCAGGACAATGAGGAGCCATGATGCCCGGCCTGTGCTTCTCCCAGTTCTCTCTCTGCCTTCCTCACCCTGGAGTTACCAGAGGCTGATACACGTTGACCACACCAGTGCTCCCTTGCCCTCCAACCTCCGGGATCTCAGAGCATGGGGGGAGACTGAAGCACGGCTCTGCTTCCCTGCAGCCTCCCTGCCAGGTCACCCTGGGCTGGTGGCGTTCCTACCCCGTGCAGCTACCCTCTCCGGGTGCAGGAACCTCTCTCTCACTTCTGGCCACTTTGGGCCAGGTGTGCTCAATGTCCCCACTGTTAGGAGCCTTGGGGAATTAACCAATTCGTTGTTAATGTCTCAGCCCACATCTTTATAAAATATATCCCCTTTATTAGTTTTTCCTCCAGTTAGCTGGTGAGTGTGCCGGGTGTTTCCTGCTGATTTCGGACAAGCATCAGTCATTGGAACGGCACTGGGCATTTGTAATTCTTTTTTTTTTTTTTTTTTTTTTTACTGTTCTCAGATTCATCACTTCTCCAGCAGTTTTTATAGTGACATGAATGGTGTCATGACAATTCAAGCAAAACCGCTTCAGCGGAGACCTGCCTATTTTGCTGACAGAACGCAGTACGTATCAGAATCAGTAGTAGTTACCCAGCCTCTTCCCTGTGCTGCAAACACTGGAGCACTGAAGACTGCAGGGGACATGAGATCACGAAGGTCCCATTTAATCCCGTGCTTCAGATGTGCCTGAGCACGTCTGGAAGAGCAGAAACAGACCCTTTAGTACCAACCACAAAACAGTTACTATCGTGTATTTGGTAGGGAGAGATGGGGAAAGGGGAATGTAGTCCTGAAATTCTTAATCTTGTGGGCTTGACTGTTTGATTACTGACAGGGAAAACCTTAGCCCTCTGCCTGTGGATGATTCTTCATTGAAACAGAAACAGAAATGATGGGTCTTTTCATTCATTCAACCCGTGCTTAGGAGTATGTTCTAGGTGCCAGACTGTTCTAGGCAGTGCTCAACTAAGCACAGACAGGTGCGTTCCCTGTTATCACAGCACTCGCAGCTGAGTAGCTCACAGGATTTCCTTCCCAGGAATGAGAAGGAGGACAAAGCATCGGGTGGAGGGGCAGGTGCTCTCTCCTCCGCACCGCACAGACTGGGACGGGCCTCAGACACTCATGGATTATCACCTTCTGCAAAGAAAACACCAGTGCCCTGGAGGCTGCCTTCTCTTGCTTCAGATTCACAGAGACTAAAAACTCCCAACATCTATAGTGACGAAGTTCTTCGGGGAACAAAACTGTGAGTCTCATTTCTTTCATAGTAAACTAAAGGCCACGGAGGACCTAGATGCTTCTCAGTTAGGGTTTATGGATCATCCTGGACAAAGCATCCCTACCTAGTTTTACATAGATGCTTTTCTAATGAGTTCATTGAGCATTTAACATTCCGCTTGCTCCAGTGGTCTACTTAGCTGTATCCTAGGACACAAGGTCAGGCAATGTCCCTGTCACACAGGCGGAATGAGCCTCTGATGCTGGGGGACCTTGGGTGGATTTCAGTGGCCTCATCTGTGAAACAAATAATTAGCTAATGCCTTTCAATTACATAATTAATACTTTTCAAGGGGAGGTTTAAATAAAATAATGTATATAAAATGCTATAAAAATAAAAGGACTGTGTCCCTATCGGATTATCTTTAAGGATGCATTTTTCTCTATGTGGGAGTTTCAGCAAAGCTGTTGATTGCAGGATTCACATCCCGTCATGGCCTCGTTAGAAAGGTGCCTGTCTCTTGCCCTCCAGCTAACTTACCAGTATCGGCCAATACTTACATTGATAATAATAGCTAATGTTTATTGATCACTTTCTTTGTTATCAGCGCCAGGTAAATGAATTACATTTATGATCTTATTTATTCCCCACCACAAAACTTTATATTGTTGGGACTCATACTATCCCAAATCTGAGATGAGGGAACAGGCTAAGCCTGCCGGAGATCATCCCCGCCAGGAAGAGGCCCAGCCGGACACACCCACAAGTGCTCTCAGGCTTTAGAGACCACCCACTGGACCCCCGGCCTGCAGGGGAGCTGTTATCAGGAGCCGAGCTCAGGAGCGGGCGGCTGCCAACGCTTACCTGGCACCCAGACTTTTTCCAGATGCAGTCATAACCCCCCTTTCAGCTTTTTAATTGGTGACTGTTTCTTTCACAGTTTGGGACTGATGTTTCCAGCTGTGTTGGGTCTGCTGTGCTGATTCCTTCGAGATCCCTCTCCCTCCTCCGCCTCGCTTCCCCCCATGCCAGTCAGCAGCACACGGTGCCAGTCAGCAACACATGGCAGGCTTTCTCCTCCTGCCCCAGCCTACCTGGGCCCCCTGTCACACCTTCATCAAATAGAAACCCATTTATGTTTCCTACTGAGATACATTCAGATGCCACTAACTGTACAAATCCCTCTGTGTTCTGACCCCTCCCTCCCTGTGGGCTGCTGATTTTTCAGCTTTCTTTTTATTATTGCCACCCTGAGGAGCCCTTTTCGACCATTCTTCCCAATTGCTCTCCCTACACATGGAATTGTAGTCCCACAGACAGCCTGTTTGTCTGTGTGCATAGCTGTGCTCTACACATACGAGGGAAGCTGTGGCTTCAGAGGGGCCAGTGCCCACCCCCTTTGGTGATGCTACCTCACCTGTGTCCCCCGGCTTCTCACCCGCCTGGATTCTCACCTGCCAGCCTCACTTTCCCTCTGACCCCCCCACACACCAGCTCTGCGTCTTCTCACCTCCATCCTCTGTCTTTCACTTGTATTGAGATAACATTTTCCCATAGTTATCAGAGTGCTATAAGTTCCCTGGGGAGCATCCGGATAATACCACACATAGCAGAAATCAAAGACCTCCTGTGTGCCCCTCACGCAGAAACATTGAAATCACAGCTCTTGGCAGATTTCCTGTCACTTGCCAGTTATCCATGTACCTGGGTGCTCAGTGACATGATGATGTGTTGCAGGCCGACTGGCGTGGACCACATGGCTTCCCCACTGGTTCAAACGTCACGGAGCAGGTTCCCCCCGCTAGTCACGGAGACCAGGGGGCAGAATACAGCAGTTCCTGGATGCCGCCTTGTTTCTGTAAGACAGATTTCATTCTATTTCAGTGGACCATTTAGGTTCTGTATTGGAAAACAAACAAAAACAACCTTGGCACTTCCAAGTGAAATTAGTAACATGAGATCTGAGTAGCTGTATTCAAATGCCTTCATAATCTGTTTCCAGAAAGTAAATGAATGGCTTATGAGAATTTACAGGGAGTGAGAGGCTTAATTCACCGTTTTGTGAAATAAAAGCATGTCTTGAACTAAATCAGAAATTCCAGGTGTCAAGGAAATCTCTGATAGGATAGTGGAGCAAAGAAGAGAGCATGAAATTTGGTCAGGAGACAGGCAGGTCCGCGTGGATCCTGCCACAGAAACTCTCTTCTATGACTTGGTGCAAGTCACTTTAATCTCCCTGAGCCTTAGTGTTCTCTGTAAAAGGGGATTAATGATTCTTACCTCTAAAGAATTGTTAGAAGGACAAAATGAACTCATAGGTGTTAAATGATTCCTGACGTGAAATTATGAGCTCAGTAAATTAGGACCCTGGTCATTTCTATCGGTCATTTTTACAGCTAACCTTTGCTATGTCTATTGCAGTGGAGGGCAATACCTTCTGCAGTCAGACTCGCCTCGGCCAGGCAGTCAGGTCTGCGGGGGGTGTGCTGTGGCCAGCATGCATATCCAGGCAGCCCCCAGGTTTACAGCCACCCCTCACTCCACTTCACACAAGTAACTTGTCTCTATTCATTTTATACAACACAGAAGGACCCCTGTTGTAGGAACATAAAGACATAGTGAGAGAAAAACCCTACCTGGGGCCAGGTTCCCTCCTGCATGCCCTGTGCCACCTTGAGCCCAGCACTGGAACCCATTCCCAGAAGGCAAGAGTTGCAAAGTGTTCATGTTTAACCTTAGAATAACATCATTTTACAAAAGGCAGCGGAGTGCAGTGGCTCACGCCTGTAATCCCAGCACTTTGGGAGGCTGAGGTGGGTGGATCACGAGGGCAAGAGTTCGAGACCAGCCTGGCCAACATAGTGAAACCTCATCTCTACTAAAAATACAAAAAAATTACCTGGATGTGGTGGCACGTGCCTGTAATCCTCACTACTCGGGAGACTGAGGCAGGAGAATCGCTTGAACCCTGGAGGCCAAGGTTGCAGTGAGCCGCGATCACGCCATTGCACTCCAGCCTGGGTGACAGAGCGAGACTCTGTTTAAAAAAAAAAAAAAAAAAAAAAAGGCAAACATCACATTAAAAAGTCTGCTACTTCACAAATGCAGAATTACATTTTCTTAAGGTTTTTTTTATCTCTCTTTCCCTATTATGACACTATAATTTTATCAGGCTTAATAGTGCAGTTACATAATCAAAATATATTTCTTCAGGTATTTATCCTTAGGAGACCTGATCCTTAGTAATGTCTAACTAAAAGTTTCCAAATAGATGAGTGAACGATTGAGCATGTCGAGATTTTCTTTTGTGTTTTTAAGGATTGCATTTATTTTAAACAAGAACATACTATCCTTCATTTAGTACAGAGGAAGGCATCTACAAAACCGTGTGTTGAGTGCCATGCCTGACGGTACAGAACGATCGCGTCTTCGAGAAAGAACAGCCACCCTGGAACGGTTGTCAAGGCCCAGCACAACCCACACGTTCCGGGTGGGTTCTCTGTTTCCTGTAACTTTAATTTTGAAAAACATTTGAAAAAAATGAAACTTGTCCCTGATTTTATTTTTCTTCCAGCAGTCGGATACGCCTCGAAAAAGTTCATTGACACAAATGGAATTTGCTGCTCACACATGGACAGGTCAAAGTATTTTGACAGGTCAGCTTTTCTCCATATGTAAATAAAGTGATGTAGTAAGTGAGATTTCAAGTTTCAGACAGTGAAATGGAAGATGATCTACCTTGATAAGCCTATTTTGCTGTAGGAGGGAATAGCAAATGTTTGGGGCCTGTGGCCTGACCTCAGAAACCTCGATCACAGAGCACACCTGCAGAGACTTACTTACCTGCTGTGAGGTCAAGAAGAGGGGAATGTCCAAAAGCTCTCAATGAACTGGGGGCCTCACTCAAAAAAAAAAAAAAAAAAAAATGCTGTCTTAGGAGCAGTGAGTACCTCTGTCTGCTATAGCGTTTTCATGCTCTATTTCTAAGTGAAACTCTACTCTCAGATTCTCTTTGAAAATCTGATGATAAAAATGCTTGAGAAAATTAACACAGATTTGCTAATTACTTTATAACACAAGGTTTTACAGATAAATAGGTATTCTCAGCCTGGTATGCTGTTTGCAGGATATTCTAGTTTGAATACGGGCCAGTGATGTTTCCAGTTCCAGAACAGTCTCCAACACTGTTTTCAAGGCGTTAGTGTGGCCTCTGGAGTCTGACGTTGGATTTCCACCCTCGCTCTGCCACCGGCTGTGCAACCCTAGGAATGTCCCAACCTCTCTGGCCCTCAGCTTCCTCTTTTATAACAAGCAGGGTACATAAAATCATTATTGGAAAACTGTGAAAAGGATCTAGCTAGATACCAGGCATGTATTGCTCAGAAATGATGAATTATGAACCATTTGTATTATAAATAACCTGAAATTTCAGGGATAATTTATTGTTTTACAGGGAATTTTAAACATATAATTCTAAAAATAAATTTCGTAACATGTAAGCATTGCGTAGCACAGATCTGTCGCTGTCCACATCAGCCCTCCTGTCGTCCTGTAGCATAGTGATGTAGCATAGTGATGTCGAGATTCTTCAGCTCTGTAAAGTTCTGCTCCTGCGCTAGTCGCTCTGGGCTGCTGGGCCTTTTTGTTGCTTTTCTTGTATGTTCCTTAGCAGCATTAGCGGTCATTCACATGTCAACAGCTCGTTCTCTAAAAAGCAGCCATGCTACATGGTCAGGTGTTGCTTTTATTTATTTATTTATTTATTTTGAGATGAAGTCTCACTGCGACGCCCAGGCTGGAGTGCAGTGGTGCAATCTCAGCTCACCGCAACCTCCACCTCCCAGGTTCAAGCGATTCTGCTGCCACAGCCCCCCAAGTAGCTGGGATTACAGGCACATGCCACGATGCCTGGCTAATGTTTGTATTTTTAGTGGAGATGAGGTTTCACCATATTGGCCAGGCTGGTCTCAAGCTCCTGACCTCAGGTAATCCACCCATCTTGGCCTCCCAAAGTGCTGGGATTACAGGCATGAGCCACTGCGCCCAGCCCAGGTGTTGCTTGTAACACGATTGTAGGTGCTTGGGGGGAAGTAGGCGCCCAAGTTAGCTTATCAATCATGGATGGGTGTATCAAGTGCTCACTCTGTGCCAAGGTCTATGCCAAAGGCTGGGATTCAAACAGCAGGGGTGTTTCCGTCTGTGCCTCAAGGAGCATTGAGCCTGGCAGGCAAGCTGGAAAAGGCTGTGAGAGGGGTGAGCAGCACCACCTGGATCCCCTGTCAGATGGCTGGAGGGTGCCGAGGCTTCCTAGAGGAGATGACCATCACAAGGGATGTGAGAGAGAGGGAGTGAGGGCTGACAGATGACTCTCTGGATGGCCAGCGGCGGGTGGTGCTGAGCGAGGGAACTGGGGAAATTCTGACGAGTTCACTTTTGGGGATGCTGACTACAGCACGCCGAGTGGAGGTATCTGGGAAGTAGTTGGAGCACACGTAAGTAGAGGTTTGGAGTGGGAATTGGGTTCTGAATTTGTTCTAAATCTCACTGTTAATCATTGACCAAATGCCAAGTCAGTGTATTCTCTTATCAGTAACTTTTTTTCCTTTAAAATATGCTAGTCATTGTTTCTACAATTATAAAAAATAATACATTATCGAAACAGACAACTTACAAAACACAAAAATCCACCAAGGACAACACAGCCAAGGCCCCTGATCTCACGACGTAGAGAGAACGCGGCTCAAAGGCGTGACCTGTGATGTTGGTGCAATGAGGCGCGTGCCCCATGCAGACGTCCCCAGGCCCCAGGTGAGGCACATGTGGCCTCACACACGGATTTGAGCTTGGGAGCGGGAGGCCTAAGTCTTATCCCTCAAAAGTCTTGTCCCTCAAAAATGGAAAGCTCTTTCTTTCCTCCTGAGCACTCTGTCAACGTCAGCCCACCACGCTGCTCACACAGGGAGTCGCCTCTCTGGCCACCAGCTCAGGCAGCACACCACGATCTAATAGGACATTCAGGAATGAATTAAAAACCAGAGTGGATTCATGGTGACACCTTCGGCATATCACTCACTGCTTTCTGGAAGAGGAGGTGGGGGTAGAGCTGGTATCGGGGGACTGCAGTGACCCCCACTGGGGGCGTCCAGAGGAGTTACATTAACACGTGCAATCACATATGGCCACTTAACTCATGTAGGACCCAGGGAACGGTCCATGCCAGTCATCTGCGCCTCACTGCCTCTTAACTACTGACCCAAGACAAAAGAGCTATTAGAAGAGAGAATGCAGCCAACCAAATGCACAGCTCCAAGAGGTTTTGCATCTGTAACAACAAGCTAACATTTAGTTCTTTGGTTCAAAATATTTCCCCTCCTTAACCATTTTTTTAATGCTTCAAAGTTCATCCCCATTTGGGGAGTGGGAAGGGTATGTCCAGGCCCCCTCAGGATCAGGCTGGCTTTTCTTCCTTTCCACCAGGTGCACAGGCAAAACTGGCCACAGGGGACTCCCTGGAGCTCCATGCAGCTCGGCAGGGCCTGTGCAGTCCGGAAGGGAGGGCAGAGATGCCCAGGGCTGTAGGTGCCGGCCTGTGCAATCCGGAGGAGGCCATGCCTGGTGGTCGTGAGAGACACGGGCCTTGGCACGGAAGTCCTAGCTCTGCTGCTGGGTGCTGTGACACCAGGCATTCCCTGTGGGTCTCAGCTTCCATACCTGTAAAATGGGAATAACACCTCACTTAAGGACTCCTGAAATAAAACACGGAGCAGATAACGCAGTGCCTGGTGCATAACAAGCCTCAACATATCCAAGGACTCATCCTGATCACCCATGAGCCTACTTAAGGTCAACCCTGCCTCATTTAAAAAACAAAACAAGACTGTGCCTTCAAGTTCAGGTAGGGGTGGCCCTGTCCGGGGCCAACCCCCGCCTAGAACCAGCCAGGCTTGTGCTGCTGGAGAGGAATGGCCAAGCCAAGGCACTCGGGACCAGCACTGAGCAGCCTGGTGAGCTCTAAGCCCGCAGAGCAGGCAGGGCCCCCGACAGGCAGGTGGTGTGCAGGGGTCCCTGGGGCACCAAGGGACAGGAAACCTCAGGAGAAGGAGGCCCTTTCACCCGCCAAAGTGGAACCTTCCCCACTGAACACCGGATCTCCCAGCACTGTCTGACCTTCAGTCACATTTTAAACACTGAACAGAGGGACAGAGGGACCTGTGTTCCTTGATGTTTCATCTTTGTTCATCCATCGGTCGTCCTCCAAACCAAAGTCCAGAAGCTTCTGCACTAATTTCGAAGTCAGGCTGAACCTTGAGTCATGAACAAAACTCTTTCAATTTTCCTCTAAGTCTTCATGGAGCTCATCATAAGCAGGATCCTCATAAAGGAATTTCTGAATCATTCCAATCAGTGATTCTAAGAACCACATCTTTCTGCGGTCCTTCTGAGTGGCCCAGCTGTGCAAGAGACATCCCCATGCAAAAGCAAAGCCTTGATAGCACCTGATCTCAGGCCGGATGTTGGCTCCGTGCACCCTGCGGTGCTGCCTTCCTTCAGTGACGCCCACGCTCCTGCCTTCCTCCCAGCCTTCCTGATGCCCTTCCCCATGTAACCCCGCATCCGCCTTCATGATGGCATCCAACACGGCCCGGCTCCCAGGGTCAGGCCCAGACGCACCGCTTCAGAGGATGAGCTCTTATCAGGAACTCTGAGACAGCTACTATTGATGGTCAGAGGTCTTTTCTATATCTGCAGAAGTGATCGAGGGTCCATAAGAGGGATCTTCCTGTCTTTCTGAGGGTTTGTTTTCTTTTTCTCTGACAAGCAGGCACATGACCTCCTTGCTACCTTTGCGTCCAGGTCAAAAAGCACTGGGAACTACTAACTTATCAACTTTTATTATTTCTGTGATAGAAAAAAAAAGGAGCCAAAGGGGTATTCCAGGTAGTGGGAAGGATCCCTTAAAGTACCTGGCATTGCACCTGCCCCTGGGAAGCAGGAGAGCTGCCAGGAAGTAGTGCTCCCTCAGCCTCCTGGGCCAGGACCCGCCTCTGCATGGAAGCTTCTCGTGAATCCACCAGCTCGGGAGGACGCGTGGCCTGCACCTCCGCTTGATTTTGGGGGAGCACACTTCCTTTTCCTTAGGACCCTAATAGGCAGTTTTTGCATATGACTATTTCCTAATTTATACAAAAGTGTATTAAAATAAAATATATATTTTAAAGTATTTGCATGGAGTGTACAAAACAATCGTTCTGAGTGGGTGCCTTTGTAACATTTTAATGAGAATTACCTTTTGCTTGGTGTTTCCAGGTTCACAATATGTGCCTAAATCTTTTCAGAGGACAACTTTGACTTTCAAGAGGAGATTCCAAGTGACATCTTGAAACCACCTCACCAGAACCATTGGAGCACCTGTGGCCTCGGCACACTGCTTATCACTTGAAAAATGGAGGAACAAGTGTTATATTTATCTGTGTGTCTGACAGTGTGAGATGTTAGACCGAGAGAAAAGCAAACAAATAAATCACTTAATCTTGAACACTTTGCACTGTAAAGAGAGTGAAAGTCAAACCCACCAAGCTGCCTTGCTGAAAGCATCTCCAAGGTTCTGTAGGCTTTGTTCAGAAGCCCCTGATGTGTGTTTGCAGTCCGTCATTTTATCAATGATACGCAAACATAATTAGCATGTGTATGTACTCACACACTAATTACATGTAAGAATATATTATCTAGGAATATGTCATTTGTAACTTTGTACTCTGACGTATTTTCTAGTCTCACCCTATTAGTAATTCTGTCAAAATCCTAGACGCTAGTAGATATTAGTATTTGAGACAATATGTCAGAGTCTGAATAAGACTCAGCTTGTTCTAGTCATGCTGAGTTTCTCATATATTTTTTAAAAGTGCTTCCGCCATGAACCTCTTTGAGAAATGTCAGTGGCAAAATCTCCCAAGCTAATTTTCTTTTTCTATGTTCCATCTTCAAATTCAGACAGTTCACGTGAAGTACCCCACATTTATTGATCTTAGGGTTGAATATAAACGCAATTAAAAGCTATGGCAGGTGATGTCATCTTTATTGTTTACAGTCGAAGCTCCTCCATGGGAGGGGAGCCTCCCACCCTCCACGTGCCATCAGGAGCTGGCCTTTGCCCAGACGCCACCACTGCAATGACACCTTCCCAGAGCCCTCGTCTCCTCGCGCTCTGTCCTGCTCTGCCTGGCTTTTCTTCAGAGTGTGTTTCCCCATCTGACATTACTGTAGAAAATGGAGCAGAGAACAGGAAGGGGAATTAGCAGAGATGAGGCTCCAGGCATGTCTTCCTCTTGTCCCTCTCCCCACTGTTTCTCTTGATTGTGATTCAAGTCCTTACACTCATTTTTACATTCTCAAATCTCAAATCAGCTAATTTCCTCTTTTCTATCAGATAATTGCATTTCATCAGTCTAATTTTTACTAATCCAAACTGTAACTTTATAAGGCTATATATATGAGCATATTTATAAACTTAGATTTATAAACTATATACACACATATATGTATCATATAAATGCATAATAAATTACTTTCAGACTATTTCTGGCTGTAAGGAGAAGGGATCATTGCCTACTAGTAGATGTCTGAAATTTTAAAAGATGTGTTGAGACTAACATTAATGTTGTCCTTTATCACAGGGTGACAAAAATGACCCAGAGCCTTGCCTCTGTTTGAAAATTTCTCCTTGACTTTGCTGACTCCATTTCTTTTTTCTTTTCTTTTTTTTTGAAACGGAGTCTGGCTCTGTGGCCCCGGCTGGAGTGCAGTGGCACGATCTCGGCTCACTACAACCTCCACCTCCTGGGCTCAAGCGATTCTCCTGCTTCAGCCTCCTGGGTAGCTAGGATTACAGGTGCATGCCACCACACCCAGCTAAATTTTTTTTGTATTTTTAGTAGAGGCAGGGTTTCACCATGTTAGCCAGGCCGGTGTTGAACTCCTGACCTCAGGTGATCTGCCCACCTCGGCCTCCCAAAGTGCTGGGATTATAGGCGTGAGCTTCCGCGCCTGGCCAGCTGACTCCATTTCTATAGCAATGAGACACATTAGGCAGCAGCAGCAGCAGCAGCAGCAGCGACCACCAGGTCCATGCCTCTTTTCCGTGGTCACAGCTCCATGTGTCCGGGGAAGATTGCTAATGCTTAGTTTCCTGCACAAAGCAAACCAAAGCATTTTTGAGAATTTTCTACATTATTCCTAAACATTAGCAATAGAAACTTTTAAGAGCAAATGCCAGTCTTAATTCAGCAGCTCTCCCACTTGAGGAATAGTTAGATATGTGAGTAGCCTGGAGCCCATGTTATAGGGCTGCTGGTTAGGTGCTCTCTGGTGCATCATTACTGCTCAAAGCATGACCCACTTGCTCTTTCAGATCCACTCAGGGTATTTTATGTCCATTTCCAGGAACCATCCAACTCCTTCCCTATTCAGTCCAAACTTCCTTTTTTTTTTTTTTTACTTGAAGTTCAGGGGTACATGTGCAGGTTGTTACATAGGTAAACTTGTGTCGTGGGAGTTTGTTGTACAGATTATCACCCAGGTATTAAGCCTAGTATCCATTAGTTATTTTTCCTGATCCTCTCCCTCCTTCCACCCTCCACCCTTTGATAGGCCCTAGTGTGTGCTGTTCCCCTCTGTGTCCATGTGTTCTCATCATTTAGCTCCCACTTAGAAGTGAGAACGGATGGCATTTGTTTTTCTGTTTCTGCATTAGTTTGCTAAGGATAATGACTTCCAGCTCCAGCCATGCCTCTGCAAAGGACATAATCTCATTCTTTTTTATGAGCTCAAGCTTCGTAGTAGGGAAAACACCGGATATTCAGTCTAAACTAACATTAAGGTAGGGTATCCAAGATAAAATGTTTTTTCTTTGAAAACCACTGAATATACTTTATGGTAGCTTTACCTTGTTTGGCTCCAGAGGTTTGCAAATAAGAATCTATTATTTATATATATATATTGGTAAAAGACAAAATATTTTTTAAAAAGTGATCTTGAGTCTTCTAAACATTAAATTGGAAGATAAAGTGCCATTTTAGAGATTACATAGAGACTTGGCCCTGTCATTGATTTTAAAAATGACCTTCTCATTGCACTGATTTTTACTCCATGTTAAAGTTAGTATTTTATTTATACATTAAATTAGATTTAGAGATTAGTAAATAATGCTTATATCAAGGATGGTGCTTTTTAAGCTAATTAGGTAAAAATTAGGGCAGTGTTTTATAATCTACTTTAATAAATGAGTCTTACCTTAGAATTAATCTATTAAAAATTAAAAAAGAAAAATTGAACTACTTCTGAGATAGATTTTTAAATTCAGATTAGTGAATTTTACACTAATTGAATTACATTAATTAAAATGCCTGTTAGTTTATCCAAAACCAAAGAAAGAATGAAGAAATTTTAAAACAATCTAAGAAAATGTAAAATACCATAGAAAACTGCTAGATTTTGTGAATTTAATATAAAAGGAAGTATCCATATTGATATTATTCTGAACTAGATGGAATTTCTACACCAATTCAGAAGTACGTTTTTATATATCATTTGGATATTATATTTTTTATTGTTTTATTATAACTACAGATCATTGTGTAGGATTTTTGATTCCTTAATTTCTAATAAAATATAAAAGTGTTAAAAGAGTTTTCAAAAATGTGTAACATTTATAAAAGTATTTTTAGATTCCCAATTTTTGTATCATTTGTGCAAATATCTCTCTATTCTGCAGTTTCTAATACATAGGTATTTATTATTTCTAACTACATAGTAAACTTTCCCCAGTAAATTCTAAGTATATGTCCATATATATTTGCAAAGGCTTTACATAATTTATGAATACTCCGTTGTAATGTTTGTTTCAGAAGATTATGCTCCTGTGTGGTAATCATCATGGATTTGATTTCATCAAACATTTATTAAGCACTTTCTTGGTGTAAGATTTTGTTCTAAGCATTATAGTGAACAAGACAGTCTTTGGCCTAAAAGAACTTAGATTGTAGTGGAGGCGACAGACTATAAACAATTAAATAAAAACATGATACAGGTCAGTTAGCAATAAGTGCTATGAAGAAACAAAGCGAGGCAAGGTGACGGAGTGGAAGGAGCTGCAACTTTCCATCGAGCGGCTGGGGAAGGCTGTGTTGCAGAGGTGATATTTGAGCAAACCCCAAAGAAGATGAGAAAAGAAGCCTGGGAGATATCTGGGGAGAAAGAACTGTAGACAGAGCAGAAAGCATGTGCCTAAACAAGAGTCCACCTGGAATGTCTGAAGAACAGCAGAGAGGCCAGTTCATGGGATGCGCTTGGCAAGGGAGTGAATAATGGGAGCTCAGTGAGCTAACAGGAGCTGAGGGACTGAGGTCCCTTTTGGACTATGGGAAATATGAAATAAGAAGCCACTGGAGCAGTTGAGTTTTGGGGATAGAATGATATAATCGACAAGAGATGATCCTGTTTCAGTCAGATGATAGTGGTAAGGCTGATGAGAATCCCAGGACTTTGCATGTGTTTTGAAATTTGAGCCAAAAGATGTGCTGTTGGATGAGAGGTGGAGTGTGTCTACCAAAAGAATCGAGAATGCCTCCAGGCTTTTGGCTTCACACTTGGAAGGATGGTGTTGACACTCACTGAAATTGGAAAGACTGCAAGGGGAACACGTTTGGCAGCATGAGGGGCAAGTTATGTGTGAGATGCCAATTAGATGCCTAAGTGGAGATATTGAGATATTTGGATATCCACACTTGGGTGTGGAGGTGAGGTATAGACTGGATGTATAAATTTGGGGATTGTCAGCACGTAGATGGTATTTAAGAACTGAAATGGATGAGGCAACCAAGAAAATGAGTGTAGAGAAATGGAGGAAAAAGAAGTACTGAGCCTTGTGCCTTTTAACATCTAAAGGCCTGGGATGTGAAGGAAAACCAGCAAAGCAGACTGAGAAAGAATGGCTGGTGAAGGGAAATAAGAGTCAGGAGAATGTGGCGTCCTCAAAGTATGTGTGTGTTTGTGCGGGGGAAGTGTTTCAAGGAAGTGATAGGGACTCAAGTATGTTGAATGCTGTTGATGAGTCAATTACGATGAGGTCTGAGAATCAGACTAAAGGTCTAGCCACATGGAAGTTACTGGTGGCCTTGACAAGATCTGCTAGGTGAATGGACAAGGCGAAAGTAGGCTTGCAGTGGGTTTGGGAGAAAAGAAGAAGAGAGAAATCCAAGACAGTAGTCATGGGCAAGTCTTCCAGGGAATTTTTCTGTACAGGGGAGTAGAGTATGTGTGTGTGTGTGTGTGTGTGTGTGTGTGTGTGCATGCACGTGTGTTTCCTAGTAAGGTTCATCTTGATGAATGTCATTATTCAGTATAAAAATGTTGATCCAAAAAGGAAGATAGCTCTAGTGTTCTCTGGAGGACATGCAGAGTGTATTCCCACTGGAAAATTAAAGAAAAAGCTGACAGAGCTGAGTGAATAGTAAGTTATAACTCAGAAGCAACATTCAGAGAAGGCTACACCTTGTGAAGGATGTCTTCAGAGTTCACAAAAAGAACATTGTGGGGGTGAAAGTTTTAGCTTAGAAGGCAAAAGATTTCAAAAATATACAGAATCAAAATGATGTTAAAAATAAACATGGAGGCATTCCACTACTGTTTATGAAAGAATAGTTCATGAGCAAACTGACCTACTGAGAACAACTATAAAAGCTATAAATGGACAAGAAACAGCTCTTTGGAGGCACGCGTGGACACCCACATCCACACCCACCCAGCCCCCCAAGACAAAGCAGCACAACTTCAGGAAACAAATTGGGAGACAACAGGAATAATACATTGAGATGAACCCCATATTTGCTACTGTTTTCTTTCCCTGTATCAATATATTTTAGATTAGTAATGGGGCATAGAGGCCAAGAAAAAGGGATACCCTCAAAATTTGTGACAAGCTCACTAGGCTGCCAAAAGGAATGATGTTGGGAAATGTCTCAGACTTTGAATTGATAATCTTGAAGGACTACACTCTAGGAGTAAGGGCAAGCTTAATACAGACAAGTCCTCAAAACACTAGAAGCAGAACCTAGAATCAATGAAACCTCTGTTTAGATCCAGGTTATATGCCTGTACTTTATATGACCACCAGAAAAAGTATCCTCTTTAAAGAAATATAGCATCACCTAGAATTTCTATTATTTTTATATACAATGTACAGCATTCAATCTAAAATTAAGAGACAGCCCAGGATATAGGGCCAAGTGACTGAAAGCCAAGAGAGAAAACAAAATTATAATGGACCCACACGTGATTAAAATAGTAGCACTATCAGGTACAAGCTAAGAAACAATTTGATTTGCACATTCAAAAATATATTGAAAAACAATTTCAAGAGAGAACTGTAATCTGAAAAATAATCAAACTGATATCCTAGAAATGAATAATACAATGACTCAATAATTCACTAGCTGTGTTGAACTGCAGATTACACATAGCAGACAAGAGGCTTAGTAAACTGGAAGGCAGGTCAATACACAGTATTCACTTTGAACAAGCATAAAAAATAGATATTCCTTAAAAATTGTGAGGCCATGTGAAAAAATCTCATATCCGTGTAATGATAGTCATAGAGGAGAAAGAGAATAGAACAATGCAGTATTGAACAGATACCATGAAAGAATCTTCCAAAAATAGATAGAAGACATCGATGCAGTCATTTAAGAAGCTATAAGAAACACAAGATAGAAAGCAAAACATACTCAGGTCCATCACAAACTGCTAGAAACCCCAAATCAAAAAGAACCAAACAGCAGTCAGAGGGAGGGGGGAAAGACTCATTATCTTCAAAGAAGCAACAATAAGACTAATATTTGACTTTTCAACACAAGTGATGGAAGCTGAAAGACAATATAAAAAGCATCTTTAAAGTGCTGAAAAAAATAATTGCCAACCCAGAATTTTATACGTAGTAAACATATACCTCAAAAATGAGGGCAAAAGAGCAGTATTTTCAGATAAACCAAAATTGGGAATTTATCACCGGCAAATCTGTACTAAAGGAAATACAAACGAGAGCTCTTCACAGAGTAGGAAAATTATCCCAGAAGGAAGTACAATGATAAAAGAAGAAGTAATAAAGATCAGAATGTATACATACGTGGGAAAATAGAAAAGAATACTTACTGTATAAAATAATGAGTAATACAGAATTCAGTATATATTTGGGATTAAAATATTATAGAAATAGCTTAAAATTGGGAAGGGTTTATTTGCTGTTAAAGTGTTATAGATTCATCATTGTCCAGGATTACTGTTCTAAGGTAGAGTTTTATAAAGCAGTGCGTGTGATATAGCGAGATGAAGGCACAAAATACTATCAGGAATGAAAATAGGCATACCACTGCTGATTCTATAGATGTGAAAAAAGATAAGCATTATACTATGAATAACTTGATTTGGTAATTTAGATGAAAATTAAAACTTTGAAAAAATCACATCACTCAAGAAGAAATAGAAAATTTGAAAAGGGTTATGTCTATTATAAGACTTAAATGTATTATTAAAAGCCTTCTCACAAAGACAACTCCAAGTCCTGCTGACTTCATTGGTTAATCCTTCCAAATATTTAAGGAAAAACTAATACCACTAGTAGCAATATCAAAAAGCTCTTCAGGCCTGGGCATAGTGGCTCATGCCTATAATCCCAGCACTTTGGGAGGCTGAAGCAGGAGGATTGCTTGAGCCCAGAGGCTCGAGGTTACAGTGAGTTATGATCACGCCACTGCACTCCAGCCTGGGTAACAGAGTGAGACTTTGTCTCTCTAAAAAACTAACAAAAAAGTTATTCAAGATGATTGTCATTTTGTAAGGCTACCACAACCCTGATACAAAACCTAACAAGGACATTACAAAAAAAAAAAGTAAATTACAATAAAGTAACTGAGAATTATAAAAAAAAAAAAAAAAGCGAATTATAGGCCAATATCATCCCTGAACTCCCAAGCAAAATCAAATCAGTAATATATGAAATAGATAATACGTACCATCCAAATTAAATTTATTTCAGAAATGCAAGTTTGATGTACCATGTGAAAATCATTCAGTGCAACAAATGATGTAAGGAAACAAGCATGGGATCTTCTCGAAAGATGAAGAAAATGTCTTTATAAAAATTCTTAGTCAACCAGGAAGATAAGAATATCACTGTTATCTCTTCATGAGTATCTAGGGGAAAAAAACAACTGCAAACTGCATACTTAGTGGTAATTTTATTCTGATTTTACTTACTGAAGAAGCTATACTTCCTGAGATCAGATAATACGAAGTGTCAGCTACCGCCACTGTTATTCATGATACAGAATATATTTTCCACCCCAGCAGGGCAAGATTAAATTATTAAAGGGTCTTAAGATTTAGGAAGAAAGAAACAATTTGGTTTTTCACAGAAAACATGATTGTGTACATAGAAAATCCAAAATAATTACAAACACACTTAAAAATGTGATTTAACAACATCATTGAAAACAGTCAATATAAAAATTACGTGCATTTCTATATAACAACAGATAATACAATTTATAAAAATACAATATAATAGATTCAAAAATCAAATACCTAGGAATAAATTTAATAAAAATGAGTATATTAGAGTTCTTCAGAGCAACAAAATTATTAGGAGATATTAGATTATGTAATATAATGTATATCTGGAGGGAGAGAGTTTTTCTTTTTTTTGATTTGAGTGTATTTTATTTTATTTTATTTTTTATTATACTAAGTTCTAGGGTACATGTGCACAATGTGCAGGTTTGTTACATATGTATACATGTGCCATGTTGGTGTGCTGCACCCATTAATTCGTCATTTACATTAGGTATATCTCCTAATGCTATCCCTCCCCTCTCCCCACACCCTATGACAGGCCCTGGTGTGTGATGTTCCCCATCCTGTGTCCAAGTGTTCTTATTGTTCAATTCCCACCTATGAGTGAGAACATGTGGTGTTTGGGTTTCTGTCCTTGCGACAGTTTGCTCAGAATGATGGTTTCCAGCTTCATCCATGTCCCTACAAAGGACATGACCTCATCCTTTTTTATGGCTACATAGTATTCCATGGTGTATATGTGCCACATTGTCTTAATCCAGTCTATCATTGATGGACATTTGGGTTGGTTCCAAGTCTTTGCTATTGTGAATAGTGCCGCAGTAAACATACGTGTGCATGTGTCTTTATAGCAGCATGATTTATAATCCTTTGGGTATATACCCAGTAATGGGATGGCTGGGTCAAATGGTATTTCTAGTTCTAGATCCTTGAGGAATTGCCACACTGTCTTCCACAATGGTTGAACTAGTTTACAGTCCCACCAACAGTGTAAAAGTGTTCCTATTTCTCCACATCCTCTCCAGCACCTGTTGTTTCCTGACTTTTTAATGATCGCCATTCTAACTGCTGTGAGATGGTATCTCATTGTGGTTTTGATTTGCATTTCTCTGATGGCCAGTGATGATGAGCATTTTTTCATGTGTCTGTTGGCTGCATAAATGTCTTCTTTTGAGAAGTGTCTGTTCATATCCTTCGCCCACTTGTTGATGGGGTTGTTTGATTTTTTTCTTGTAAATTAGTTTAAGTTCTTTGTAGATTCTGGATATTAGCCCTTTGTCAGATGGGTAGATTGCAAAAATTTTCTCCCATTTTGTAGGTTGTCTGTTCACTCTGATGGTAGTTTCTTTTGCTGTGCAGAAGCTCTTTAGTTTAATTAGATCCCATTTGTCAATTTTGGCTTTTGTTGCCATTGCTTTTGGTGTTTTAGACATGAAGTCCTTGTCCATGCCTATGTCCTGAATGGTATTGCCAAGGTTTTCTTCTAGGGTTTTTATGGTTTTAGGTCTAACATTTAAGTCTTTAATCCATCTTGAATTAATTTTTTATAAGGTGTAAGGAAGGGATCCAGTTCCAGCCTTCTGCATATGGGCTAGCCAGTTTTCCCAGCACCATTTATTAAATAGGGAATCCTTTCCCCATTTCTTGTTTTTGTCAGGTTTGTCAAAGATCAGATGGTTGTAGATGTGTGGTATTATTTCTGAGGGCTCTGTTTTGTTCCATTGGTCTATATCTTTGTTTTGGTACCAGTACCATGCTGTTTTGGTTACTGTAGGCTTGTAGTATAGGTTGAAGTCAGGTAGCGTGATGCCTCCAGCTTTGTTCTTTTGGCTTAGGATTGACTTGGCAATGCGGGCTCTTTTTTGGTTCCATATGAACTTTAAAGTAGTTTTTTCCAATTCTGTAAAGAAAGTCATTGGTAGCTTGATGGGGATGGCATTGAATCTATAAATTACCTTGGGCAGTATGGCCATTTTCACAATATTGGTTCTTCCTATCCATGAGCATGGAATGCTCTTCCATTTGTTTGTGTCCTCTTTTATTTGGTTCAGCAGTGGTTTGTAATTCTCTTTGAAGAGGTTATTCACATCCCTTGTAAGTTGGATTCCTAGGTATTTTATTCTGTTTGTAGCAATTGTGAATGGGAGTTCACTAATGATTTGGCTCTCTGTTTGTCTGTTATTGGTGTATAGGAAAGCTTGTGATTTTTGCATATTGATTTTGTATCCTGAGACCTTGCTGAAGTTGCTTATCAGCTTAAGGAGATTTTGGGCTGAGATGATGGGTTTTCTAAATATACAGTCATGTCATCTGCAAACAGGGACAATTTGACTTCCTCTTTTCCTAATTGAATACCCTTTATTTCTTTCTCCTGCCTGATTGCCCTGGCCAGAACTTCCAACACTATGTTGAATAGGAGTGGTGAGAGAGGGCATCCCTGTCTTGTGCCAGTTTTCAAAGGGAATGCTTCCAGTTTTTGCCCATTCAGTATGATATTGGCTGTGGGCTTGTCATAAATAGTTCTTATTATTTTGAGATATGTCCCATCAATACCTAATTTATTGAGAGTTTTTAGCATGAAGGGTTGTTGAATTTTGTCAAAGGCCTTTTCTGCATCTATTGAGATAATCATGTGGTTTTTGTCTTTGGTTCTATTTATATGCTGGATTACATTTATTGATTTGCATATGTTGAACCATCCTTGCATCCCAGGGGTGAAGCCCACTTGATCATGGTGGATAAGCTTTTTGATGTGCTGCTGGATTTGGTTTGCCAGTATTTTATTGAGGATTTTTGCATCGATATTCATCAGGGATATTGGTCTAAAATTCTCTTTTTTGTATGTGTCTCTGCCAGGCTTCGGTATCAGGATGATGCTGGCCTCATAAAATGAGTTAGGGAGGATTCCCTCTTTTTCTATTGATTGGAATAGTTTCAGAAGGAACGGTACCAGCTCCTCTTTGTACCTCTGGTGGAATTCGGCTGTGAATCCATCTGGTCCTGGACTTTTTTTGGTTGGTAGGCTCTTAATTATTGCCTCGATTTCAGAGCCTGTTATTGGTCTATTCAGGGATTCAACTTCTTCCTAGCTTAGTCTTGGGAGGGTGTATGTGTCCAGGAATTTATCCATTTCTTCTAGATTTTCTAGTTTATTTGCATAGAAGTGTTTATAGTATTCTCTGAGGTAGTTTGTATTTCTGTGGGATCGGTGGTGATATCCCCTTTATCATTTTTTATTGCGTCTATTTGATTCTTCTCTGTTTTCTTCTTTATTAGTCTTGCTAGCGGTCTATCAATTTTGTTGATCTTTTCAAAAAACCACATCCTGGATTCATTGATTTTTTGAAGGGTTTTTTGTGTCTCTATCTCCTTCGGTTCTGCTCTGATCTTAGTTATTTCTTGCCTTCTGCTAGCTTTTGAATGTGTTTGCTCTTGCTTCTCTAGTTCTTTTAATTGTGATGTTAGGGTATCAATTTTAGATCTTTCCTGCTTTCTCTTGTGGGCATTTAGTGCTATAAATTTCCCTCTACACACTGCTTTAAATGTTTCCCAGAGATTCTGGTATGTTGTGTCTTTGTTCTCATCGGTTTCAGAGAACATCTTTATTTCTGCCTTCATTTCATTATGTACCCAGTAGTCATTCAAGAGCAGGCTGTTCAGTTTCCATGTAGTTGAGCGGTTTTGAGTGAGTTTCTTAATCCTGAGTTCTAGTTTGATTGCACTGTGGTCTGAGAGACAGTTCGTTATAATTTCTGTTCTTTTACATTTGCTGGGGAGTGCTTTACTTCCAACTATGTGGTCAATTTTGGAATAAGTGCGATGTGGTGCTGAGAAGGATGTATATTCTGTTGATTTATGGTGTAGAGTTCTGTAGATGTCTATTAGGTCTGTTTGGTGCAGAGCTGAGTTCAATTCCTGGATATCCTTCTTAACTTTCTGTCTCGTGGATCTGTCTAATGTTGACAGTGGGGTGTTAAAGTCTCCCATTATTATTGTGTGGGAGTCTAAGTCTCTTTATAAGTCTCTAAGGACTTGCTTTATGAATCTCAGTGCTCCTGTATTGAGTGCATATATATTTAGGATAGTTAGCTCTTCTTGTTGAATTGATCCCTTTACCATTATGTAATGGCCTTCTTTGTCTCTTCCGATCTTTGTTGGTTTAAAGTCTGTTTTATCAGAGACTAGGATTGCAACCCCTGCTTTTTTTTTTTGTTTTCCATTTGCTTGGTAGATCTTCCTCCATCCCTTTATTTTGAGCCTATATGTGTCTCTGCACGTGAGATGGGTCTCCTGAATACAGCACACTGATGGATCTTGACTCTTTATCCAGTTTGCCAGTCTGTGTCTTTTAATCGGCACATTTAGCCCATTTACATTTAAGGTTAATATTGTTATGTGTGAATTTGATCCTGTCATTATGATGTTAGCTGGTTATTTTGCTCGTTAGTTGATGCAGTTTCTTCCTAGCCTGATGGTCTTTACAATTTGGCATGTTTTTGCAGTGGCTGGTACCAGTTGTTCTTTTCCATGTTTGGTGCTTCCTTCAGGAGCTCTTGTAAGGCAGGCCTGGTGGTGACAAAATCTCTCAGCATTTGCTTGTCTGTAAAGGATTTTATTTCTCCTTCAATTATGAAGCTTAGTTTGGCTGGATATGAAATTCTGGGTTGAAAATTCTGTCCTTTAAGAATGTTGAATATTGGCCCCCACTCTCTTCTGGCTTGTAGAGTTTCTGCTGAGAGATCAGCTGTTAGTCTGATGGGCTTCCCTTTGTGGGTAACCTGACCTTTCTCTCTGGCTGCCCTGAACATTTTTTCCTTCATTTTGACTTTGGTGACTCTGACAATTATGTGTCTTGGAGTTGCTCTTCTCGAGGAGTATCTTTTTGGCGTTCTCTGTGTTTCCTGAATTTGAATGTTGGCTTGCCTTGCTAGGTTGGGGAAGTTCTCCTGGATAATATCCTGAAGAGTGTTTTCCAACTTGGTTCCATTCTCCCCATCACTTTCAGGTACACCAATCAGACATAGATTTGGTCTTTTCACATAGTCCCATATTTCTTGGAGGCTTTGTTCGTTTCTTTTTAATCTTTTTTCTCTAGACTTCTCTTCTCACTTCATTTCATTCATTTACTCTTCAATCACTGATACCTATTCTTCCAGTTGATCGAATTGGCTACTGAAGCTTGTGCATGCATTACATAGTTCTCGTGCCATGATTTTCAGCTCCATCAGGTCATTTAAGTTCTTCTCTACGCTGTTTATTCCAGTTAGCCATTCGTCTACTCTTTTTTCAAGGTTTTTAGCTTCTCTGCGATGGGTTCCAACATCCTCCTTTAGCTCCGAGAAGTTTGTCATTACCGATCGTCTGAAGCCTTCTCCTCTCAACTCATCATAGTCATTCTCCGTCCAGCTTTGTTCCATTGCTGGTGAGGAGCTGCATTCCTTTGGAGGATATGAGGCACTCTGATTTTTAGAATTTTCAGCTTTTCTGCTCTGGTTTCTCCCCATCTTTGTGGTTTTTATCTACCTTTGGTCTTTGATGATGGTGACGTACAGATGGGGTTTTGGTGTGTATGTCCTTTCTGTTTGTTAGTTTTCCTTCTAACAGTCAGGACCCTCAACTCCAGGTCTGTTGGAGTTTGCTGGAGGTCCACTCCAGACCCTGTTTGCCTGGGTATCACCAGTGGAGGCTGCAGAACCACAGATATTGCAGAATGGCAAATGTTGCTGCCTGATCATTCCTCTGGAAGCTTCCTATCAGAGGGGTGCCCAGCTGTATGAGGTGTCAGTCAGCCCCTACTGGGGGGTGCCTCCCAGTTAGGCTACTCAGGGGTCAGGGACCCACTTGAGGAGGCAGTCTGTCTGTTCTCAGATCTCAAACTCCGTGCTGGGAGAAGCACTACTCTCTTCAAAGCTCAGTTGGAAATGCAGAAATCACCCGTCTTCTGAGTCCCTCATGCTGGGAGCTGTACATTGGAGCTGTTCCTATTTGGCCATCTTGGAACCTCGATTTTCGAGAGTTATTTCTTTTAAGGGAAAAGGGAGCTGGCAAGTTTGAAATCGGTAAGGCAAGCTGGAAGGCTGGAAATTCAGGTAAGAGTTCAGTATTGAGTCTGAAATCTACAGGACAAGGCAAGTAGGCTGGAAATTGTGGTAGGGTCTCTGTGTTGCCATCTTGAGGCCAGATTCTTTATTCTTCAAAAAACCTCAGTCTTTTTTTTTTTCTTTTTTCAGACGGAGTTTTGCTCTTGTCACCCAGATTGGTGTGCAATGGTGCAATCTCAGCTCACTGCAAACTCCGCCTCCTGGGTTCAAATGATTCTCCTGCTTCAGCCTCCCAAGTAGCTAGGATTACAGGCATGTGCCACCACACTCGGCTAATTTTGCATTTTTAGTAGAGACGGGGTTTCACCATGTTGGCCAGGCTAGTCTCGAACTCCTGACCTCAGCTGATCCACCCACTTCGGCCTCCCAAAATGCTGGGATTACAGGCGTGAGCCACTGAGCCTGGCCAAAACCTCAGTCTTTATTCTTGAGGTCTTCACTAGTTGGACAAGGCCCACTCACATTCTGGAGGGCAATCTGCTTTACCCTAAGTCTACTGATTTAAACGTTAACCACTTCTTAAAAATACCTTGACAGCAATATCCAGATTGGTGTTTGACCACATAACCTGGCCCCATAACCAAATAGGCACATAAAATCCATTATAGTAGGTAAGACTTCGTCAAAGAGGTCTAGAAAACATTTCTGGGAGAAATTAACGAAGACCCAAATAAATGAAGCGATATATCATGTTCATGGATTGGAAGACTCAGTGCAAGTATTATAAAGATGTCAGTTCTCTTCAAATTGATTTTTATATTTAATTCAATCACAAAATACCATCAGGGAGTGTGTGTGTGTGTGTGTGTGTGTGTGTTGATATTATTCTAAAATTTATAGGGAAATACAAAGCACCCAAAATAGCAAGATAGTCTTGATGAATTTGAAAAACAAGTTAAATAACTTATACCAAGAAATATCAAGACTTATAAAATTATTAATTAAAATTATCTGTTATTGGCACACAAATGGACAAATAGCAGTAGAACAGAACAGATCATATGCATGTGTGCAATCCCCTGATTTATGACAAGGTGACATTCCATGCATTGATTAAAAGACGGTCTTTTCATTAAATTGTATTGAATCCATTGAATATTCATATTTTTATTTAGAAGGGTGTCAAACTCCACTACCACATACATACACAAATACATTACAGATGCAAGTTCTTGGATCTAAATTAGAAAGGGAAGATTATGAAGCTTTTAGAAGGTTAATGTAAGAGAGAATATCTGTTTTAGCTTGTGGTAGGCAAAGATTTTCTAAACAAGATGCATAAAACATTAACTATAATGAAAAAGATAAATAACTGGACTTCATTAAACTTTAAAACATTCTTATTCATTCAAATACATCAGCGATGGTTTGACTGTGTGCCCCAAAGTTCATGTGTTGGAAACTAATCCCCAATGCAACAGTGGTGAGAGGTGGGACCATTAAGAGGTGTTTAGGCCATGAGGGCTCTGCCCTCACAAATGGATTAATGCTACTATTGTGGGAGTGGGTTCCTAATTAAAGGATGAATTCAGCCCCCTTCTTCTTGCTGTCTCTCGTTTACTCTTGTGCCTTTCACCTTCTGCCATGGGATGATGCAGCAGAAGGCCCTCATCAAATGTGACTCCTCTTTCTCGGACTTCCCAGCCTCCAGAACCGTACCAGTCTGTGATATTTGGTTATAGGAGCACAAAGTGAACTATGACAACATCATTAAGAGGGTGATAAGGCAAACTACAGAGAGGAAGAAACTTGGCAATACATAGCTGGCAAAGGATTTGTATTCATATATAATTTATTATGTAATAATTGCTCATTAATTATTTATAATTCCTACAAATCACTAAAAATCCAGACAACTACAACGTTCAACACGGAAAATGATTTAATAGGTGCTCTCTGAAATAGCCAACAATCTTCTGAAATGATGCTGACTATCCTAGGTCACTAGGAAAATTCATACTAAACTTTCAACGCTCAGCCTAGGCAACATGGCGAAACCCTGTCTCTACTAAAAATACAAAAATTAGCCTGGTGTGGTGGCATGCCCCCGTAGTCCCAGCTACTCAGACGGCTGAAGCGGGAGGATTGCTTGAGCCTGGGAAGTTGAGGCTGCAGTGAGCTGAGATCATGCCACTGCACTACAGTCTGGGTGAGAGAGTGAGATCCTGTCTCACATAATAAATAAATAAATAAATAAATAAATAAATAAATACTCAATGCAGTTTTAGTACAAGACCCAACTGAATGGCTTTGCAAAAAAAAAAAAAAAAAAAAGACAATACCAAACATTGGCAAGTATATGGAGCCACTGGAACTATCAGAGATTGCTCATGAGTGTGTAAATTGGTACAAATGTGGAAAACTGGCAAGAAGTACTAAGTCTAAATGTATGCATGCCTTATGACCTAGCAATTCCATTCCTGGGCATATTTACAGGAAGGAGAAATATGTACATATGTGTATCAAAAGACATCTACAACAATGATCATACAAAATTCTTCACAACATAGGAAAACTGGAAACAACTGAAACATCCATTGGCAGTAAAATGAATAATAAATTATAATATATTCCAACAATGGAATAATAAACAGCTGTGAAAAATAAGGGAAAATATTACACATGGCAATATAGTCAATATAGATTGTCATAAATCAGGTGATTGTACACATACATATGATCTGTTTTATTGCTGTTTTCCATTTGTGTGCCAATTACATGATTTTAATTAATAATGTTATAAGTCTTGATATTTCTTGGTATAAGTTATCTAACTTGTTTTTCAAATTCATCTAAACTCAGGGTTGAGTTTAGGAAGCCAGATACGAAAAAGTGCATGCTGTATGATTTCACGTTGTATCGCATGATCTGGGTTGTGGTTACATGGAAGTGATGGTTTGTTCATGAAACTGGACGTTTGAGTGTTGTATACTTTATTTGATCCTTGTACTTGTGATTCAAAATTTCATAACAACTTCCTGCTACCCTTTATGATTTGATGTGTGTAAGTAGAGTTTGCAGATAATGTAGTTCTATACTGAGCTATGAATTTATTTTTATAATGTACATTGTTTTGTATTAAGAATCATTCCAAGTGACAGAAAATTTGCGAAATCAAAGTATTAACATTTATAAAACCCTTCTGTTGTTTATACTATTCTGGCCATGACTTTCAAAAGCACTGATTTTTAGGGGGACAGAGTATCAAAGAAAGACCTTGGCTAAAGAAAGCTCTTTCAAGTGGGAAGGGCATCATAGAGAATGGATCTTGAGGAGTGAAAGTCAGGAGATGCCTTCCTACTCAGCTGCATAGCTCATGAAGCTGACAACCCGCAGAGTTATAAATGTTGTGGGTAGATTGCCTTCACACTGGCCTTGCAATCATCTGCTACACTGAGCACCATTACATTTCATGGTGGACATTCTAAGGTGTGACACTGTGTACTCTGCTGTCAGGAGGCTTTCCGGGGAGAAGGGTCTTGCCAAGGATTTCTTGCACTCCCAGCCACCTGACTGGTTTAGTCTGAAATTTCAGTATTCCAGGGTAGTATGAGAAAGGCCCTATCTGGTAACAAAGAAAGCATAAGAAAGATGGCTAAGGGAACAAAGGGACAAGGCTTTTATTTTGTTCTTTACCCACAGATTGCCTTCAAAATAAAGATAAAGCGTCTAAGCCTGGCAGTGCAGGTCTCTTTAAGCTGGCTCCATACCCACCCACCTCATCCTGCACCTGTCACTGCGTGGGACCCTGTGCTCCAGGCAGGGGCACCTCACTGCCCCCTGAGCTCATTTTACCCCTCCTGGCTCTGCAGCATTTCTGACCATTTCTGCCCAGGCCGAGACTCACTGCTGCCCAGAGCAATCTCCCTTCTCTCCTTCTGGAGGGGAGGGGTTGTATGTTACCCGCCTGGTTTTATCCACAGAGGTTAGCAGAGACTGATACAGACAAACCCTTTTTCTTTCTAATTTTAGATTCAAGAGCACATGTGCAGGTTTGTTAAATTTGCCTGACGCTGAGGTTTGAGTTTCTATTGATCCCCTCACCTGAATAGGGAACACAGTACCCAATACACAGTTTTTCAACCATTACTCCCCTTCCTTCCTCCCCCTATTTTAGAATCCCCAGTATGTAGACAAATTGTTTACTTTTATAGCTGTAATTAACCTTATTATAGCTCAGCCTCAACCCTTTAGAGAGGAGGAAACTAAAGCCCATGAGACTTGCTTAAAGATACTAAGTGAACATATTTATTTTTTAAAGTGTTAAAGTGATTAAACAATGTAGACGTGAATGAAATAAAAAGCGTAAGTTCCCCATCTTCATTCCCACTCCATAGAGCTGATCAGTATTTTTACTTGCAGACATTAGTGGAGCCGTAGAGAAAGAAACCTTTTCTCCAAAAGAAGGCATTACTTTACACACTCCGTTCTGCAACTTGTTTTGTTCACTTGCTATTTCACGTCAGCCCATGCAGATGACTTAAAACAAATTCAAATGGAGAAAAGCCTTAGGCATGTTTTTCTCTGCACTAAAGAGGCCCTGCAGGTGGCTGTGGCCAACTTATGCAGTGGCTTCGAGTGAACGAACGTAATTAGTAATTAAGCAAAGCGGGCATCCAGGACATTCAGTTTCATCTTCCTGGCACTTTAGTGTTTAGGAAGGGCCTGGCCTCTCGGGGAGCGACACTCCTCGCCCGGCCACTTTGTAAGAAGCATCGAGCGTGGAAAAGGGGCTGGGGTCAGCACTGGGGCCCTCTGCCGGGAAGAGAGACTGGCGGCCAGCACACGCGTCTCCCCAGGCTGAAATGGGGCACCCTCTCGCGGCCCTTCCCTCCCTTCCCGGGCTGGGTGGCAGGTCTTGGCTCTTCTGCGAGTACCCCGCGGCTGCGGTCTCCCGGCACCCGCTGAGCAGCCTCGCCCGCCTTCCTCTCCCACCCGCCCCTGCGTGCTCTCCGGGGCTCCGGCTTCCTCGGTCTGGTGCCTGGTGCGTATTTTGGAAAATACCTGGCTCATAACCACCTCATTGAGCTCCCAGTGTCCCAGTGGGCCAGCGGACACACACGGGTAGCTGACTTCCCTAACGTGTCCCCAAAGCCTCCCTGGATTACAGCGCCCGCTGCTCCATGTGACCCCGCGGGAGCCAGGACGCGCCCCGCCTCCCGGGGCTGCAAGTTGCGCAGGGAGCGAGCGATGCGCAGCAGAGCTGGGCTCCGAGCCGGATGCGCCTTCCTTTCCTCTCCAGAGCAGGCTGCCCGCCCGCGGAATCCCGCACGTAGAGCAACCTCGCAGCACCCTCAGAACAGCCCCGCTGGGGCGCGCCGGGCTGCCGCGGTGACCTTTCCGACGCCCCTGACCCCGCATCCGGAGGCGGCCGGAAGTGTCGCCGGCCTCCTCCCGGCGCAGCCTCCGGGCCTCCAGTGCAATCACTACGCCCTGGGGCCCGGAAACCGTTTTCCGGTCTTTCGCTTTCGGCTGGGGCGTGGAGGCCGCGGTGCTGCGTAGGCCGGGCCGGGCGCAGGAACAGCCCCGTGGCGCCCTCTCTGGCCGCCGCCCGGGCGGGAAACGTCGTTCCGGGGACCGGGCGACCCCGCAGCGGGGAGCGCGCCAGGTCCGCGCGGGGAAGTGGGCGGTGTGCGGCCGGCACCGCCTCGCACCACGCCCCCGCGGGCCCGCACTTTCCCGGAGTGCACCCCGCGGCCGCCAGCCGGGGCGATGGCGGGGCTCTGGCTGGGGCTCGTGTGGCAGAAGCTGCTGCTGTGGGGCGCGGCGAGTGCCCTTTCCCTGGCCGGCGCCAGTCTGGTCCTGAGCCTGCTGCAGAGGGTGGCGAGCTACGCGCGGAAATGGCAGCAGATGCGGCCCATCCCCACGGTGGCCCGCGCCTACCCACTGGTGGGCCACGCGCTGCTGATGAAGCCGGACGGGCGAGGTAAGGGCCGGCGCTCCTCCTGGAGCGCAACGGGGTCCGCAGCCCCGTTCCCACCCTCCGATCAGCCAGGAACCCGCTGCTTGTGGCGCTGGCCGCAGGAGAGAGGAGCCTGTCACCCTGTGGAGAATGCACTCCCAGTTCTAGTCGTTGCCCCTTGGCACCCGCCGACACTGCTAGTGCCCCATCCCAAAGTGAGCATTTTCTTTGTGTGTAGCACAGGATGCGGTATTTCCAAACCCCTGCCCTCGGTCTTTTCCCACCTCACCGCTGCTCAGCTCTCAAAGCCCTGCCGTTTCCTCCTGCCTTGGCTTGGGAAGCCTTAGGAACAGAAGCTCCCTGGGAGCACAGAGCGGTTTTAAACTGGCCAACACCTTAACGCCCAGAGCCGCCCTCCTCTCGCTGCCACTTTGGAAAATAAGAGACTAGAGATTCACTGGACGCTTCCTCCCGGCATCACAAGACTTGACTGCTGCTTCAGTTCCCGCTTGACCTTCATACTTTAGCCCTTTAAAGGATGTTACATAATAACAATTAAGAGACGGCAGGGCCTTCAGGCAGACTTCTTTGGAGGGTGTCAAACGCCTTGTTTATTAAAGAGTGAATTTTTTAATTAAAATCATGTTTTAAAACAGAGATGGACATTTTATTGATGGAAAAAAATCACGTTAAGTTAGAAAGCTCTCAAAAGTACCTGGTATTTACAACTCCCTGTCAGGGAGGGCGAACTCGATCTCAGAGTTTTATTTTCATCAGGGATTACGTTGAGGTACCCAGAAATGAGAAGATTTGCCCAAAATGGCATATTTTAAAATTGGCCCAGACCAGAACCCAGTTTCCTCTGGGATTATTTGTTAGTAATCGTTTTACAGGCTGAGCATTAACTAACTCCAAAGCTTGAAGGACTTTTTCTCATTTTCACTTGTTTTCTCTAATAAAAATAATGCTGTAATTTCAACTTCACAAGATGAGGCCTCATGGAAGAGTGTTTACCAAAATATTAAAAATACTTTGACAGAAAAAAATCAAGCGAACTCTTTGCCAACCAAATATCATCATGACTGATGTAACAAGTAATCCAACACAGATATGAAAATCACACTGGTAAAAATCATCTCAGTTAATTCTAAAAGCAGAGCTAACCACCCCTTTTGTCCTAAGGCTTTATGGTATTAAAAAATAAACTGTACAAAAATATAGATTTTCCCCTATCCCCTACCCCTGGAAAGTAATATACTGAAGTCTCATCATACTGTTTTGGGGATTCCAGTAATTAAAATCTCTAGTGAATAAAGACCTGTTTCAAAACAACCTGTGAGCTGACTGGACTATTTAAAGTAATTCTCCTTGTAGTCACTTTCAGAGTGAAGACAATGACGAATACTGTCTTTTACAAAGGGACTTTTTATTCCACCAACAAATTCTGGATTTTGGCATCAGGAAAACCACTGTTCAATTTCCAACACTATATCCAAGTTGTTTGAGAAATTATTTAAAACTCTTTAACTTAGAGGGTTTTCTTTCTCCTTTACTTGTTAAAGTGACTATATTACAGAGTCACTTTAAGGATTAAATTTATTGCATGCAAAGTTTCTAGATCACTGTCTAGAAGTCAGTTAGAGTAAGTTCTTTAGTTGTCAATCAAGCATTTAGTAAGGCCCTGCTTTGTGCCCAGTGTTGACCTCAACAAAGTTGGGGATATCAGAATATTCTAAGATACAGTCGTTGTTCCCAAGAATCTTGTCTTTCACATACAAGAGGTGTTGCGTTTCATTTTGCGGCTAATGTCCAAACGCTGGCCTCAGCCATTTCACCTTGAAGATTGCAGTTGGCTTCCAACTGGCCTCTAAACTCTAATCTAGCATTTTCCAGTCCATTGTGACAAAGTCTGCCTTCCCCAGCTACTCCCAGCTGTTGGACCTGCTGCCTTAGAACCACAGATTGAGACCTCCCTGTCCCCTCTGTCAGACCAGACCAGGGCAGGCAGTATATTTGCATGACGCAGGATGATTGACACTGGTGATTTCACCCAGCTCCCTTCATAGCAATTTTGACAACTGCTTCATCTGAGAGA